>NT_167249.2:941944-1541944 GCF_000001405.40 Homo sapiens
GGCCGCTCCTCCCCGCTCCCCCCTCCCTTCTCCTCCACCTTTCTCCTCCTCCCGTCCCTCCTCCCCTCGAATCCAGGCTCCAGCCTGGCCAGGGTCTCTCCCCTCCTCTCTCGCTTCCCCCAAACCCCACCCCTGTCTCTTCTTCCCCGGGGCGGCGGCAGCCACGGGAGCGGGGAGCGGGGAGCCGGGAGGGAAGGAGGCGGCGCCGGGGACCAGGGAGAGCTCCCGGGCGGAGGGAAGAAGGAGGGTGCAAGGGAAGGCAGGGCGGGGGGAAGAGAGGGGAAGACCGGGGAGAGGGCGCCTCCCACAACCCGAGCCCCGGGAGCCGCCCCGGATCCCAGCCCCGCCCTGGACCGCCCACAGCGCGGTGGGGCGGGCGGTGGAGAGGCGCGGGGCTGAGAGGTGGGGGAGAGGGAGGTGCCCTGGTGCACACGCACTCGTCGGGGGGCGCCGGTCACTGCCGAGGGACCTGCGGGCCAAACAACTGGAAGCTGGGGTGGGGGAGAGGGAACCCGAGCCAAAGGCAGAGGAGCTGGCGCTGAGACAGGGAGTCTGGGATGAAGGTGGAGAAAGACGGCTGCACAAAGAGAAGGCAGCCCTAGATCCGGGTGAGAGGAGAGAGGCAGAGGCAGATGCCCAGGAGAACTGCGACCGGAGGGCGAGAAAGAAGCCTGGGTCAGAAGGAGGTGGGGGAGGGGGACTGAGGACCACCTAAGCGCAAGAAGGGTTGGGTGTAGAAGAGATTTCTGGGAGACTAGAGCAGCTCCATGGTCCAGCAGCATTGCTACTCGCCTGCTCTGCAGGGAACGCGCAGAACGGATTGGAGGCAAAAAACAAAACAGGGAGGGGGACATCAAGGAGAGAAATTGAAGTACGAAGGGAGTAAAAGGACAAGAGAAAAGAACCTCAGGGTGGTTTAGAAGCCAGTATTACCTGATGTACTCCAGCAGAGCCTAGCAAACAGTATTTCTTGACCAAGGGCAAACTGGAAGCTCTAAAGACAGCAGGTACAGACCTTTTTGACGGCTCCAGAAGCTCTTGGCTATACCTTGAAGTGGAGGGGGGTGTGTGTGTGTGTGTGTGTGTGTGTGTGTGTGTGTGTGTGTTGTGCTGTTGTTGTTCGTAGGCCTGAGTTTGGGCTGGGAGAGGAAACAGTGGGCTCCTTGTTGGGGGGGACAAAAAAAAAGCTGCTTTCTGGCTGGTCCTAGGGGGAAAAATGGTAGGAAGAAACCAAACACTGAGAGACTGACTAGAATTGAGATTCTCAACCTCCAACCCTTTTTTACAATAAATATTTTGTAATGACACTTTTACTGTCCTAAATTGAGATTCATAGATGAGGCTCACGCCTGAAATCCCAGAACTTTGGGAGGCCGAGGCGGACTGATCACTTGAGCTCAGGAGTTTGAGACCAGCCTGGCCTGGCCAGCATGGCGAAACCCCATCTCTACTAAAAATAGAAAAATTAGCGTGGTGTGATGGTGTGCGCCTGTAATCCCAGCTGAGACACCAGAATCGCTTGAACCCGGGAGGCAGAGGTTGCAGTGAGCCAAGATCGCACCACTGCACTCCAGCCTGGGTGACAGAGCAAGACTCCATCTCAAACAAAAAGAAAGGGAAGGAGGGAGAGAAAGTCATAGATGATATAACCTACCTACATACACAACTTTAAACAGAAAGCAAAATGCTTCCCTTTCTGTAACGTAAAGGGGAAATGAAAGAAAAGTAACTTGCAATAAAATAACATAAACAGTATTTTAATGTGTGAGTGCCAAGGCCCGACTACCCTAGAAGTCCTGATGGAGTAAGCAGATGCTTCCACCTATTCACAGAACCACGGGGATGAAACTGCTACCAACACAGGCTGATCCAGGTGCTGAGTTGGTGACTCAACTACCTCCAGCATGTTGCCATCAATGAAGTGATTTAACAAAATGTTGAACAACTCTTGGTAGCAAAGTTAATTTTCCCTAATTTTACACACAACTATAATTGCATTCCTAGAAAGTTCACTGTATATTTAAAAAAAAATTTTAAAACTGTATTAAGTTATAGGCTCAGATAATTAAACACAGGTTTTCACTACGTGAATGTCCTGGGGGACTTTTGAGAATCTGGGTGAGGAACAATTCTTCAACATGTAGGTAGTGCTTTGAAGAATATCTTACACCTCTGCCCCAACCATAAATGTCAATAGTGCCCCTTCCCTTATCACCTGAGGTTGGGAGTTCGAGACCAGCCTGACCAGTGTGGAGAAGCCCCAACTCTACTAAAAATACAAAATTAGCCAGGCATGGTGGTGCATGCCCGTAATCCTAGCTACTCAGGAGGCTGAGGCAGGAGAATCACTTGAACCCGGGAGGCGGAGGTTGCAGTGAGCCAAGATCATGCCATGCCATTGCACTTCAGCCTGGGTGACAAGAGTCAAACTCAGTCAAAAAAAAAAAAAAAAAAAAAAAAACAGCTAAAAGATGCATCAAAATGTTAACAAGGATTGCCTCTGGGCCATTAATTGTTGCATAACTTTTCTTTTTTACTTTTTTTTTTTTTTAAACAAGAAGTTTATTTAAACAACAAGACGCTTGACTTGAAGGGAAAACTATCTAGGATTCTTTTTTGTTTTAGAGTAATTTATCCCTACTTAAAGACAGATTGCTCTGCATGTAACAGCTAAGTACAAAAAAGTTATAAAATTGTCCTTGGTTTTACAATGATAAATGAAAAACATTAAAATTCTCCAATTGAACAAGGTATGCAAGGATTTTTATGTTGTTGTTTTTTTGTTGTTGTTGTTAAAACAGTGAGAGCAAAATAACTTACTGGAATATAAAGATAAGAGCTGAATGAGCATGCCACTAATGGAGAAAGGGGGTATTTTCACAGAATCAGTATTTTCCCCCCCGTCTCCACTTGATGTCAATCAAAACATACCATTGGCTGTTTAGTTTAAAAAAAAAAAAGTAATATGCTTGTGCACATATACCAGTTACTTTATGTACAGTAAAGGAATGGGGAAGGGGGAAATGAAAGAATAGAGAAAACTATACGGTAGTAGTCAGGATGTGGTGGAAGCAAATTGCAGTTTTCTAATTGAGAATGTAATCTTGGTCTTTAAAGAACAGAGTTCTGGAGTAAAGAAGCAGGTTCCCTTTTCAGTAGACACCTCCCGTCTGCTGTTGGAACACATCAATTGTATCTTCATCCTCCATTTCCAACTGTGCAGGTGTGTCTGTTTCATTGGTTGCCCGTCGAATCGGAATCTGATCTGCCTCATTGACAATCCCTGTCGTTCACAATAGGCTTTCATTAGTTTACTAAGTGGTGTATGCCTCTTAATCTTAAACTGCACCACAGAACCATCCTGCCCCGCCACCTTCAAATTAATATGATCGTTGTTCTCAGTCTTGACTCCTTCCTTGGGCTTTTCTTCGGCCATGGCGAGCGCCGGAGTCTCCTCAGCTGCCGCTTCACAAAAGAGGTACCAGGTCCGCTCCAAACGAGCACACAAGCAGCACCAGGAGCGGCAGAAGAAGGAGGCGGCAGCAGTGGACAAGGGGAGAGGGTGCGCGCACGTCGTGCTCTCCCTCCCTCCACCCTCACTTTTCTTTTTTTTTCTTTCTTTTTTTTGGTGGGGGGACGGAGTTTCACTCTTGTCACCCAGGCTGGAGTGCAATGGCGTGATCTCGACTGACGGCGACTTCCGCCTCCTGGATTCAAGCGATTCTCCTGTCTCAGCCTCCCGAGTAGCTGAGACTACAGGTGCACACCACCATGGCTGGCTAAATTTTGTATTTTTAGTAGAGACAGGGTTTCACAATATTGGTCAGGCTGGTCTCGAACTCCTGACCTCAGGTGATCCACCTGCCTCAGCCTCCCAAAGTGCTGGGATTACAGGCATAAGCCACTGTGCGGGGCCTGCACACTTTTCTTTCGTCATATTTGTTGTTCAACTTTTATTCAAATGTTTTACAAGTGTCTCCTCTATAAATCATTTTTAATTGATTTATAAAGGTTTAAAGAAAACCTTCCTAGCAAGTTGCATCAGTATAGCTAAAATCTGTTACTTGTTTGGGAGGCAGAGGCATTTGAGGGTACAGACAAGGGCTCCAATTATGTTCATTATACAAACCACTCACCTTTTTCCACCAGTAGCTACAACTTCCCCCTTTCACATCTTTTCATATTCCAATGTCACTGCCAGGATTCCTGGCCATATTTTTCAGGATATTTGTAGAGGTCCTTCCAGAACCACTACTTGAGTATCCTAATTTCATCCTCCCCACAATCAATCTACTTCCTTCTTTTCCTTTTACATCAAGCACAAAACTTCTTTCCTCTGGAAGGATCCCCAGGCTTGATCCCATCCTTCTCTCACTTCTGTACAATTTGTGCCTTTGGCAATGCCATCTCCTTTTGTAGTTTTTGACGGTTTTTCATAGAGATAGTGGAGTTCCTACTCAGATTACTGGAAAATGACAAATCTTATTCATTTTAGTTCCCATACTTTCTTTTTTTTTAATAATTTTTATTTTTTATTCTTATTTATTTATTTTTATTTTATTTATTTATTTATTTTTTGAGACAGTCTCACACTGTCGCCCGGGCTGGAGTGCAGTGGCGCGATCTCGCTCACTGCAACCTCTGCCTCCTGGGTTCAAGCAATTCTCTTGCCTCAGCCTCCTGAGTAGCTGGGAATTACCGGCGCCCCACCACCACGCCCAGCTAATTTTTTGTATTTTTAGTAGAGACGGGGTTTCACCATGTTGGCCAGGCTGGTCTCAAACTCCTGACCTCATGATCTGCCCGCCTCAGCCTCCCAAAGTGCTGGGATTACAGGCATGAGCCACGGGGCCTGGCCTCCCATACTTTCTTTCTACTTCCTTTTCTCTCTTCTGCCTCATCTTCCATCCATCCCTGAGAGCATATAGCCCAGAATTTAACACTCTGGGAGCCCTGAAAACATATTAACCAACGTAGTTCACTTGATTGATGATCAGGTAGATGCTAGGTACATTTTGGGAGTATCTCATTAAATTCTCACCTAACCACACAGAGTGGATATTCATGTTCTATACTGAGCCTAGTAAACTACCATTTAAAGAAAGTAAGAAGCAAATCAGAGGTCACACAGCTATAAAGCTGACAGAGCCAACATTTGAACTTAAGTTCGTTACCCTATTTTCAAATTCTTTCTACTGCATTGAGAGGCTTAGTTTTGAGGCACTTCTCTCACCCAACTCCCACTCCAAGTCTTTTTCTTTCTTTCTTTCTTTCTTTTTTTTATTGAGACGGAGTCTTGTTCTTTTGCCCAGGCTGGAGTGCAGTGGCACAATCTCGGCTCACTGCAACCTCCGCCTCCCGGGTTCACACCATTCTCCTGCCTCAGCCTCCCGAGTAGCTGGGACTACAGGCGCCCGCCACCATGCCCGGCTAATTTTTTTGTATTTTTAGTAGAGTCGGGGTTTCACTGTGTTAGCCAGGATGGTCTCGATCTCCTGACCTCGTAATCCGCCCACCTCGGCCTCCCACAGTGCTGGGATGACAGGTGTGAGCCACCACACCCGGCTCCAAGGCATTTTCTGTCAAGGGTCAAACTGCAGTTCTATTCTCTCATCTAAAGTAGTGGTGATCACTGGGTGAATGGAAGATGTTCATGTCCTCTTGGGTTAGGATGAAAGACCTGTCTTCTGGGAGAGTTTTCTGTCCTGTAACAGCTCTTGCTCTTTAGAAAAATGTATAGGGCAAAGGTTTATTATTCAAACGTGAAGTTATTTACACTCTGGGATTCACTCTGGCTTTTTAGTGAGGTTTTGAATCCTTTGCATCATATTTAATATCACTAAAATAGGATATTTTTGTGAAACTGTTTGATCCTTCCCCTCAGTTTCCATTTGTGTGTTCTCTTTCTTCCCGTCTTGATAGGCACAGGCACTCAGAATCACTGGGCCAGAAAGAAGTAAGAGAGTAGGCCGGGCACGGTGGCTCATGCCTGTAATCCCAGCACTTTGGGAAGCCAAGGCGGGCAGATCACGAGGTTATGAGATCAAGACCATCCTGGCTAACACGGTGAAACACCGTCTCTACTAAAAATACAAAAAAAATAATTAGCTGGGCGTGATGGTGGGCGCCTGTAATCCCAGCTACTTGGGAGGCTGAGGCAGGAGAATGGCGTGACCTGGGAGGCGGAGCTTGCAGTGATCAGAGATCGAGCCACTGCACTCCAGCCTGGGCGACAAAGTGAAACTCCGTCTCAGGAAAAAAAAAAAAAAAAGAGAGAGAGTAAGGGAACATCTTTCGTTAATAAACCCTCTCTATTGCTCCCCACACACAATCCTAGTTTGGTTGCTGTCTTCGTCTGTTTGGGCTGCCATAACAAAATCTCTTGCACCGGGTAACTTATGAACAACAGAAATGTATTTCTGACAGTTCTGGAGGCCGGGAAATCCAAGATTAAGGCACTGGCAGATTCAGTGTCTGGTGAGGGCTGGCTTCCTCATAGACTGCCATCTGCCATCTGCGATCTAGCTGTGTCTTCACATGGTGGAAGGGCAAACAAGCTCCCTGGGGCCTCTTTTAGAAGGGCACTAATCTCATTTGCAAAAGTCCCCACCACTTAATACCACATTGCATTGGGGATTAGGTTTCAGAACATGAATTTTGGGGGAACACAAACATTCAGACCATAGCAGTTGTACATTCTTGGCAGTTCTGGCCTTGGTTTATTGTGCCAATAAAAGTAAGCTCATGAAGCTATTTCTATCATGTCTTTACAGGCATGTACAGGTGAGCCCAGTTTGGGAGTCACAAAACTTCAGTGAAATTAAAAAGCCACACTATGAGTACCTGCACTAGCACTTACCACTCTCACACACAAGAATCCCTGAGGCAGTGGGGATCCTACCCCTGTCTCAGGAGTGCACAGAGCCAATAACCAAATTACAACATTGACATTGTGAAGTTGCCTCTAGAAATAATTTCTCAATAAGTACACCTTTATATAATAAGTGAATGAACACAATGTAATTAAATGCTAGATTAACCTAAGAAACAAAAAGGAAAATAGCTTCTTTGTCCGTTCATCTACAGGATAATGAGGTCATGTTAAAAGACTTAGAAAAGGTTCAGTTCTCCTGCCGGGCGCCGTGGCTCATGCCTTTAATCCCAGCACTTTGGGAGGCCTAGGCGGGCGGATCACCTGAGATCAGGAGTTTGAGACCAGCCTAACCAACATGGAGAAACCACCCATCTACTAAAAATACAAAATTAGTCGGCCATGGTGGTGCATGCCTGTAATCCCACCTACTCGGGAGGCTGAGGCAAGAGAATCGCTTGAACCCAGGAGCTGGAGGTTGCAGTGAGCTGAGATTGTGCCATTGCACTCCAGCCTGGGCAACAGGCAAAACTGTCTCCAAAAAAAAAAAAAAAAAGGTTCAGTTCTCATAAACACAAATTTAATGAGCATTTTGAAGATCTCAAAATAAGTATTATATTTAATTAAACGTGTAATTAAGTATATACTGGTATGAATATCTACAAATAATTATTCATACTAATCTGAAAAACGTATGCATCATAATGTGTGTATATAATTGGTTGCTAGGGGATTTGTTTGTTCATTTTGCTGCAATAGATTTCTGTCTCTCGTCATATTCTGTTCAAGTACCTAAAATGATTGCTCACTTATTCGAAGCACACTAATGAAATAATACTCAGAGTAAAAGGATATATCACCCAGATTTTTCTATTAGAAGCTACACAATACTCAAAAATCTATCATTTAATATGTGTATGCAGGTCTAAAGCCCATAATAAGCAAAAATATATTTTCACGTTAAATGTATGGCTATTTACACTAGATGAGGTAAAGAAAGACTATAAATAGCTTCACATCTCGTTTTGTCACAGAATGAATGCAAGTCAGGCCAGGCTTTGCCGCCAAATGAGTTACAAAATTTTGGTTTTCAGAGTATTGTGAATTTTGGAATTGCAGAAAAGGATATGTGAAACTGTTTATAAACATGAGAAGATGTTTACAGATAGATGTTTTAGAAGTCAAATGAACAAATCTGAAGCAACAGACTAGAAATTCTATTCATGGAAATATGATAAAAATGCCAGTAAGAGGGCTGGGCGTGGTGGCTCACACCTATAATCCTAGCACTTTGGGAGGCCGAGGCGGGTGGGTCGCTTGAACTGGAGTCCGAGACCAGCCTGGGCAACATGGCGAAACCCCATCTCTACCAAAAATACAAAACCCCGTCTCTACCAAAAATACAAAAAATCAGTTGGGCATGGTGGCAGGTGCCTGTAATCCCAGCTACGGGGGAGGCTGAGGAAGGAGAATTGCTTGAACCTGGAAGGCAGAGGTTGCAGTGAGCCGAGATCACACCACTGCGTTCCAGCCTGGGCGACAGAGCAAGACTCCATCTCAAAATAAAATAAAATAAAATAAAATAAATTTTAAAATGCCAGTAAGGATCTCCATAAAGGCTATGTATGAAAACCTGACCATGTCACATCCATGACCCTATTACAGCAGGTCAGATTAATCTTACCCTAGTCCAGAGAACCACGGGAACCACTGAGTCCTAGTGGAGGGAAAGCCTGGAACAGATGTGAAGCAAGCTTGGCTTTTAGCAATTGAGAGTAAACAAACACCTGCTGAGTTTACTCTTCCTTGCCTGTCTTTCTAAGCCATCACTCTGAAGACCTAAAAAGCAGACATGACTCATACACACCTTCAGATGCTTTCAGTATTTGTTACACCTAGATCTGTGCAGAAACTGAATACCTTATTGGTGCATAATTTACAAAGAATTCTCACATTAGCTCTTCTAATTCTTTCTGTTGTTTCTATATGATAATATCTCCATTTGTCAGATAGGAAAACTGAAGCTCAGAAAGTTTGAATGAACTTCATAAGATCACACAGCCAATAAATACCAGAGCTTGGCCTCAAAGTCAAGTCTCAGGTCCTTCTGCCCTTCACTAACAGTGCTCCAGCCATGGTGGTCTGACTGCTGTTCTTTAAACTTCCTTAACTTTCAACTCAGAAACCAAACACACCCAGCTCCCTCTGCCTGGGCGTGGTGCTCTGTTCAGCCTCCTCACCCCACACCCATGTTGCTAACAGCTTAAATGGCACCTCCTCAGTAAAGCCTCCCCTGAATTCCCCAGACTTAGAACACTGTTTCCCCAATCCCACTAGCCACTCTCATATATGGCATACTGTAGTCATTGTTTTGTTTGTTTGTTTTTTAGAAAGAAAGAGAGAGAGAAAGAAAAGAAGAAACGAAAGAAAAGAAAAAAAGAAAAGAAAAGAAAATCAAAATCCATGTGGGTGTGGTGGCTCATGCCTGTAATCCCAGCACTTTGGGAGGCCGAGGCAGGCAGATAGCTGAGGTCAGGAGTTCCAGACCAGCCTGACCAATATGGTGAAACCCCGTCTCTACTAAAAATACAAAAATTAGCTGGGGGTGGTGGTGCATGCTAAAGGGAAGGGAAGGGGAAGGGGAAGGGAGAGAGGAAGGAAGGGAGGGAGGAAGGAAGGAAGGAACTTATCTCCGTCTGGGTAACATGAGGAGACCCTGTCTCTACCAAAAATTAAAAATATTAGCCGAGTGTGGTGGCATGAGCCTGTAGTCCCAGCTACTTGGGAGGCTGAGGCAGGAGGATCGATTTAGCCTAGGAAGTCAAGGTCAGTAAGCTGCGATCATGCCAATGCACTCCAGCCTGGGTGACAGAGAGAGACTCTGTCTCAAAATAAAAATAAAACCACAAAACTTATCTCAGTGGTAATTAAGGTAACTGTGGAATCGTGTATTTACATTTGCCTTCCTGACCAGACCATAAACTCCAGGAGGGCAGGGATTTTGACTATGTGGCTCATTTTATCCCACTAAAAGAGCTACATATTTTCTGACTCAGAGATGAGTTTCATTCCATTGTACAGAATGATCACACCAGTTTCCAAGTCTATTAATCTAGCGGTCTCTGTTGTTTGTTGAAGACCTACTAGGTATTGGTAAAATGGGTTGCTTTGTTCCATGGGCCATAATAGTGACACATTCTAAACACATTTAAGTCATTCCACCCTATAAGTTACAGGATAATAATAATAATAGCATTTATTTTACTATAACCAGTTTTGGGCTGTGTGTTTTACTTGGATTGTCTCACTTGCTCCTTATAGCATTCTCTGATATAGATATTAGTCTTCCCATTTACAAAATGGGAAAACTGAAACTCAAACATGTTTAATAATCTGCACAGTGTCTCACATGTAACAAGCCAACATGAGATTAGTGATTCCAAAGACCCTGCTCAGCCCAATGACAAGATGTGGAAAGCACCCTCAAGGCACCCAGGGGTCTCTCTCCCTGAGAGTCCTGTGCATATCAGCAATGCTGCTAAGGATTAAATCACTGCGGTTATCACTATGTGGGTAAGATTTCTGTTAGTAGAAGATCCAGAAGATTCACCCTGCCATAGAGCAGGGGGCCTTGGCTGAGCCATAGGCAGAATCACTCTCCAAAAAGACTTACCAGTGTTTATCTGAATATTTTCTTTTAGCAATAACTTTACTTACTTGCGTTATTTGTAGGTGCTGCCATTTTGCTGTCCATGATGCTACTATGCTCAGTACCCTTACTGTACTGCCCAGTAGCCCTTACCATTAGCAAACTAAAGCTTCCTCACCAGCATTAG
Organism: Homo sapiens; assembly: GCF_000001405.40. NCBI lineage: Eukaryota > Metazoa > Chordata > Mammalia > Primates > Hominidae > Homo > Homo sapiens. Next base: position 952,652 of record NT_167249.2, read on the forward strand.
ACCTGGCAAGACCTCTGTGCATCCCCCACCACCCATGAGTATTTTGATAGCATTGCAAGTATAATCTCTGGTGCATGCACAAATTCTGCTCCACATAGCAGCGCTAATGGTGGCCCACATCGGGAATAGGAGTAGAGCAAGATGTTACCAGGAAGAGGGCCTTACTTCTCTTCTCTCTCTTCTCGCTGCTTTTTTGTTTGTTTGTTTGTTTGTTTGTTTGTTTTGTTTTGTTTTTTAGATGGAGTCTTGCTCCATTGCCCAGGCGAGTGTAGTGGCGCAATCTCAGTTCACTGCAACCTCTGCCTCCCAGGCCTGTCCCAGCCTCCCGAGTAGCTGGGACTACAGATGCCTGCCACCACGCCTGGCTAATTTTTGTGTTTTTAGTAGAGATGGGGATTCACCTTGTTGGTCGGGCTAATCTCAAACTCCTGACCTCAGGTGATTCACACGCCTTGACCTCTCAAAGTGCTGGGATTATAGGCATGAGCCACTATGTTCAGCCATTCGCTGCTCTTAAGAAAGTACTTTTCCAAAGATCATTCTCCTTGGTCTTATCTTAAGATCCTGCTATGAAATAGGGACACGGGTGGAAAATTTTCACCTGTGCCTGCAGCAAACTTTCATTCTGTCTGAATAATTATAAGTAGGATGGGGGAGGGGAGAAGAAAAAGAAAGAGACCATGATCTGAAGAACCTTAACTGTTCCCCTGTTATCCCTGGTTACTGTCAAGCAGCTAGCAGGCTAGGCTAGGTGGGGTATCTTCTTTAACTCTACTCCTGCATTAGCTGTTCTAAATCCTAGAACTCATGCCCTGTTTGAAATTTCTTTCCCTATGCCCAACTCAAGTGATGCCATCCTATTTTCTATTTTCCACCATGGGAAAAATGGAAAATAACAGGAGAAATGTATTAAGAAAGCATTCTTGAATTTGAGTTTGTTAACTTTTTTTTTTTTTTTTAACAGTCTTGCTCTGTCACCCAGGCTGGAGTGCAGTGGTGCAAGCTTGGCTCACTGCAATCTCCACCTCCTGGGCTTAAGCAATTCTTGTGCCTCTGCCACCTGAGTAGTTGGGATTATAGGCATGCACCACCACGCCCAGCTAATTTTTGTAATTTTAGTAGAGATGGGGTTTCACCATGTTGGCCAGGCTGGTCTTGAACTCCTGACCTCAAGTGATCCTCCCACCTCGGCCTCCCAAAGTGCTGGGATTACAAGCATAAGCCACCACCCCCGGCCTGAATTTGTTAACTTCTTACCAACATTTTACAAAGAAGATTGAAGGTAATGTGGGTTCTAAGACTGAAGAGTACAAGGTAAGCTGGTGGTTAATGGGGAGGAGGGATGATGGATGAACTGGTCAGGGAAGAGGATGAAATGGCTCAAAATAGAGGTACAAATAGAATGGGCTGGGCTCCTCCAACCATTCCTTGTGATTTTATTTTTACTTTTTTTTTTTTTTTTTTGGTGGAGTTTCACTCTTGTTGCCCAGGCTGGAGTGCAATGGTGCGATCTCGGCTCACTGCAACTTCCACCTCCTGGATTCAAGTGAGTCTCCTGCCTCAGCCTTCTGAGTAGCTGGGAATGCAGATGCGATCTCGGCTCACTGCAACTTCCACCTGGGTTCAAGTGATTCTCCTGCCTCAGCCTTCTGAGTAGCTGGGAATGCAGGCGTGTGCCACCACACATGGCTAATTTTTTGTATTTTTAATAGAGATGGGGTTTTGTCATGTTGCCCAGGCTGGTCTTGAGCTCCTGACCTCAGATGATCCGCCCACCTCGGCCTCCCAAAGTGCTGGGATTACAGGTGTGAGCCACCGCGCCTGACCTATTTTTACTTTTTTAAAAGACAGGTCTCACTCTATTGCCCAGGCTGCTCTTGAACTCCCGGCCTCAACCAATTCTTCCTGCTCAGCCTCCTGAGTAGTTGGGACTACAGCACTCACAACTGTGCCTGACCCTTCTCTTAATTTTAACTCCTGAGTGATTTTCTTCTCTGGACCCCAAGGAGTCATGATATCTCTAAATTATATCCTGAAGTTATTTCAACTTTAGAAAATAAAGTTTTAGGCCTGGTTCAGTGGCTGACACCTGTAATCCCAATACTTTGGGAGGCTGAGGCAGGCAGATTGCTTGAGCCCAGGAGTTTGAAGCTAACATGGCAAAACCCCATCTCTATCAAAAAAAAAAAAAGAAGAAGAAGAAGAAGAAGAAAAGAAAAAAGGCTAGGCGCGGTGGCTCACACCTGTAATCCCAGCACTTTGGGAGGCTAAGGTGGGCAGATCACGAGGTCAGGAGTTCGAGAACAGCCTGACCAACATAGTGAAACCCTGTCTCTATTAAAAATACTAAAATTAGCCAGGTGTGGTGGTGGACACCTGTAATCCCAGCTACTCAGGAGGCTGAGGCAGGAGAATCACTTGAACCGGAGAGGCAGAGGTTGCAGTAAGCTGAGTTTGCGCCATTGCTCTCCAGCCTGGGTGACAGAGTGAGACACCATCTCAAATAAAAAAGAAAAGAAAAAAAAGATCTTGGAATGCTTTTTTTCTGCCTGTGTATTGATATTATTCTTAAGGGGCTCATAAGAAAACTAAATATATATATTTACATATATATATATATATAAAATCACCCAGGTTGGAGTGCAGCGGTGCAATCTCAGCTCACTGCAATATCTGCCTCCAGGGTTCAAGCAATTCTTTTGCCTCAGCCTCCCCAGTAGCTAGGATTTCAGGCATGCACCACCATGCCTGGCTAATTTTTGTATTTGAAGTAGAGACAGGGTTTCGCCATGTTGGCCAGGCTGGTTTTGAACTCTGGACCTCAAATGACCCTCCTGCCTAAAGTACTGGGATTACAGGGGTGAGCCACCATGCCTGGCCCAGAAAATATTATTGTTATTTAATATGACCTGCCATAACTACCATTAAAAGTAGTACAGGTGTGCAAAAGAAACTTATCTGGCTATGGCTGGGCGCGGTGCTCACGCCTGTAATCCCAGCACTTTGGGAGGCTGAGGCAGACTGATCATGAGGTCAGGAGATCAAGACCATCCTGGCTAACATGGTGAAACCCTGTCTCTACAAAATATACAAGAAAAAATTAACCGGGCATGGTGGCGGGTGCCAGCTACTCGGGAGGCTGAGGCAGGAGAATGGCGTGAACCTGGGAGGCGGAGCTTGCAGTGAGCAGAGATCGCGCCACTGCACTCCAGCCTGGGCAAGAGAGCAAGACTCGGTCTCAAAAAGAAAAGAAAAGAAAAGAAATCTTACCTGGTTGTAAGATTTTTTTCTCATTTAGTCAATAAATATTTATGGAATAGGGCAGTTTGGGATCACACACATGAGCTAAGCATGATGTCAGCCTTCATAGCTCCTACAATGTGGTATGGTGATTTTTTTTTCTTTTTGAGATGGGAGTCTCACTGTGTCAACCAGCCTCAAACAGTCCTTCCATCTCAGCCTCCCAAGTACCTGGGACTACAGGTGCATGCCACCATGCCCAGCTACTTTTTTGTATTTTTGATAGAAACAGGGTTTTGCCATGTTGGCCAGGCTGATCTCAAATTCCTTTCCTCAAGTGATCCGCCTGCCTTGGCCTCCAAGAGTGCTGGGATTACAGGCATGAGCCACTGCACCCAGCCAATGATTTTAAAACTGGAATACAGAAAGAGAAGAAGAAAGTCATGCTCCATCTTTATTATTTAAAAATCAGAACAGATACACATATTTGTTGTGAGCACTAATTAAAATATCCTTAAAGTTTCCTTACCTTGGAGTGGAATTATTTGCATATGTATACACATGATGCTGACTTTAGAAGAAAAGTTACAAGTTAAAACACGTTTGATTAATAAAAGAAAAAGAAATAAATTATACATAAATTTAGCTTTGTTGCTGAAAATCACCTCTCCAAACATAGAGTTCAGGTTGGGGCAAATAAAAAATTGCATAAAACAAAAAGGCTAAGAAATGGTACAAAAAACTCAGAGAACCACTACTTCACGTTTCCCAATAAAGCATCTTTTATATTTATAAAAGTTAAGCCTGCATATCTCTGCCCCCAATTGCAGCAGAAACACCTGAAAAAGAATGCCAGTCTGGTCTTGCTCTGACAATGGTTTTCTGACTGACCTTGAGCCTGTCACAACCCGTCTGGCCTCAATTTCATCAACTGTAAAATAAGAATAAAACTATTTGATATCTTTAACTCACATACTATTGTGAGAAATAAATACAATCATAGACAAATGTTTTCAGAATGTGAAAATGCTATAGGAACACACTTTTTCTCCAGTGGCTGGCATAAAAGTGTTGGTATGCTATACCACCAAGTCATTAGATATGAGTTAATTTCTGGATTACTGTTTCAGTAAGAATAAGCTCTACACAACTTCAGCAAGTGATGTTGGTATGTCATCCACAAAGTTCTATCACCCTATTCCATAGCATACCCCTGTTGAACTTCCCACATCCCTGTCTTCCCTTAGCTTCCTGTATCCAACCTCAGCGCAATAGCTCAGTTTGACCATTAGATGGTACCAGTTACAAGGCAAACTTAGGTCCCTTCAGAAACTGAGCATTTCTAAAAAGCAAATATTTTTTCAGGTTTGTTTGTAACTTAAACAACAAAAAAATCATTATTTTAAAGGCCATATGCTCACTGTGAAAATATATCAGGTGGTGTATGAAATAATAAGTAAATTATCTGCCGGGCGCGGTGGCTCACGCTTGTGATCCCAGCACTTTGGGAGGCCTAGGCGGGCAGGCAGATCACGAGGTCAGGAGTTGGAGACAAGCCTGGCCAACACAGTGAAACCCTGTCTCTACTAAAAATACAAAAATTAGGCCGGGCGCGGTGGCTCACGCCTGTAATCCCCGCACTTTGGGAGGCCGAGGCGAGCGGATCACGAGGTCAGGAGATCGAGATCATCCTGGCTAACACGACGAAACCCCGTCTACTTAAAAAAAAATACAAAAATTAGCCGAGGGTGGTGGCGGGCGCCTGAAATCCCAGCTACTCAGGAGGCTGAGGCAGGAGAATCGCTTGAACCTGGGAGGCGGAGGTTGCAGTGAGCTGAGATCACGCCACTGCACTCTAAGAGTGAAACCATGTCTCAAAAAAAAAAAAAAGTCAAAAATACTAATAAAAATACTAATCTCGTAGTTAACAGATTGCTGTGACCTAGAGCAAGTAAAGGTGTAATTATCAGCCTATAGGGGTTAGAGTGGCAAGAAGATGCCTGAGGGTGAGCCTACAGCCTAAAAGATAATAGAATACAAAGGCTGAAGACCTACAGGCAGGGATTCTTTGTCATTCATTCTTTCAGCAAACTTATTCTAATATGTATCCCTCACTATTCAATGCCCAGGAGGGCACAGGGAAAATAAGACGAAGTCCTGCCCTCACTGGCTAACATTCTAAGCACAGGTGCTGCACAAGAGGTGTTATGTTTTTTGGGGGAGCCAGACACAGGCCTAAGCACTTTATGTACCTTGTCTCATTTAATCCTCACATCAGCACCACGAGGTGACAGAATTATCATTTTGCAGTTAAATAAATTGATATTTCTTCATGGCCAGGTGCAGTGGCTCACGCCTGTAATCCCAGCACTTTGGGAGGCTGAGGCGGGTGGATCACCTGAAGTCGGAGTTCGAGACCAGCCTGACCAACATGGAGAAACCCCATCTCTACTAAAAATACAAAATTAGCCGGGCATAGTGGCGCATAGCCTGTAATCCCAGCTACTCGGAAGGCTGAGGCAGGAGAATCACTTGAATCCAGGAGGTGGAGGTTGCGGTGAGCCGAGATCGCGCCACTGCACTCCAGCCTGGGCAACAAGAGCAAAACTCCGTCTCAAAAAAAAAAAAAAAAAAAAGAGAGATTTCTTTAAGCTCTTTGCCTAGGGTCACAGGTCTTTCCACAGGACCGTAGACTAGAGTCAGATGTGTTCCTCAATCAATTAGGAAAGGGTGGTGCTGGAATTTGCATCTGAGTATTCCAAGCTTCTATATTCTCATATTCTGGAATGAGGATATTATGAGTCCTGAAACAACTCTAGAAATTCTAGGCTACATAATTATCCCTCCATAACGTGTTCTCTGCCAGAATAATAATGAAAAAAAAGTACTGTGGTGGCCAGACCCCAAGATGATTGGCGAAGTGAAAGTTGCCCAGTTCCAAAATGGCCACCACCGCACTTTCCTGGCGTCGGAGCGACTACGTAGTGACAGAAGGACCATCAGCAGGTGGGTGCTCACAGGGACTGTGCCAGTTGCCAAACTGGCCACCTGGGCCTTTCTTCTCCTGAGCAACAGCCAAGCAACATTATAGGCTTCAGGCCTACCTAGCCCAGGCTGGGTTAAAGCAGATAAACGAAGCGGACAGCGGAGGAAAAGCACGTAACCAAGTGCAGTGGGTCTGAAGCGAAAGGCAAGAAAAGCTCTGCCCTTAGGAACGGGGTGTCACTGCGCGGCTCGCAGGCACCTCTCTTTGACCTATTTATAATCTGCGCCTTATTCTCCGCCCCCAAAGGCTGCTGGCAACCAATTCTCGGTGGCGAAGTCGTGACGTCAGCTGTTGCGGGTCAGATTGGGAGAGCTTCCTGGTCCTTACCTAGCAAGATTCTGCCGCTAGGTGGCGAAAAGCGAAGGGGCCAAAGAAATGGAAAGAAGGCGAGGAAAAGCGGGAGAAGATGGGGAAGGAAAATGTATATTCTTGTATCATCCTACAGCTAGGCAAAAATATTAGGATAATGTGGCCTAACCTCCAGTTCTATGTTGGCTGGAAAATCCAGGAATGGGAAGCTCACTCCCGTAGTTCCCACTCATTCCCACCACGGTTGGACAGCTCTGAAGGAGGGAAAATTCTTTCTTTTGAGCTGAAATCTGCCTTCAGAGTCTTGCACCCAACTGTTCTACCCCACGGGGACCTACAGAACAGCCCAAAGCCTCTTACGCAGGACAACCCATAGCAGTTTGATTAAAATCAGCGCAAACCCATTCCCATTTGGTGAGGGGGGAGGGGGAGGGGCAAGCCTCAGTGCCTGACTCACTTGACTCACAAGAAGCTGAATGTTTTTCCTTTTGAAAGATAAAAATATTGGTGAATCTCAGACTAACAATAGGGAATACACAAAAATGGAAAAAATGTTGATAGATAAAATTTAAACCTTTGGTAGAACATAATTAGTTTTTTGTTCTCTACATTTTTCCATATCGTTTCTAATTTTTCTACACTGTATGTGTTACTTAAAGAAATAAACCAGTAGGCCAGGCGCGGTGGCTCACGCCTGTAATCCCAGCACTTTGGGAGGCCGAGGCGGGCGGATCACGAGGTCAGGAGATCGAGACCATCCTGGCTAATACGGTGAAACCCCGTCTCTACTAAAAAAATACAAAAAATTAGCCAGGCATGGTGACGCACCCCTGTAATCCCAGCTACTCAGGAGGCTGAGGCAGGAGAATGGCGTGAACCCGGGAGGCGGAGCTTGCAGTGAGCCGAGATCGTGTCACTGCACTCCAGACTGGGCGACAGAGCAAGACTCTGTCTCAAAAAAAAAAAAAAAAAGAAAAAGAAATAAACCAGTATGGCCGGGCGCGGTGGCTCATGCCTGCAATCCCAGCACTTTGGGAGGACGAGGCGGGTGGATCACGAGGTCAGGAAATCGAGCCCATCCTGACCAATATGGTGAAACCTCGTCTCTACTAAAATACAAAAAATTAGCCGGGCGTGGTGGCGGGTGCCTGTAGTCCCAGCTACAAAGGAGGGTGAGGCAGGAGAATCCCTTGAACCCGGGAGGTGGAGGTTGCAGTGAGCCAAGATCGTGCCATTGCACTCCAGCCTGGGCAACAAGAGCGAAACTCCGTCTCAAAAAAAAAAAAGAAAGAAAAGAAAAAGAAATAAAGCAGTATGAAAGAGCAGCCCCTGGCTGCATTCACCACAGCACCCATGCTCACACATGCTACAGGCGCTCACTTGCTGGGAGCTGCCTCACATTGATTCGGATCAGTGTTCTCATTTCTCCGACCTACCTAGGAAGCATCTGGCTAAATTGATGTAAATTAGACATTTTATAGTCTATCGGTCATTGAGCCTCAGTGGAATATCTAGACCAATTTAAACACACAAATATTATGGGAAATAGGGCCACAAAAGTAGAAAAGAAAACGTGAATTCCTCTTTATATTTATGCCACTAGAGGGAGTTCCAGAAGAAAATCACTGCATGTAAGGGCTAATGACTGTATTTACTGAGTGGTTACTGTGTACCATTCACAGTTCACAGGGACTCATTCATGTCATTCTCATGATAACCCTGATGAAGTGGATGATATTATTCCCTCACTCACTAAGGAGAAAGCCAGGGTACAGTGAAGTATACAACTTTGTGCAGGGCAATTTATCAATATTTATTGAAATTACCAAAAAACATGCTCTCTGAACAAACTATTCTACCAGTGTAGAAAGCAGAGTAAACTTCATGGGTGAGTGACCAGGGCAGTCACACAAGGGCCCCATGCTTAGAAGGGATACTGTGTTTGGGTTCTAAAGCTCTGTGGTTCCTGTCTTGAAATTCTTAATAATTTTATCTTTCAATTTGTGTCTTATAATGAAGTCCGATGAGAAAGCAGAACATGGGCTAGAGACTTTTGGAGCCTGGCTCAAGCGAGGTCCTGCTCCCCATGCCTCCCAGCCTCCCCAGGACTGGTTTTCAGCTGCCGGCTCCACCACCTTCTGTGCAGGCTCGCTCCCAGCAGGGGCCTGGGAACAGTGGAAAGGAGGGGAGCGGTCAGGCATACACACCTCCCTTGCCAAATGGAAGGCATGGCCCTAGGCACTTGTGAAGATCTGCACTTCCCCCTAGGTACTCCTGTGCCTGGAGTGTGACATTAAATTAAAAAAAAAAAGGCCGGGCGCGGTGGCTCACGCCTGTAATCCCACCATTATGGGAGGCCAAGGCAGGCGGATCACGAGGTCAGGCGATCGAGACCATCCTGGCTAACACGGTGAAACCCCGTCTCCACTAAAAATACAAAAAAATTATCTGGGCATGGTGGCGAGCGCCTGTAGTCCCAGCTACTTGGGAGGCTGAGACAGGAGAATGGCTTGAACCCGGGAGGCGGAGGTTGCAGTGAACCGAGATTGCGCCACTGCACTCCAGCCTGGGCGACAGAGCGAGACTCCGTCTCAAAAAAAAAAAAAAAAAAGAAAAGAAAAAAACCCCACATAATAGGTTGACAGTGGAACCACAGAAAAAAGGAAAAGGTTGGGTTTTTTTTCTGCTTTTTATTTTCTATTTTATTATTTTTTAATAGATTTATTTAACTAGAGATGGGGTCTCACTATGTTGTAAAGGCTGGACTCGAGACCCTGGGCCCGAGCGATCCTCCAACCTGGTCCTCCCAAAGTGATGGGATTACAGGCGTGAGCCACTGCACCTGGTCTTTTCCTGCTATTAAACAAGGAGCTCCATAGTTTCATTTTGCCCCTCAAAATATGTAGCTGGCCTTAGTAGACTGATATTCATTGCCAAATTATATGTAAGAGCAAAAAGGTTGAAAATGATGGCCTGACATTGATCAATTTGTGCCTTTAGGTAACATATAACTGTAATATAACTGCAATACAACTAGAATATAACTCATAAAGGCAAGAATCTTGTCTGCCTTGCTGAAAGTTTTATAATCAGGGCCTAATATAAAGTATGACACATAGCACTTGCTTTTAAATATGTATTGATTTAAATTAATTGAGTACATTTTTGCTTCATCCTAGTAAAAATAGGTATTTAAAAAACTGAAACAGTCTAAATGTCTTGGGATGCTACTTAAATAACTATATTATATTCATCCAATAAAATATTGTAAGCTGTTTAAAAATAACAAGGATGTTCTTTAGGTACTGATAAGGAAAGAGCTTCAAGATAAATTGTTACCATTTATGTAAAACAGGTGGGAGAAGGGAGAGGGAGGGATGTGTGAGCGCTACTTGCAGTACTCACAGGCAGTGACTTTCGTGGAGCGCCCTCTAGTGGTATATATATACAAACGGAAGGATTTAGAGAAAATACAGATCGGCTTTAGCTGGCTGAGATTTATTTTCAAAGCATGTTACTTTATAAGAATCAATTTTTATTTAAAAAATTTTTTTGAGATAGGGTCTCACTCTGTCGCACAGGTTGGAGTGCAGCAGCACGATCAGTGCTCACTGCAGCCTCTCTCTCTTGGGCTCAACAGGTGCATGTCACCACGTCCAGCTAACAATCAATTTTCAAAAGTACAAAAAAGCCATATTATGTATTAATGTGGAATTATGAATTAAGTAGACAACAAGAATCAAAACAGGGTGTCTATTATCACTTCTGATAACATAAATAATGTAAAGATACATATTTTACAGATTATCTGTAAAAGCTTATACAGTACTGTTGCTGGGTATTTATGTAGGAAAGCTACCATTTATTGAATGCTTACTATTTCACATATGGACAGCATAGAGCATGTTAAAAAATTACCACACACATTTACTGTATTCAATGTGTCACTCTGAATATATTACTGTGTACATGGTCTGTCATTGGACATGGTGAGAGATGCAGATTAAGCTGAAATTACTGAGGACAGCAACACTGGAAGAAAATTGAGCTGGGTGTAGTGGCTCAGCCTGTAATTCCAACATTTCAGAAGGCTGAGGCAGGAGGATCACTTGAGTCCAGGAGTTTGAGACCAAGGGAAAGAAAAGAAAAGAAGCTTTCATTTAGCCAGGCATGCTGGCACATACCTGTAGTTTCAGCTACTCAGGAGGTTGAGGCATAAGGTTCACTTAAACTTGAGAGGTAAAGGCTGCAGTGAGCCCTGATCACGCCACTGCTCTCCAGCCTGTGACAGAGAGAGACCCTGTCTCAAAAACGAGAAAGAAAGAAAAAAAGAGGCAACTCAAGAACTCAGGAATACTTGCAGGATCTCATAACATATGCTATACAAAATCAATTAAAATAATATTTAAATGCTGAAAGAAATGAGCAGCTCCCAGGGTGATACAGGGTGGTTTCACTTCTTGGACACATCTACACTGAGCTCTATTCCTGGCAATACCTGATGTTCCCATACCCCAGATTTCTTTATTTTATTTTGAGACGGAGTTTTGCTCTTCTTGCCCAGGCTGGAGTGCAATGGCGGGATCTTGGCTCACCGCAATCTCCGCCTCCTGGGTTCAAGGGATTACCCTGCCTCAGCCTCCCGAGTAGCTGGGATTACAGGCGCACGCCACCATGCCCAGCTAATTTTTGTATTTTTAGTAGAGGCAGGGTTTCTCCATGTTGGTCAGGCTGGTCTTGAACTCCCAACCTCAGGTAATCTGCCCGCTTCGGCCTCCCAAAGTGCTGGGATTACAGGCGTGAGCGGGCCCAGCCCCTATACCCCAGATTTCTGCAAGTGGCAACACCACTGGCTTCATTTTGCTGGTGGCCCCTCTGGCCTTCCCTTGTATATATCACCTTTGCCCAAAGACCATGTCAGCCAAGGGACTGCTCTCACAGCTCCAGGAATCCTCCCCTTTCAGGAAATTTGAGGCAGTTGAGGGCATGAAAGTAAATAAGCTGAGCTCATCAGAGGCCTTGTATTGTGGTGGTTAAAAGAGCCAGTTCTAGGACTAGAAAGCCTGGCTTGAAATCCCAGCTCTGCCACTCCCTAGTGGTGTGACTTTAGCAAGTTCCTTTACCTCTTTTGTACCTCCCTTTTCTCACCTGTAAGATATGGGTGATAATAGTTTAATATTTGTTTTGTTGTTGTGAGGATTAAAGGTGTTAATGCAAGTAAACCACTTAGAACCACAGCACATAGAATATCTCAGTAAGGTGGTTAGTTTTTTTTATTGTTGTTTTCAGAGATGCTGTGATTTCTCCAAAGTGGCTGTGATGGCTCGGCAGGCTCCTGACCCTCTCTGCTCCCACATGCCTCCACCCTCATCCTGATCTCCCATCCAGCTTTTGACAGCTTGCTTGGTGCTGGACAATTGCACACATCTTACCACCCCCAAATCCTGCCCAGAAGCATCTTGTGCATAACTCTCCTACCTGAATATGCAACAGGGAGAAAGAGCGTCCCAGGACATTTTAGGTTTTTGAAGAAAAAAAAACCCCTTTGGTAAAAAGCCAGAGATCCACAGCGGCCACTTTTTCCATGGGATTGACCCCTGCAATCTTGACTTTCAACCACACAGCACCAGAGTAGCCAAACATTGCTTGTGTCCAAACGCTGGCTGCCTTGAAGGGTGAAAGAATAAGCAGTTCCCAAACTCAGCTGACCTTAATGTCCTTCTAGCTCCTTACGCCCATCTCGGACAAAAGCAGAAATGTATGTCTCAGTTGTGTTTCTACCCCTTGCTGCCCAATATAAATTTTTGTGTTGCCCAATATAATTTTTTGTGACGATGGAAATGTTCTGTATTTGTGTTGTCTGATGAGATAACCACTAACTGTAGTGCTATTGAGCATTTGAAACATGGCTAGTGTAATCAATGAACCAAATTTTTAATTTTATTTAATTGTAATTAATTTTAAGTGGCCACATGCAGGGAGTGACTGCTGCATTGGACAGCACGGCTCTAAATTGAGCCTTTTTTCCTTATTTGGTGAGGCATACTTGCCTTAAGATTGGGAAGTCTATTTTTGGAACCTGCTACCAATGCTGGTCTCACACTTGCAATTCTCAGCTGAGCCAAGAGGTGAGAGAAAGGTCATTTTCCATTCCAGATCTCACTCTCCCCTGTGACACTGAGGAAACTGGCAAGTGATGTGAAGGCTGGAGAGCGTGTCCTGTATGCTGGCTCTGTCCCTTCTGCCTGTGTTGACTGACATAGTTAGTTGCTGCCCTTGCTGGTCTCCCTTCCTCCAACCTTGCCTCTCTGAGCACACCTGACATTCATCTCATGACTTCCCTAAAAACATTCTTTGGGAACAAGAAACTAACAAATCCCAAGTGACCTATCACATATACAAACATACAGGGCAGAGTTTGGATTCGCGGTAGAAGAAAGGGAGGTTAGACATTAAGAAGAATGGTCTGGTGATGACAGTTGTGAGATAATAGAAACAGGAAAAAGAAATCTAAGTTTTCTTTCTTTTTTTAAGAACCAATAATAATTTCTCTCTTTTGACTAGTCAGTAGGGCTGGGGTGGATTGGAGGAAGCTTACATATTCCATGAACAAGCCTCTTCCTAAGGTCCTGTAAGTGATCCTGCCCCACTGATTAGCCCCTAGAAGACCCTTCAAAGGTTGGATCTCCAGGAGGGAGTGGGGGAGGAAAGCCCTGTACCAGGCAGCCTCTGCTCCATTGCTCTGGGGGGGTGGGGAAGGCAAACCCTGGTCATCCCCTCAGTCTGTAGCCCTTTTGTGTGAGTGCCTGGCAAGGGTGACGTGGGGCTGTTTCTGCGGGCACAGCTGCAGCAATTACCGGAGTGGAGGCAGGGCCCAGGCAGCACTGCCCTCCAAGATCTTCCCTTGGGCTTTTCAGCAGTAAGGGGACATGCACCCCAAGGGCCTCCACTTGGCCTGACCTTGCTGCGGGGGCTCTCTGTCCCCAGGAACAGTAGAGATGGCAAGCTTATCGAGACCCTCTCTGCCCAGCTGCCTCTGCTCCTTCCTCCTCCTCCTCCTCCTCCAAGTGTCTTCCAGCTATGCAGGTAAGACATGTTTTTTTTCCTGCCCTGGGGAGACCCTGAAAACAGAAAGGCTAGTTTCCTGGGGCTTAGCTCCTTCAAACATCCTCAAGTTGCTATATTATCTTTCTAAAACATAGACCTACTGACATGCCTCCCTTCCTCAGAAACCTTCCGTGGGTGGTTCTTACAGCCTTCAAGATGGAGTCCAGACTCTTTTTTTTTTTTGAGACAGAGTCTCCCTCTGTTGCTCAGGCTGGAGTGCAGTGGCATGATCTCGGCTCACTGCAACCTCAGCCTCCCTGGTTCAAGCGATTCTCCTGACTTGGCCTCCCAAGTAGCGGAGACTACAGGCGCCTGCCACCACACCCAGCTAAATTTTTTCTTTTCTTTTTTTTTTTTTTTTTTTTGTATTTTAGTACAGACGGGGTTTCACATGTTGGCCAGGATGGTCTCGATCTCTTGACCTGCTGATCCGCCCGCCTCAGCTTCCCAAAGTACTGGGATTATGGGCGTGAGCCACTGCACTAGGCCTAATTTTTTTATTTTTAGTAGAGATGGGGTTTCACCATGTTGGCCAGGCTGGTCTGGAACCCCTGACCTCAAGTGGTCTGCCCTCCTCAGCCTCCCAAAGTGCTGAGATTACAGGCATGAGCCATTGCGTCTGACCCAGACTCCTTAATGTGACTAACTCAAGGCTTTCCTTGAACTACTTCTTACTTGTCTTTCCAGCTTTGTCTTTTCACCTCTCAAATTGAGATAAAATAATAACAACCTCTTGGAGTTCTCATCAGGATTACATGAAATGAGATATGTAACATGCTTAGCAGTGCCTGTCCATAGTAAATCTCAATAAATGTTTGTGGAATTATAATATCTTGTCATGTTTGAGACTTTGCTCTGCATAATCAGGCACCAGTAGGTTTTTATAAAGGAACCCGGCTGTCACGTGCAGAGGAGAAATAAACAGAAAGTTTCCCATCCTCAGGGAGCCACCTGACTGACAGAGGCACAGTGCATCCACTCTCCAGGTCTAGGGGAGAAAGCAGCCTTATTTCTTAGTAGCTCAGAATCTGACTTGAGAAACACATCCACATAGAAAAAAGGAACTTTTTCGGGTCAGGGTCCGGGAGCCACAGTGAGGTGGAAGATACAGGGGAAGGAAGAGGGAAATAGAGCCATCCCCAGGGTGGAAGATCTCAGAAGAGAATTTGGGAAACAAGGTATGAACAAGGACTGAATAGTGAGAAGTGATGGAGAGACAGTTAAAGTAGATGGAGTGACAAAAGCAAAACCTCTAAGGGTAGAATAGGCAGCAATCTGGCCAAGTCCTAACAGGGAGGCCCATAGGAGGATTCAACCTCAAGATGCTGTGCCACATTCCAAGAGGGAACCTAAAGGCTGGGCTGAAGAGTCAGAGATGGCTACAGCTGGCAAAAAGATGGGCAGATGCTGAGAGGAGATGATTGCTAAAATGTTCTGTCCAGGACATTCACAGTATCTCTATAACCAGAGTCTTTTTTGTCGTTGTTGTTCTCAAGAAGGAAACTTGAGGCCGGGTGTGGTGGTTTATGCCCATAATCCCAGCGCTTTGGGGCCAAGGCAGGCGGATCACCTGAGGTCAGGAGTTCGAGACCAGCCTGGCCAACAGTGTGAAACCTCATCTTTACTAAAAATACAAAAATTAGCTGGATGCGGCGGTAGGTGCCTGTAATGCCAGCTACTCGGGAGGCTGAGGCAGGAGAATCACTTGAACCTGGGAGGCGGAGGTTGCAGGGAGGCGGAGGTTGCAGTGAGCCAAGATTGCACCACTGCACTCCAGCCTGGGCGACAGAGAGTAAGACTGTCTCAAAAAATAAATGAATAAATAAAAAGGAAGAAGAAGAAGAAGAACAATTGCAATCCTCCCTGGCTCTAGAATGTCATTTAAAAGTCGAGTGTCTTCTTCCTTCCCTGTTTTGAAGCAGCCCTTCTCATGACAGGCTTGCTTGCCAAGGTTCCCTCTGACCTTAAATCTCTTCCTTTTGGTGTCTTGGACAGGGCAGTTCAGAGTGATAGGACCAAGACACCCTATCCGGGCTCTGGTCGGGGATGAAGTGGAATTGCCATGTCGCATATCTCCTGGGAAGAACGCTACAGGCATGGAGGTGGGGTGGTACCGCCCCCCCTTCTCTAGGGTGGTTCATCTCTACAGAAATGGCAAGGACCAAGATGGAGACCAGGCACCTGAATATCGGGGCCGGACAGAGCTGCTGAAAGATGCTATTGGTGAGGGAAAGGTGACTCTCAGGATCCGGAATGTAAGGTTCTCAGATGAAGGAGGTTTCACCTGCTTCTTCCGAGATCATTCTTACCAAGAGGAGGCAGCAATGGAATTGAAAGTAGAAGGTGAGTAGTGCCATATAATATTAGGTATTAACTGTTGGGTGGCCAAGAACAATTATTCTCTCAACTGAGATGAGATCCCTCAACCCAAACATCTCAGTCCTGGGAATGATTTCCATAAAAATGTACACATCAATAAACAGAAACTCATGCTTAGGGATGTCTGTTGCATCATTATTCAGAGTAGCAAGGAAATTGGGATCAAAATCAATGCCTTTGAGTAGGTAAGTGACAGAATGAACAATGGTAGCCATACTGTGAATATTATGCAGGCATTAAAAAGATTATTTTAGCACTAGGCCAGATGGTTTGGAGGCCTTCTATAAGGTATTATTGAGTGATAAGAGCAAGCTGCTGTAGGATACAAAAACAAAAACAAAACCCTAGGGCATGGTGGTTTGCCTCGCAGCTACTCAGGAGGCTGAGACGGGAGGCTGGCTTGAGCCCAGGGGTTTGCAGTTACAGTGAGCTATGATTGCACCACTGCACTCCAACCCGGGTGACAGAGCAAAGACCTTCACCCCCACTCCCTACCCGTCTCTAAAAAAAACAAAAACAAAAACAAAAAAACCCTTGGGCCCAGCGCCGTGGCTCACGCCTGTAATCCCAGCACTGTGGGAGGCCGAGGTGGGCAGATCACAAGGTCAGGAGATCGAGACCATCCTGGCTAAAACGGTGAAACCCCGTCTCTACTAAAAATACAAAAAAAAAAAAAAAATTAGCCAGGCATGGTAGCAGGCGCCTGTAGTCCCAGCTACTCGGGAGGCTGAGGCAGGAGAATGGCGTGAACCCGGAAGCGGAGGTTGCAGTGAGCCAAAATCCTTCCACTGCACTCCAGCATGGGGGACACAGCGAGACTCCGTCTCAAAAAAAAAAAAAAAACCCTGTATTTGTGAGCGCACACACACACACACACACACACACACACCTGTGCTTGGTCCTAGTGAATAAGCAAGTAAATCAAATGTCTAAATATAATTATAGAAAGGAGATGTCACCTTTTGGCTGTACCTCCACTATTTCATTCTGCAGAATTGCAGAATTTCTTTTTTTTTTCCTTTCTTTCTTTTCTTTTTTTTTTTGACACAGAGTCTCGCTCTGTCACCCAGGCTGGAGTGCAATGGCGCCCTCCGCCTCCTGGGTTCAAGTGATTCTCCTGCCTCAGCCTCCCGAGTAGCTGAGATTACAGGTGCCCACCACCACACCCAGCTAATTTTTGTATTTTTAGTAGAGACAGGGTTTCACCAGGTTGTCAAGGTTGGTCTCAAACTCCTGACCTCAGGTGATCCACTCGCCTCAGCCTCCCAAAGTGCTGGGATTACAGGCATGAGCCATGGTGCCCGGCCTCAGAATTTCATTTTCAACATGTTTTGCATGATGGGTGATTTTGGAGAATATTTTTTGCTCTATCGCAGGATGATTAAGATGTGGACAAGGTGAAGCCGATGGAGGGGGAGCTTTGAAAGTTACTTGCTATTTAATTGAGGAACTAAACTGCTTTGAGAGCCTGGGGGTCAGATCCTCTGCCTTTTCCTCCTCCCCACCTGCAGTGCAAACATCAGACAATTGATCACTATTGTATCTTGGAGGTGGGAGTGACCATTGCAGTGCTGGGACCAGAAGATGGCATTGTATGTGGAACAACAAAGCACTATTTCTAGAGACTGCCTGCAGGGATATGGAAATAGCTTTATGTGTCTCAGAATGTTCTTCATACAGCTGTTTTTATTGGGGAAATTCTACTTGCCGAAAAGTTTGATAGTGAGACCCTCTCCAGTTTGCAGATTTTTCTCCTTCCTGCTCAACAACTTCCTAGCTCAGTAACTGCCTCTCCCAACAAACTCCCTCAGTTTCACCACACCAAAAAAGGAAGACAAGCCGGTTGCGGTGGCTCACACCTATAATCCCAAAACTTTGGGAGGCCGAGGCGGGTGGATCACCTGAGGTCGGGAGTTCGAGACTAGCCTGACCAACATGGAGAAACCCTGTCTCTACTAAAAACACAAAATTAGCCTGGCGTGGTGGCGCATTCCTGTAATCCCAGCTGGGAGGCTGAGGCAGGAGAATCGCTTGAACCCCGGAGGCGGAGGTTGCAGTGAGCCAAGATCGTGCCATTACACTCCAGTCTGGGCAAGAAAAGTGGAACTCCATCTCAAAAAAAAAAAAAAAAAAAACAAGGAAGACAAAAAGAAAAGCAGCTAAAGACTTTGCCTCAGGGGAGAAAGTTCTCTTTTGGGTTGCTATCCACATTCCAACCTCCTGTTCCCACCTCTTCGTCTGCATGCCTAAGAAACTGTTTTACAAGTAAATAAGGGACGCTTTGTCTAGGCTTTGGAGCCAGGAAGTTGAGACAAATTTAGGAATGAGATGAAGTAATGGTATTATTGCAAGTCTCAGGTGTAACTACCTCTGCTCTTTCTCTGAAGAGTTTCTAATTTCTCTTGTTTACTTATTTTTTTCTTGTCATTTTTGTGATTTTATTACTAGTTGTCTCTAATCCTTTCTTTAAATTCTTCATTATGAAACATAAAAACAAATGCCAGGCGCGGCAGCTCACGCCTGTAATCCCAGCACTTTGGGAGGCCGAAGCGGGCAGATCACCCGAGGTCAGGAGTTCGAGACCAGCCTGATCAACATGGAGAAACCCCGTCTCTACTAAAAAATACAAAATTAGCTAGGCGTGGTGGCACATGCCAGTAATCCCAGCTACTTGAGAGACTGAGGCAGGAGAATCGCTTGAACCGGGAGGCAGAGGTTGCGGTGAGCCAAGATCGCGCCATTGCACTCCAGCCTGGGCAACAAGAGCAAAACTCTGTCTCAAAAAAAAAAAACCACATACAAACCAGAGATAATATTATAATGAGCCTCCAAGTGCCTACCACCTTGCTGCAGCACTTGTCAATCCAGGGACCACCCACCTCACCGGCTCCCCACTCATTACCACCCTCCCCTACTCAATTACTGAGGTAAATCCTAGGCAGCATGATCATTTCTTTTTTTTCTTTTTATTTATTTTGAGACAGGATCTGTCTCTGTCACCCAGGCTGGAGTGTAGTGGCATATCTCTGCTCACTGCAGCCTCTGCCTCCCGGGCAGAAGCCATCCTCCCACCTCAGCCTACATAGTAGCTGGGACCACAGGCACACACCACCACACACTGCTAATGTTTTGTATTTTTTGTAGAGACTGGGTTTTACCATGTTGATCAGGCTGGTCTCAAACTCCTAGGCTCAAGCAATCCTCCCACCTCGGCCTCCCAAAGTGCTAGAATTACAGGCGCGAGCCACTGCACCCAGCGAAGAACACTTTTTAAAAAATAAATAGGCCGGGCGCGGTGGCTCACACCTGTAATCCCAGTACTTTGGGAGCCCAAGGAGGGCGAATCATGAGGTCAAGAGATTGAGACCATCCTAGCTAACATGGTGAAACCCCATTTCTACTACAAATACAAAAACAAAATTAGCCTGGCGTGGTGGCAGGCGCCTGTAGTCCCAGCTACTTGGGAGCTGAGGCAGGAGAATGGAGTGAACCCGGGAGGCGGAGCTTGCAGTGAGCTGAGATCATGCCACTGCACTCCAGCCTGGGGCAACAGAGTGAGACTCAAAAAAAAAAAAAAAAAAAGCCCCCCCTCCCCACACACAATAATATAAATAAATAAATAACCACAATACTATTATCACATCTTACAAACTCAACAAAAATTTCTTAATATCATCAAATACCCAGTTTGTGTTCAAATTTTCCTGATTGTTTCATAAATATACTCTTACAGTTGGTTTCTTTTAGCGAGATTCAAATGAGACCCACCTGTTGACCTTTGCCCTTAGGGTTTCCCAGGGTCTGAATTTTGTTGACGACATTCCCATGTTGCTATGTAATACGGTCCTCCATGCCCTGTGTTTTTCTGTAAACTGATAGATGTGGAGGTGCAATGACATTTGTGTTTGATTTACTTTGGCAAATATAGTTCATCAGTGATACTCTATACTTCTTGTTGCTTTACATCCGGAGGCTGATAATGTCTGCTTTTCTCTCTTTTCTAATTATTTGTGAAAGGAAAAATGTGGGGGGTTGGGAGAAAAAAACCCTTAAGTACATACTCGCTAAATCACATTGCTACAGGTAACTTCCATTAAGAACTTGAAAGTAAAGGTAGCTGCATTTTCCCCTAGGGAACACAATGATAGACAGGAGCCTTAGTCTACAGCTTGAAGGATTGTAATTATACCTAAGCAACCCTCCTGGACCAGTTTAATGTTATTAGCTGTGATGTATCCCTACCTTTGATGTCATTATCCTTACTTAGCTCCCTTAAAGCAGAGATCAAGATGAAAAGGGCTTCAGCTGCAGCATGGCACATGGAGATTAGAGTGGGGCTTTTGGATGCTGAGGAGCAGACCTAGAATGGGAAATAGATGGGAGCCACAGAAGTGAAGGTCCCCCTCCCTCATTGCTCAACCTACTCCACATCTCCAGGTCTGCACATCTGTTCAGTTACTGAATCCTGTGTAAGCTACCTTCTTTTTCTTTTTTCTTTTATTTATTTATTTATTTTTTTTTTGAGATGGAGTTTTGCTCTTGTTACCCAGGCTGGAGTGCAATGGTGCAATCTCGGCTCACTGCACCCTCCAACTCCCAGGTTCATGCAATTCTCCTCCCTCAGCCTTCCAAGTAGCTGGGATTACAGGCTGCACCACCATGTCTGGCTAATTTTTGTATTATCAGTAGAGAGAGGGTTTCACCATGTTGGCCAAGCCGGTCTCGAACTCCTGACCTCAAGTGATCCACCCACCTTGGCCTCCCAAAATGCTGGGATTACAGGTGTGAGCCACCATGCCCGCTGTAAACTACCTTCTTAAAAGCTCTAGAAGAGGGCTCTTAACCTTTTGTTGTGTGTCATGCACCTTCCGCAAGCTGATGAAGTTGATAGACCCATCTCAGAATTTTTTTTTTTTTTTTGAGACAGTGTCTCACTCTGTCACCCAGGATTGGTTGCAGTGGCACGATCATGGCTCATTGCAGCCTCCACCTCCCAGGCTCAAGTGATCCTCCTGACTCAGCCTCTTGAATAGCTGAGACCACAGGCTTGTGTCACCATGCCCAGGTAATTTTTAATTTTTTTTCGTAGAGGCAGGGTCTCACATTATGTTGCCCAGTCTGGCCTCGAGAACTCCTGGGCTCAAGCAATCTTCCTGCCTTGGCCTCCCAAAGTGGTGGGATTACAGGGGAGAGCCACCACACCTAGCCAGAAGAATGTTTTAAATACACCAAATAAAACATTTATACCAAAATACAGTTATCAAAATATTAAATTAACAAGAGTTAGGGTGACCCTATTAATTAGTGTAATTTCAAAATAGTAATGAACATAAGTGATAGTTTGAGATTTCTGTGACTTTTCTAATGTGACGTGAAAATATTTGTGATTTTTCTTTTTCTTTTTTTTTTTTTGAGATGGAGTTTCGCTCTTGTTGCCCAGGCTGGAGTGCAATGGCAAGATCTCGGCTCACCTCAACCTCCGCCTCCTGGGTTCAAGCGATTCTCCTGCCTCAGCCTCTTGAGTAGCTGGGATTACAGGACTGTGCCACCACGTCCAGCTAATTTTGTATTTTTAGTAGAAACAGGGTTTCTCCATGTTGGTCAGGCTGGTCTTGAACTCCCAACCTCAGGCGATCCGCCCGCCTCGGCCTCCCAAAGTGCTGGGATTACAGGTGTGAGCCACCGCACCTGGCCAATATTTGTGATTTTTATTGACGACAAAGTCAAAGGTTCTCTTCATATTATTGTGGTGTATCGCCTACAAGCATAATTAAAATAAACACTAAATTTCAGTTTAAAGTTTACTGAAAATAAATATGTATTTTTTATTCCCTATTTAAGCTTTGAATCCCCTGACTTCCTATACCATTACCACTGTCCTAGTTCAGGTTCATGTTGTTTTTTACTTTAATTGTTATCACAGTCTCTTAACATTTCTCCCTATGTTCTCCAGTCCTGTAGGTGCTAAATCTGACGTGGTCACTTCTCAGCTTGGAATCCTTCAGTGCACCACCACAGCCTTGAACTACATATTTGAAATACATATTTATTTTCAGTAAACTTTAAACTGAAATTTAGTGTTTATTTTAATTATGCTTGTAGGCGATACACCACAATAATATGAAGAGAACCTTTGACTTTGTCGTCAATAAAAAGTCCCTTGAGGGACTTCAGATGTAAGTCCCTTAGCTGCTCGTTAAAACTCCCCCAGCCTGACCCAATACACAATCTTGACTTTAAACCACTTGTCATTCTAAATCACTAGCATTTCCTGGAAAAAAAAGCCATTTTTCCTTTAGGGCTAAGCTCAGGGACCAATTCTGTGTCACCTTCTTTGAATCCTGATGATATTCACTTCTTTATTTGACCTGATTTATTGGGCCCCAGACACCATGCTGAGTGTTGGGGATTCAGCTCTGGACAATGTCAAATGTCAGTCCTGCCTTTCAGATCCTTTCTACTGGGTGAGCCCTGGAGTGCTGGTTCTCCTCGCGGTGCTGCCTGTGCTCCTCCTGCAGATCACTGTTGGCCTCGTCTTCCTCTGCCTGCAGTACAGACTGAGAGGTACAGGGCAGAGGGTGGGTGGATCAGGATCCTTTCTTTAAATGAGCTGGCTTCTTGGAGCTACACCACTTAACATGTATTTGTGAGTGACTTCTGGGTTCAGAAGTTCTTCTCACTATTGAGTGATAAAGAAAAAAAATAACTCCATGATGAAAGAGTTTTACATCTTACGGAATGCTTTCATATGAATAATCGGACCTAGCATTTCCCTATGAGCTAACTATGCCATATAGTAACCCCATTTTACAGAGGATACAACTGAGGCCAGGAGTAGTTCAGTGACTTACTCAAACCGATATAACTTATAAGTGGTAGAGCTGAGGCCTCTGTATCATACCTAGCAGCTCCATGCAACTTGGGAGAGTGTGAGCTTCGAAGTCAGACAGGTCTAGGCTATTAGGAGTTTTGAATAAAGATACTGAAGTGAAAGTCTCTACCACACAGTAGGCGTTCGAAAATTGTTTCCTCTTTCTCCATTCAACACTGAGGACTCAGGTTCAGCTGCTGATGAAGCTCCTCTTTTTTGCCTAGAGCTTTCATTCTGAGCCTTCTCCTCCTACCAAGTGTCTCCCCAATGCCAGAGCAGGAAGAGTCTTCACTCCTCCCCATGCCCCACCTCCCATTTGTTACTAAGAGGAGAGGAGAAAGTAGCAAGGAGGGTATGGGGAATGTTCTGGGGGAATGGGTGTTGGTGCGATCAACAACAAAGTCCTTTCTCTCACCTTGAATTCATCCCAGATGCCTGCTTGTTTACTTCTTCCACACAAAAAAAGGCCTTCAGCCCTCATGGCTGAGCAGAAAGAATCTGAATGTTAGAGTCAGGCAGCCTGGGTTTGAATTCCATCTCAGGTACTGAACTCTATAGCAAAATTCTTAGATTCTCCAAGCTTCAGTTGCCTTGTCTGTCAAATAGAGAAAACATCCTTCGTCCTAAATTGTAGGGAGGATTAAAGTCATGCAAAGTGCCTACTACAAATCCAGTCACAAAGTAGCTAGCTACTCACTAAATGTTCAGCTCCTCCCTCCTCATTCAGATGGGAAGTGGCTTTAGATAAACAAAGTGGCAACGCAGTGGGCTGGAGCAGCTCTGTGAACTGAGAATCCAAGAAAAGGGGCGAAGAGCAGCTGGGATGTATTGGATGCTTGTGCTGGCTTGGAGCATTGCTCACATTCTTTATTCGCTATTGTATCTAGACTATAGCTAGAGAAAGAGCCGCAACCATTGGCTTTAAATCCAGTGCTCTTCCTACTCTCCTGAGGTTGTTTCCAGGCTGTAGAGAAATAGCCTGCACAAGGGGCCCAGGCGCTGGGTGTGGGAGGGTCCCCACCGAGAGCCAGAACATGCAGGAACTAAAATGTTGCCTTTTTCTATTTTAGGAAAACTTCGAGCAGAGATAGGTGAGTTCCAGTCATCGTTTCTCCCAATTCTTGCCTTTTGGTTTTTTGGCATAACGGAAATGGTCCCGTTCTTGGACCGTCTCTCCCTCTCAATACCCTGTTTTCCCCTCAGTTTCCCTTTCTCTACAGTGGGTGTGTCGTGCCTAGAACAAGTTTTAAGTAATTAAATAACAAAGACTCAGGATAAAAGATCCTTTTTGAGTGCCCTACTAAATCCATTTCCATTTGTTTCTCTTTCAGAGAATCTCCACCGGACTTTTGGTAAGTTCCGGCATGTCTAGGCCCTCCCAGGTCAACTTGGTATTTCACTCTAGTTCCAGTCACCTGGGGGAACAAGGACCCCTGGCTCCTGGTTGAGTCCCTTCCTCTCTTCTCTTTTCTTTCTTTAAATAAGAAGTCATTTGCATTTAGGATTGGTAAAATCATAATAAAAATACTCATGTACTGTTTTTATGTGCCAGGCACTATTCTAACTACTTTACAAAAATGTTATCTTATTCTGTTTAACTCCTTATGCACATGATCTCTCTTTTCAGGAATGGCAAAACAGAGGTAAATAGATCGTTTACACGTAAACCTGATGTCTGGTTGGGGAGGTGAAACAAACAGAAACAAGACACAACTGTATCACCTGTACTTATATTTCTGCTTTACAAACTCAGGATGTTTCCATGAGTACAGAACATGACTAATCAGAGAAGACCTCATAGAGGAATAGAAAAGCCACCAAGCCCCACTAGGAATTGACCCCTCAAGGACATGGTTTCTAGCCTTTTTGTTCACTGCAGATTGCCCAATGCCTAAAGATAATGGCAACAGAAGAGCACCCAAATATTTGTTAGATAAATGTTGCAGACACTAGAAGGTGTCATTAGGGCACAGATGGTACCTTCTCTGAGCAAACTTCCTTCACAGCTCCTCCTCCCGAGGCTGTAGGTGACTCTACTCTTGTCACCTGGCACACAGAGTTCTATCGTACGATTTAGGAAATTAGACCAGTGTGTGGACCACACACACACACATCTTTACACACCCAAAGAGGAGGAATAGTATCTTTGTTTTGGAGGACTTGACTATGAAAGGTCTTAACTCCTTTTTGTACCATGAATCTCTCTGGCACTCCAGTGAAGTCTAAAGGACCCCTTTGCAGAATGTTTTTAAATATACACATAAAATAGAACACATAGGATTGCAAAAACAATCATTGTACTAAAATACAGTTATCAACCGATAATCACATTTGTGATATAGTAACATAAATGTTTCTTTTTTTTTTTTTTTGAGGCAGAGTTTTGCTCTTGTCACCCAGGCTGGAGTGCAATGGCGCGATCTAGGCTCACTGAAACCTCTGCCTCCCGGGTTCAAGCGATTCTCAGCCTCCTGAGTAGCTGGGATTACAGGTGCCCGCCACCACACCCAGCTAATTTTTGTATTTTTAGTAGAGACTAGGTTTCACCAGGTTGGCCAGGCTGGCCTCGAACTCCTGACCTCAGGTGATCCACCTGCCTTGGCCTCCCAAAGTGCTGGGATTACGGGCATGAGCCACCGTGCCCGGCCATAAATATTTCTTTAGCCAAAGTAATACATTAAGTAATGTAGCAGCAAGTCTAATAACCTGTAATTTCTTTCTTTCTTTCTTTCTTTCTTTTTTTTTTGAGATGAAGTTTTTTTGAGATGGAGTGCAATGGCACAATCTCGGCTCACTGCAACCTCCACCTCCTGGGTTCAAGCGATTCTCCTGCCTCAGCCTCCCAAGTTGCTGGAACTACAGGCGCATGCCACCATGCCCAGCTAATTTTTGTATTTTTAGTAGAGACGGGGTTTCACCATGTTGGCCAGGCTGGTCTTGAACCCCTGACCTCAGGTGATCTGCCTGCCTTGGCCTTCCAAAGTGCTGGGATTACAGGCATGAGCCACCAGGCCCAGCCCAATAACCTTTAATTTCAACATACTAATAAACATAAACAGTATTTCAAGATTTCTGCAATAACTCTAATGGGAATGAAAACATCTGTGGCTTCCATTGGTAATTAAGTCACAGGTACTGCTCATATTGTGGTTAGTTGTAAAATGTTTTGGTTTGTTTTGTTTTTTCCAAGACTTGGGGGAATGGGTGTTGGTGGGATCAACAAGAGTCTTGCTCTGTGGCCCAGGCTGGAGTGCAGGGGCAGGATCTTGGCTCACTGCAACCTCCGCCTCCCAGGTTCAAGCGATTCTCCTGCCTCAGCCTCCTGAGTAGCTGGCATTACAGGCATGTGCCACCACGCCCACCTAATTTTTACATTTTTAGTAGAGATGGGGTTTCACCATGTTGGCCTGGCTGGTCTTGAACTCTTGGCCTCATGATCCACCCGTCTCGGACTCCCAGAGTGTTGGGATTACAGGCATGAGCCACCACACCTGGCAGTTGTTACATTTTTAATGAAAGAAAATGTTAAATCCAGTTATTGAAAATAAGGAGGCAGTACTTTTCTCATCCAAGTTCATGGACTTTCTGAATTTTGTCCCCAGAGTCCTTTGGTGTTCTAGGACCCCAGGTTAAGGAACCAAAAAAGACAGGTGGGTGGGGCATGAGGGGGAACACATGTTAACCCTGTTTGTTCTGGTGAACAATTCAGATCCCCACTTTCTGAGGGTGCCCTGCTGGAAGATAACCCTGTTTGTAATTGTGCCGGTTCTTGGACCCTTGGTTGCCTTGATCATCTGCTACAACTGGCTACATCGAAGACTAGCAGGTGCAGTGGCTGGGCAGCAGGCAAGACCACCAAATAGTGGGGGACCAAGTCAGCTCTGAATGGGAAGCCAAAAGAGAATAGAACCAGGACTCAAGATTAGGGGAGCTGGGATTTCCTTATTCCTCTGTCCCCATGCCCAACCCCAGGCTCTTCTGAGAAACTGTGAAGAGAACCACTTACTGGATCTGTGGGATCCCCCAGTGGAAAGGGCAGTGTGGGTCACTCCAAATGTCCATAGGGAGGATGTGGGGAAGGTGCTATTCATCTTCCACTAATCACATATTTGTTTCTTTTTGTTTTCAGGGCAATTCCTTGAAGAGCTACGTAAGTTCTCTTCTCTCTGTTATAAGCAGAGAATAAAAAGCCAGGAAAGGGAGACAGAAGCAACAAGAGGAAGAGGCGGGCTATTGAGGGATCACATTCCCAGAGGAAAGGAGGAGCTGGAGAGCCTGGGTGGAGGGAAGACTCCTCCTGGGAGGTAGAGGGCAAAGAAGCCAGCTGTTAGAGACACATTTACAGGTGGCAGAGAAGCTGGAGGCACTCCTATCTGCCACCTGATCCATTCCTCCTTCACTGCCCCTAAGCAGGAATCCAACCCTAGCTGGTCTCATTGCCCATTCCACAGCAACTGCCCAGTGCCTCACCTCTCAGATCAACCATTGAGGCAGGAATGGAGACAAGATGACCCCAAGGGCTTTTCTTCTCCCTAGTTCAATGGTTTTATGATACAAACTACTGACATACGTTTTTCAAGTTATTTTCTCCTTCTTCTAGGAAATCCCTTCTGAGTGATGTCACATCTTGGCAGGGGTGGAGGAGAGCCTGGTTGCCCAGGGATTTGTCCTTGGGGACATCTCATCCATCAAGTTGCACACTCACTGGCATCTTTGCTATGGGGACATTCCAATTTGCACTTTCAGGAACACTCTGAATTCCAAGTAGAATTGATTTCCCTTCTTCTGTCATCTACCTTTTCTCTTCATTTTCCCATTTTTATTACCCTTCTTTCCATTTCTCTCTCCAGTCTTCCACCTGGAAGCCCTCTCTGGCTAAGGACAGGCAGGTGCCCCTCTCTCCATCAGAGGACACCTGTACTGGAGAGCAACACAGGATGGTCTCTGCCATGAACTGGAGGCCAGGAATCTCCTCACTGAAAATTACAGTATGGTAACTTTGCAAATGGTGGTTGTTTCTTCCAAGACTCCAGCCCTGATTGCGCAAAACTGAAAGGCATGTGAAGGGAAGGAAGAGGAAGAGTGCAAAACATTGAAGAGAGAGCTGAGTGAGCTGAAGAGTGAGGATATGAGTAGCCCCAACCCAAACCTGGAGATGGGGAGAAACCTACAGAATACTAGCCAGAGCTCCTCCTTGTCTTGGCAGCCTACTAGGGACCTGGGGAAGCAAAAACGAAAGCTGGGCAACATGCCTGCTTTAGAATGTTTTCCTTCTACTTACACATCTTCCACAGGTCTCAGAATCTTTCCTTCCTCTCATCCTTTTCTCCTATCTTCATATCTATCAGAGTATCCACTGTTTATTCAACAACTACTACTTGATGGTCAGACACAAACAAACAAGCTAGGTGCTAATTAATAAAGATACGAGTTTTGGCCGGGTGCGGTGGCTCACGCCTGTAATCCCAGCACTTTGGGAGGCCGAGGCGGGCGAATCACGAGGTCAGGAGTTCAAGACCAGCCTGGCCAACATGGTGAAACCCCATCTCTACTAAAAATACAAACAATTAACTGAGCATAGTGGTGGGCACCTATAATACCAGCTACTCCGGAGGCTGAGGCAGGAGAATCGCTTGAACCCAGGAGGCAGAGGTTGCAGTGAGCTGAGATCGCGCCACTGCACTCTAGCCGGAGTGACAGAGTAAGACTCTGTCTCAAAAATAAATAAATAAATAAATAAATAAATAAATAAATAAATAAATAAAAAATAATAATACAAGTTTTCATAAGCACACTTCTAACCCCTTGTCTTTTATGTATTTCCTTCCTTATCCACGCACCTGTCTCCCTCTACTCCAGCCTCATTACCCCAGAGGTCAGTCCTCAGGAAAACTAAACACAAAGAAAGAGCTCAGTCAGAAAGGCCATTTATTTATGTTTCAAGATGCTCACTGCCTCCTTTGTTTTGTCTCCTTTGCAGGCCTTCTCTCTTAGGCCTCTTCTCCTGGGGGTATGGATCCTGGGGGGAGATTGATCACCTCCATGCTTCCATTCCTCCCCAGCCATAGTGGGGACATCATGAGAGAAGCCAAGCCACTGGCCCAGGATCACCCGGCATTTATGGTGGCTGCTCTGGCACAGGTCCTTGCCTTTATAGCCCCTCCAGTGATCCATAAGGCCCTCTTTCTCCCCAAAGGAGAGGTCACAGATAGGGCAAAGGTAGCTCTTCTGCTTCCAGTGGGTCTGCTGGTGTCTGACCAGCCTGGAAAATGAGCTGAAAGACTTGCTGCAATGGAAGCAGTAGTTGGGCGGCTCTGTGAGGTGGGCCTTCTGGTGTCTGGAGAGATAGGATTTCTTGCTAAAAGTCAAAGAACAATGGGGGCAACAGAAGACATTGAGTCTTGAGGGCTTCACTGGATGAGAGTTGGATCTGGCATCCTGACAGAGGGTTCCAGTGATGGGTGCCTGGGTCCTGGTCACAGGTGCTTGGTTCTTAAGTACAGATGCCTGGTTCTGGGCCATAGGACCCTCAGTTCTAAATATGGGTTCCTGGGACCTGGCCACTGGTGCATGGTTCACATCCAAAAGCCCCTGGATGGACCTCTGGCTTCTGGCGATGGGTGTCTGGAATTCAGCCTGGGTGCCTGGAATCCTCAAAGTACACTCCTGGTTTCCATCCACTGGCTCCTGGTTTTGGTGTATCTTCTGGTGGCGTTTGAGCTCAGACTGGTCCCGGAAGCTCTTCCCACACACAGAGCATGAATGGGGCCGGTAACCCAGATGGACGCGGCGGTGACGACTTAGTCCAGAAGCATCACAGTAGGTCTTGTCACAGAGCGTGCAACAGAAGGGCCTCTCCCCAAGATGCATGCGTCTGTGATAGCTGAGGGACTTGGGGCTCCGAAACAACTTCCCACACTGACTGCAGCTGTTAGTCAGCTTGGGATTGTGAACAAACTGGTGGCTATAGAGGTAGGAGCGCCTGCTGAAACATTTGCCACAGGTGTAGCAAAAAAAGGGTGGCCCAGCCTGGGATGCTTGAAGCACCCGGGTCCTGTCCATAGTCCCAGCTGGGGCAGATAGGGGGCACTGGCCGGCCCCTCTGCATGCAAGGAAGACCTTGTCATCACTAGTCCCCTCATCTCTCAGACTGGGATGTTGTTCTCGAAGCTCTTTCTTCTTGCCTTCTACAGTGAATGAGGAAGAATAACACAAAATTCACTGTAAGAACTCCAACAGAGGCTTGGCATGGTGGCTCACACCTGTAATCCCAGCACTTTGGGAGGCCGAGGCCAGCGGATCACCTGAGGTTAGGAGTTCGAAACCAGCCTGACCAACATGGTGAAACCCTGTCTCTACTACAAATACAAAAATTAGCTGGGCGTCATGGCATCTGCCTGTAATCTCAGCTACTAGGGAGACTGAGGCAGGACAATCACTCGAACCCGGGAGGCGGAGGTTGCAGTGAGCCAAGATGGTGCCACTGCACTCCTGCCTGGGCAACTAGAGTGAAACTCTGTCTCAAAAAAAAAAAAAGAAAGAAAGAAAAAGAAGAAGAAGAAGGAGAAGGAGAAGAAGGAGAAGGAGAAGAGAAGGAGAAGAAGAAGAAGAAGGAAGAAGAAGAAGAAGAAAAGAAAAGAAGAAGAAGAAGAAGACGAAGACGAAGAAGAAGAAGAAGAGGAAGAAGAAGAACTCCAACACAGCACTCCATTCAGCCTAACACACTTCTTGTCTCTGCCCTTGCTCTCCCACCCAACACATTCATCCTTACCCTTGGGCCTCATAGGCTAGAAATAAGAAGAAAAAAAGAAAAAATTGGCTTTTCAAATTAGAAGCAAATAAAAAGTTAACTGGAATCTTTCAACACTGTCAGAAATGTAAATTTTAACTTACAACAACACTTCTTGAAATCTATCTTATCTCATTCTCAATATTGCTCAAACTCCCATAGACAATCCACAGACACCCACATAATAATGCATCATGAACACTGGGCCACTTGAGGGTGAAAAGAGGTGTTATTAATAATCAAGCTGGGATGAGAAGTATAAACCAGGACTGTCCTGGAAAACCAAAAAGTGTATCAGCCTGGCTTGATATCTCTCTCAACTATTTACTACCAGGGACAAGCCTCCCTTACTCCAACCCAGCATGAAACCTGTCTCCTTTGCTTCTCTTTTCTCTTGGAAAGAACATTTTAATCAGAGCACTATCATGGACATAAGCAACTTTCATGTCATCTCTCAATCTCTAGAAACTGAAGACATCTACTTCTCCTGAAAGACTTAGATCTTCAGCCAGCCAGGCACGGTGGCTCATGCCTGTAATCCCAGCACTTTGGGAGGCCGAGGTGGATGGATAACCTGAGGTCAAGACATCAAGACCATCCTGGCCAACATGGTGAAACCCTGTCTCTACTAAAAATACAAAAATTATCTGGACACGGTGGCACATGCCTGTAGTCCCAGCTACTCGAGAGGCTGAGGCAGGAGAATCGCTTGAACCCGGGAAGTGGAGGTTGCAGTAAGCCAAGATTGTGCCACTGCACTCCAGCCTGGCAACAGAGCGAGACTGTGTCTCAAAAAAAAAAAAAAAAAAAAAAGAGAGAGAGAGAGAGACTTGGATCTTCAACTTGAAGTCAAGGGACTTGAGCCTATGATATTAAGCTCTCTTTCAACTCCAAGTCTGACCAGGCTGGACAGAGGTACACTAGGAGAGCATCTATAGAGCATTCATCCTCTTCATCAGCTCTCCATCCTTTCAGGGGTTATCCTGGGCCCTTTTCCCCTTCCTCCCTGCTTGGCAATTCTTACCTGAAAGGCCTTCTGTGTTTGGGAGATGGACAAACTCTCTCCACTGTTCCTCTTCTTGCTCAAGCTTGGTGATTAGCTCTGGCTTATGCAGAAAGATTCTGGCTGATGTGTGGGAATGAGAAAGAGTTGAGTTGGTCCCAGGTATGGCCCCTTCACATCTGATGGGGACAACAGGCTACCTCCTGTAGCCTTTGTTTAAGAACCATAACCTGGGACATGTAGATGCGGAAAGGAGACATTAAAAGGCCAGCTGCTAGCAAAGTACCTGGTTCTCAGGAGTGACTTAGTAAATATTTGTTTGATGAATGGAAAAATTTGCATATTTTGAGAACACTGTCATCATGTTACAAGTGTTATCTTTGCCTTCATGCAGGCTATCATTTCTTCTCTTTACCACTGAGCTTAGTGACTCAGATCTTTCACACCTGGAAAGCATAGAACCAGGGGTCAGTGAAACTAATTGTAAGCTGATCTACCTGTCCAGGGAAACCAGATGTTCCAGGGCCCTTAGGACAGGGGGCTTGCTGAGGGAAGCCCAGCCTCTTACCCACAGATGTTAGATTCTTAAAGGTTTCCGACATAACATCCTGGTAAAGGACCCTCTGGCTGGCATCTAGACAGTCCCACTCTTCCTGGGTGAAATTCACTGCCACATCCTCAAAGGTGACTGGCTTCTGGAAGAACAGGAGAGACTCAAGAAGTTTATATAAATATATATGTGTGTGTGTGTGTGTGTGTGTACAAGATTAACATCCAGTCTCAAGATTCAGAGAATTAAAACCTAAGAGAAAGATAAAACCATGGAAGGAAGAGAGAAATATTAAAAGACAGACACAAGGCCAGCAACTGTGAAGTATAGAAAGGAAAGGAGGCCGGACGCGGTGGCTCACGCCTGTAATCCCAGCACTTTGGGAGGCTGAGGCAGGCAGATC
Source organism: Homo sapiens (assembly GCF_000001405.40). Classification (NCBI taxonomy): domain Eukaryota; kingdom Metazoa; phylum Chordata; class Mammalia; order Primates; family Hominidae; genus Homo; species Homo sapiens. Next base: position 985,349 of record NT_167249.2, read on the forward strand.
ACGAGGTCGGGAGTTCGAGACCAGCCTGACCAATATGGTGAAACCTGGTCTCTGCTAAAAACACAAAAATTAGCTGGGCATGGTGGCGCATGCCTGTAATCCCAGCTACTCAGGAGGCTGAGGCAGGAGAATTGCTTGAGCCCGGGAGGCAGAGGTAGCAGTGAGCCAAGATCGCGCCACCGCACTCCAGCCTGGGTGACAGAGCGAGACTCCGTCTCAAAAAAAAAAAAAAGAAAAAAAAAAAAGGAAAGGAAAGATGAAGAGAAAGGGAGAAAGATAAGATGTGGGGGAGAGGAAAGAGGATATGCAGATATGCAGAATATAAACAGGAAAGCAAAGCGAAGGAAAAAATGCTGCCACTCTAACAAATTTCAGGAAGTACTCCATGAAGGATGCCAGGATGGTGCGGGAGATGGAGAAAGGTCTTGCAGCTCCTTTTTCTGGATGTCGTTCAGTCTGGAACAATCTGAGATTTCATTTGACCTGCAGGCAGGAGTATGTATGAAAGAGCTCCTGGAGTCCAGGACCTGGACCCCACCTCTCTCTAGCTTAGTCTCCTCACCTTCTTCACCCGTGCCTCCCTCCAGCAATCTCTCTTCATGGCTTCCTGCAGGGTGGCAGCTACCTCGCCCACCCATGGGAGCGTCTTCTGTACAGGTTCGATTGGCTTCAGCTGTTCAAACATCTTCTCTTCTGTGGTGTCTCTTTCTAGCTTTATCCACTCCTGGCCTGGTGCCCAGGCCTGACTGGATTCCTTCCTGGGGCTATCTACCTCCCAGTAACTGGGCAGATGGAGAGGCCCAGCAAAGGCCCCAGGGTTTGATGTGGCTTCCTGTGACAAATGTATCTGCTCCAAGAGGCTGTCTTCCTTTTTTGTTCTGCTGTCCAAATTCTCCTCTTCCACAATTGAGAACAATTTTGCTTCCCTCAAAGCTGGGCCACCGAGTTCAGGGCCCTGGTCACCCTTGGCTCACCAGCTGCCATTGTTTAGTAACAACACCAGCCTGGGCTAGGTGTCTGCCGTCTGTTCTACCCTGCTTCTAGAAACCTGAGGTCAGAGAAAAACAAAACATATCAGCAAGAGGGAGGGTAAGAAACAGCTTCCTTATTTGGTCAGGGAATGCCAGCAGTTACTAAACCCCTACAGTGTGCCACTGGATGCTCTCAGCAATGAGGTAACAATTACTGGCCCTGTCTTAAGGACCTAATGCAGAGATGCTAAATAATTTTCCAAGGACAAGTGGACATTCTTGATCTACAAAAGTTAATGTTTAAACCTAATGTTAATGTTAGACTCAGTACCATTGGAAATCATGTAGCTGGGGTAACCAGGCTAGGATCTGTCACAGATCACCTCGAGTGAGTCTCTTTATTCTTTCTGACTTGGTTTCATCAGAAATGTGAGAATAAAGGAGACACTCTCTAAGATCTCTTCCATGACCAAAATTATACACACACACACACACACACACACACACAATTCTGTGATCTGGATTTTCAATACATGTAGTAGTTCCCCTTTATCATGGTTTTGCTTTCCAATGCTTCAGTTACCCATGGTCAACCATGGTTCAAAAATATTAAATGAAAAATTCCGGAGGACAGGCACAGTGGCTCACACCTGTAATCCCAGCATTTTGGGAGGCTGAGGTAGGCAGATCATCTGAGGTCAGGAGTTCGAGATCAGCCTGGTCAACATGGTGAAACCCTGTCTCTACTAAAAATACAAAAAGAAAATAGCTGGGCATAGTGGCACACATCTGTAATCCCAGCAACTCAGGAGGCTGAGGCAGGAGAATCACTTGAACCCTGGAGGTGGACGTTGCCATGAGCCAAGACTGCGCCACTGCACTCCAGCCTGGGACATAGAGCGAGACTCCGTCTCAAAAAAAAATCCAGAGATAAACAATTCCTAAGTTTTAAATTGCTTGACATTCTGAGTAGTGTGATGAAATCTTGTACCTTTTCTCTCTGGCCTGCCCAGGATGTGAATCATCCCTTTGACTAGCATATCCACACTGCAGACAATACCTGCCCATTAGTTCCTTAGTAGCTAGCCATCTCAGTTACCAGGTTGACTACTGTAGTATAGCAGTTGCCTGTGCTCAAGAATGCCTTATTTTACTTAATAATGACCCAAAAGCACAAGAGTAGAGACGCTGGAAATTCAGATATGCAAAGAGAAGCCATAAAATAAAAAGGTAAAAATTCTTGTCTTAAGGAAAGAAAAAATAATCATATGCTGAGGTTGCTAAGATTTACAATATAAATTATTTTGAGAGAGATACCACATTCATACAACTTTTATTACAATATATTGCTGTAATTGTTCTATCTTATTACTAGTTATTGTTGTCAATCTCTTACCATGCCTAATTTGTAAATTAAACTTTATCATTATTATGTATGTATAGAAAAAGAAAACCATAGTGTATACAGGGTTTGGTACTATTCATGGTTTCAAAGTATCCACTGGGGTGGGGCGCGGTGGATCACTTCAGGGCAGGAATTTGAGACCAGCCTGGCCAACATGGTGAAACCCCGTCTCTACTGAAAATACAAAAATTAGCTGGGCGTGGTGGCACGCTGTAGTCCCAGCTGCTCAGGATGCTGAGGCAGAATTACTTGAACCCGTGAGGTGAAGGTTGCAGTGAGCCAAGACTGTGCCACTGTACTCCAGCCTGGGTGACAGAGCGAGATTCTGCCTCAAACAACAACAAAAACAAAGTATCCACTAGAGCTCTTGGAACATATCACCTGTGGATAAGGAGAACCACTGTATATACAGATCTTTGTGAAGAATACTGCTAACAACCCAAGAGCAATCACTTATTCAGGGCTCACAATGAGCCCAGCACTGGAGTTCCCTGCTCATCCTTGGAAATTTCCTGCTCAGATGCAAACATAGCTGAACTCTCACCTTTTCCTGCTGACAGCCACTCACCCACATCTCCCTTACTAGAGATAGAAAGAAAAGAATAAAGACCAAAAAACCCTGTTGACTATTTTTTCCTTTCACTTTTTGAGAAGTGTTAATAGAACTGAAAATACCAGCAAGGAAAAACGCCCTCGAGGAATAGAGTTAATTGGATCTCCAAAATGTTGTCATGAAAGGTGCATTCCTGGGATATGAATTTGATTTCCTTCCTTTCTTCCTCTCTCTTTCTTTCCTCTCTCTCCCTTTCCTTTCCTGTCTTTCAAAACCATTCGCACTCCTTTTATGAGGCATGCAGATCTTGGATTATTCTTCCACTTTCCAGCCAACTGCACTTCAAAACAGCCTTAATAAGGCTGGGCACGGTGGCTCAGCCTGTAATCCCAACACTTGGGGAGGCCGAGGCGGGCGGATCACCTGAGGTCAGGAGTTTGAGACCAGCCTGACCAACATGGACCTCGTCTCTACTAAAAATACAAAATTATCCCGGCGTGGTGGCGCATGCCTGTAATCGTAGCTACTAGGGAGGCTGAGGCAGGAGAATCGCTTGAACCCGGGAGGCAGAGGTTGCGGTGAGCGGAGATCGCGCCATTGCACTCCAGCCAGGGAAATGAGAGTGAAACTCCGTCTCAAAAACAAACAAACAAACAAACAAAAAAAAAAAAACGCCTTAGTAACAGTGCCCTCAAGAACCTGGCCTTCCAGTTCTCTGGCAGAGAAGACCTACTGCTGCCGCTAGTCCTCAAGATGGCATTTGCTGGAGGCGGTAGGCAGAGGCCCTAAGTGTGGATTCTAACCCCCGTGGGGACTGAATCTCTGCGGCTGTTGCTTGCCCAGGCACGTTTGCCTCCCATGAACTTCCTTCATCCACAGGGCCCCAAACCTCATGCCGGCGGGAGGAGGAAGGAGACTGGGCATAACTCATCAGACTTTCGACTGTAAGAGCTGGAGGCCGCCTGCGGGCTTATCTGTACCCGGGCCTGTCCCCACCCTTCCAGAATGTAAATCCTCTGAGGGAATGTGTCGTCGCCATCTTTCAGTCCTTTGAGTGCACCCAGTCTCTCTCCAACCCAAAACCCTTTATCCACAGCAATTCTGAGAATGATGAGAATCCCCCTCACCCCTCACACCGCAAACAGTTGCAATGCTTAGTGGGATTCACCCTTGTCGTCACCAACCCTGCTACTCCAGCCACGTGAGTTTTCCGCCTGTCAGCCAAGCAAAATGGCCTTCCTGCAGTCGCACGGCCCTTTGGTCTCTGCTCAGGGCTTCGGGGACCCTTTCCAGCCATTGCCCTGCACCTACCCACCAGATCGCCGCCCTGGTGGGCGCTCCTGGCCCTGTCCTCCGCGCTTAGTTTGTCATTGGGCGCCCAGATCCGGAACCCCAGCCTCGAAGCTTCCGGTGGCCGGGAACAAAGCCGGTTTTGCTCACTGTCGCCTGGCAAAGCAGGCGCTTGTTAGCACCCACTGAATGCGCTTATGTGCTCAGAAACGGTCCCATTGGTTGGGACTACCTTCCCCGATGCCCATCCGCCCAGAATCTTCCTTCTGGGATGCCGACTTTTTCAACACGTGCCAGGAGCCCTTCCTCGGCCCGGAATCCCCAGAGTGCCCACAGTGGACAGGGCACCTGGATACACCCCAGACTAACCCACGTTTCCCCGGAGGACCCCAGAGGTTGGAAGCCCCTCCAAGATTAGGGGCGCAGTGCTCCCCTGGCCTGCGGAAGAGTCAGAGGAGTGGGGACAACATCCAACATCAGCCTCTACTACCGCTAGCGCGACTCCCCGCCGCCGCTCTACTCACCTGACGCGCGCAGTGGACCGCGATTTAGGGGCACAGGGTCTCCCGGGGACCAGCGGCTGGAGCGCTCCGGCCGAGCACCCGCAGTCCCGGCGCCGCGGCCCCACCCCGGCCCCGCCCTCTTCCGCTCCCTCCCAGTCATCAGGCCACCGAGAATGTGCCCCTTGACCCAGATGAGAGGGTGAGCCCGCCAAGGTCAAGCTTCCCATCCTAAGAATCACAGACAGCCCGGCCATGCACCACCACTTCGAGCCTCCGACCAACTGATAGCTGCTGGTCCCAAGTAGCGCTAGGATTTTCGCTTTCCCAGTCTTAATTGACTCTAAAAGAAGAAGAAAAAAAAGCCTGGGCGCGATTGCTCACACCTGTAATTCCGGCACTTTGGGAGGTCGAGGCTGGTGAATTACCTGAAGTCAGGAGTTCAAGACCACCCTGGCCAACATGGCGAAACCTCGTCTCTACTAAAAGTACAAAAATTAGCCAGGCGTGGTGGCGGGCGCCTGTAACCCCAGCTACTCAGGAGGCTGAGGCAGGAGAATCGCTTGAATCCGGGAGGTGGAGGTTGCAGTGAGCCCAGATCACGCCACTGCACTCCAGCCTGGGCAAAAAGAGTGAAACTCCATCTCAAAAAAAAAAAAAAAAAAAAAAAAGAGGAAAGTATTTACGAAAAAAAAAAAAAAAGACCAAAGTATTATGATTAAAACACGCGGCTGAGAGCGGTGGCTCACACCTGTAATCCCAGCACTTTGGGAGGCTGAGGGGGCGGATCACCTGAGGTCAGAAGTTCGACCTCAGCGTGGCCAATATGGCGAAACCTTGTCCCTATTAAAAATACAAAAGTTAGCCGGTGGTGGTGACGCACACCTGTAATCCCAGCTACTTGGGAGACATTGCCGTTACTGGGCAAGTGTTCTTTCAAGAGCATCTTATCTGAATTACTATAGTACTAAAGAATGTCTAGGCTGGGCCCCCGTGGCTCACTCCTGGAATGCTAACACTTTGGGAAGCTGAGGAGGGAGGATTGCTGGAGGCCAGGAGTTCAAGACCAACCTGGGCAACATAGCAAGACCCTTTCTCTAGAAAAAATGAAAACAACTTGGCCAGGTGTTGTGGTACATGCCTTTAGTCCTAGGTGCTTAGGAGGTTGAGGTGGGAGGATTGCTTGAGCTCAGGAGTTTGAGGTTACAGTGAGCTATGATTGCACCACTGCATTCCAGCCTTGGCAATGGAGTGAGGCCCTATTTCTAAACAGAACAAAAAAAAAGAATGCCTGCTGATAAACCTTGTGACAGGACATTCATGAAGGATGAAGAAAAGATTTCTTTTATTTTTTTATTTTTATTTTTTTGAGACAGAGTCTCGCTCTGTTGCCCCGGCTGGAGTGCAGTGGCGCCATCTCAGCTCACTGCAACCTCCAACTCCTGAGTAGCTGGGATTACAGGTGCGTGCCACCATACCCGGTTAATTTTTTTTTTTTTTTTTTTTTTTTTTAGTACACACAGGGTTTCACCATGTTGGTCAGGCTGGTCTCAAACTCCTGACCTCATGATCTGCCTGCCTCAGCCTCCCAAAGTGCTGGGATTACAGGCGTGAGCCACCGCGCCCGGCTAGAAAAGATTTCTTTCTTTTTTCTTTTTTTTTTTTAATTATACTGTAAGTTTTAGGGTACATATGCACAACATGCCGGTTAGTTACATATGTATACATGTGCCATGTTGGTGTGCTGCACCCATAACTCATCATTTAACATTAGATATATCTCCTAATGCTATCCCTCCCCACTCCCTAGAAAAGATTTCTTGTGGAGTTTTTAAAAAGTCCTTTGAAACAATTCTTTTCTTTTCCTTTTTTTTTTTTTTCGATACAGAGTTTTGCTCTTGTTGCCCAGGCTAGAGTGCAATGGCATGATCTCGGCTCACCGCAACCTCCGCCTCCCGGGTTCAAGCGATTCTCCTGCCTCAGCCTCCCTAGTAGCTGGGATTACAGGCATGCACCACCATGCTTGGCTAATTTTGTATTTTTAGTAGAGATGGGGTTTCTCCATGTTGGTCAGGCTGTTCTCGAACTCCCAACCTCAGGTGATCCACCCACCTCGGCCTCCCAAAGTGCTGGGATTACAGGCATGAGCTACCACGCCCAACTTAACAATTCTTACTTCAAACATGTAAGCATGACGTTCCTCTCCTTCATGCCTTCCTGGCCTTTTTTTTTTTTTTTTTTTTTTTTGAGACAGAGTCTCGCTTCTTCACCTAGGCTAGCGTGCAATGGTGTGATCTTGGCTCACTGCAACCTCCACCTCCCAGGTTCAAGCAATTCTCGTGCCTCAGCCTCCCCAGTAGCTGGGATTACAACCACATGCCAGCACGTCCGACTAATTTTTGTACTTTTAGTAGAGATGGGGGTTTCACTATGTAGGCCAGGCTGGTCTCGAACTCCTGACCTCAGGTGATCCGCTCGCCTCGGCCTCCCAAAGTGCTGGGATTACAAGCGTAAGCCACCGTGCCTGGCCTGGCCCTATTTTATCTGGGTCTGACAAAAGTTATTTCATCCTAGTATCTGCAATTTTTCCGCAGAAAATTACAGAGACGCACAGTGAATGTGAAAGGAGGGAAATTAACAATAGCTATTGGCAGAGCCAAACAAATCATTACACTTTAGCTGGATCATCTGGGAGTTGAGACCTTGAGGGTATAAGGAGGTAGCATGTCAATGCTTGTTAAGAAAGAATGGCAACAACTGTGCTGCCTTACAGATCAGCACCTTCTGCAGTCTGCGAGCCCAACCTTAGATCCATTTGTAGGCAACAGTAAAAGGTCTCATATTTTCATCGCAGTGAGCCCTGACTGCCATCAGGAAGATTTGGTCCTCTAGGTAAGATTTCCCTGAGACAAAGTACTATGGGAAATCAAGTGCATATTCAGCCTCTTAGTACTCTGGGTTGGTGTTACCGTACTGACGAAGGCGATCCATTGATGAAAAACAAACTGACCTAAAGAAATGTAAATAAATGCTTGCAGTCAGCCCTGTTCCTCTGAAAAATTCCCCTAGCCCTTATGTTGAAACCTGATGAGAACTTTAAAAATGTTAACTTGGTAATGGATGGAATCCTCCTCATTCAAGGTTACCCCTGTGCAAGTCAAGCTCAAGTCAGCCTGAAGGTGCAAACCCCATGGACTCAGCCAGAGCCTATGGCTGTGGGTGCTAGATCCAAGGCCAAAACTGATGGCATCAGCCATCAGGATGTTTCTGCCCAATATAAAGTATTGGGTGGGCTGAGAACACTGAAAGCTTGCCATGCAGAAAGAAACTGAAAGTAAATGCGTGACTTTAATGGAACAGAACTTGTTTCTCCCTCCATGCTCCCAATCCCTTTAGATCCCTTTATCTCACCTCAGCCACTTTAAGACAAAAGGTGATTGGAGGTGTAGAGAAGTTCTAATGGGATACATTCATTTGCAGTAGTCCCCCAAGGTACTGTGATAGGCAGAATTCTAAAGATGCTTTCCGCCTCAAGATTGCTTCCCCTGGTTATTCAGTCAAATACTAATCAAAGTACAGATGCTCTTCAATTTAAAATGGGGTTATGTTTCAATAAAACCATTGTAACTGAAAAATATTTTCAAGTGGAAAATGTATTTAATGCACCTAACCTACTGAATATATTAGCTCAGCCTAGCCTACCTTAAATGTGCTCAGAACACATTTGCCTACAGTTGGGCAAAATCACTTAACACAAATCCCCTTGTATGATAAAGTGTTGACTATCTCATGTAACTGGTTGCATACAGTACAGTATAGAGTACAGTATCAGTTGTTACCATCATAATTGTGTGGCTGATGGGAGCTGCAGCTCACTACTGCTGTCCAGCACCGTCACAGAGTATCATACTCTCTAACCCAGGAAAATATCAAAATTCAAAGTACAGTTTATACTGAATGTGTGTTGCTTTCACATCATCATAAAGTTGAAAAACTGTAAGTTGAGCCATCGTAAATCAGGGACCATCTGCACCACTATGTAGGGATTATGCTGTTGTAATTGAAGTCCCAAGACAATTGACCATAAAACAGGTTATCTGGTTGGGCCTGATCTAACCACATGAACTCCTTAAGGGGCAGAAAAAACAAAGATCAAAGAGAAGTTGGGAAGATTCAAAGCAAAAGAAGTATTCAGTGTACCATGGCTGTGTTTCAAGATGGAGGTGGCCATGAGCAAAAGAATGCAGGTAACTTCCAGAAGCTGAGAGCAACCCTTGGTTGACAGCTAGCAAGGAAACAGGAACCTAATTCCTATAATCACTTCTTCTCCCCTTGTCTTCTTCCCTTTCTTCGTGTGTAAGCGCATTATACTATCTCTGTAAGCACAAAAATTGCCTAAAATTTAAGTGTAGTTTTCTGATCGCTTGTAAAACTGACACAGCTATAATTATCATCCATGTTAAAAACACCATCCCAGTTAGAAACCTGTGAGCCTCTCCCCAAGCAGAACCCATTTATCCTACACAGGTGTCATCAGAGCTGATTCCTTTCTATGCCCCTTTATCTCTAATGTCCCTATTCTGCTCCTGTTTTCACTTCACCAGCAGCTTCTCCAACTCCCTAGGCCAATGCCCTGAGAATTTCCCTTCCTCTCCCCCATCCTAGGGATGGAGAGTAGGGGTTGGTCCCCAGGATAAGCCACATTTATCCCTGGAAGCAGCAGCAGAAGTGACAGTATGTTTGTGGGGTCCACTTGTAACCTGGGAACCACTTGTTTTGGCCTGGAAACCTCGCTCTGTCCCGAGGTCAGAATCCACGGTCACTAGGTGGAGAGGAAACATCTATGTCAGCGTGGATTTGGGAAACACTTCAGATTCCGAGCCTAACACGGGACTGGGGCGCCCCCTTGGGTACGTTGTCCTGTCCAGTTGCTGAAAGCCAAAGGTGACAATGGGGAGGTCTCAACCTGAGGAGGAGGCCAAAAGAGTCCGGTCTTCTGTTCTCAGCCCGGTGACCACACACAAGTGCCGATGTTCTGCTCTCTTGGATTCTGATTGAGCAGCCTGGGAGAGGACTGGGCTGCAGTCTAAACTGGACAGATATGGCTGGTGTGGAGGCTGGCTGTCAATGAGGGAGTGAAGGTAAGCCGCCCGAAAAGTAGATAATTTTTACTTCCACTTTCTTTTTCTTTCCTGAGCACTAGTTATAAAAATATCCTTTTAAAATCTAAAATATTGGCCAGGCACGGTGGCTCACACTTGTAATCCCAGCACTTTGGGAGGCCGAGGCAGATGGATTACCTGAGGTGGGGGGTTTGAGACCAGCCTGACCAATATGGAGAAATCCTCTCTCTACTAAAAATACAAAATTAGCCGGGCATGGTGGTGCATTCCTGTAATCCCAGCTACTCAGGAGGCTGAGGCAGGAGAATCTCTTGAGCCTGGGAGGTGGAGGTTGCGGTGAGCCAAGATCGCGCCATTGCACTCCAGCCTGGGCAACAAGAGCAAAACTCCGTCTCAAAAATCAAATCAAATCAAATCAAATCAAATCTACAATATTTTTGGATTTACAGAAAAGTTGCAAAGATAGTACATAGTTCTCCTATGTTCCACATTCAGTTTCCTCTATTATTAATGTCTTATTTTATTATACATTTGTGACAGGTTATGAAACAATATTGATACATTGTTACTAACTCCTATTTTATTTGGATTTTATTCTTTTCCCTAACATCACTTTTATGTTCCAGGATCCCATCCAGGATACATTACATTTAGTCCCCTTTATATCTCCTTAGCCTCCTCTGGTCTGTGACAATTTCTCAGACCTCGTTTTTGATAATTTGGTATTTCTTGAGGAGTACTAGTGAGGCATATTGTAAAATGTCCCTTAATTTGAGTGTGGTTGACAGGGCTATAGGTTTGGGGGAAGAAGAGCACAGAGATGAAATGCAATACTCTCAATACAACATACCAAGAGTGTATATTACCCAGTTGATGTATCAAATGATTATGTTAACCTCCATCACTTGGCTAGGGCAGTGTTTCCCAGTCTATAATATATAATTTTTAATAGCAGCCCAAAAAGACTAAAACACTTGCCCTTGCATGAAGAACCCTGTCTGACTTCTGGGAGCCCAAGGAGACGCAGGGGAGGTCCACAGCGAGAAGAAAAGGGGGCTCAGGTCGTCTGTCCTCAGGTCTATGGCCACTTGGGGGTGGCACCTCTCTGGTGTCTCAGACACAAATTGAGCAATCAGAAAAGGCTGGGATGTCTGTGGTCTGAGTTGGGCAGAGGTGGCTGACCCTGGAACCTGACATCAATAGGGGGATGAAGACAATTTCTGAGCAGCCCCAGTAGTCAGAGGACAAGAGAACTCTGGAGCCCCGCACTGTCTCTGAGGTTCCAATCTTTTCTCCCTCTTCCCAGCCCCTTGATAGGAAACCCTGGGAAAACTAAAAAGTATACTGTTTTTTCTTTAACTCCCTATTCCTTTCCTCTTCTGAGGGTTGTTGTTGTTGTTTTTTTTTAATAAACTTATTAATTTTAGAATACTTTTAGATTACACAAAAGTTGAAAAGATAATACATAGTTCTCACATATGTCACACTCAGCTCCCCATTGTTAACATATTTTTTTTTTTTTTGAGGGAGTCTCACTCTGTCACCCAGGCTGAAGTGCAGTGGCACGATTTCGGCTCACTGCAACCTCTGCCTCCGGGTTTCAAGCCATTCTCCTGCCTCAGCCTCCTGAGTAGCTAGGATTACAGGTGCGCGCCACCATGCCCAGCTAGTTTTTGTAGTTTTAGTAAAGACAGGGTTCCACCACATTGGCCAGGCTGGTCTCGAACTCCTGACCTCAGGTGATCTACCCGCTCAGCTTCCCAAAGTGCTGGCATTACAGGTGTGTGCCACTGCCCCCAGCCCCATTGTTAACATCTTATATCACTATTATACATTTTTCACAACCAGTGAGACAATATTAATATAGTATCACTAAACTTTATTTCGATTTCATTAGCTCTTTCTGTTTTGAAACAAAGTCTTGCTCTGTCACCCAGGCCGGAGTGCAATGGCATGATGTCCACTCACTGCAACCTCCACCTCCCAAGTTCAAATGATTTTCATGCCTCAGCCTCCTGAATAGCTGTGACTACAGACACATGCCACCGTGCCTGGCTGATTTCTGTATTTTTAGTAGAGACAGGATTTCACCATGTTGGTCAGGCTGGTCTCTTACTCCTGACCTAAAGTGATCCACCCGCCTTGGCCTCCCAAAGTGCTAGGATTACAGGTGTGAGCCACCATGCCCAGCCAGGTTTCATTAGTTCTTTTAACTTCCTTTTTCTGTCACAGGATTTCATCGAGGATATCACATTGTATTTAGTCCTAATCATGTCTCCTTAAGGCTCCTCCAGGTTGACTTTGTTTTCAATGACTGTCTTAGTATGTTGAGTATTACTATAACAGAATAACTTGAAACTGGGTAGTTTATAAAGAGAAGATGTTTATTTAGCTCATGATTTTGCAGGCTGGGAAGTTCAACAGGATAGTGCTGGATCTGGCAAACTTCTGGTGAAGGCCAAATGTTAGGTCAAAACATTTTGGAGAAGGGGAAAAGTGAGTGGCATGTGCAAAAACATCACATGGGGAGACAGGGAAGCAAGAGAGAGTCTAGGAAACCAAACTTGCTTTTATAACAACCTGCTTTTTGGTAACTAACCTAGCCCCAACAGAGTAATAAATTACTCGCTCATGTGGGAGGACATTAATCTATTCATGAAGGATCTGCTCCTGATGACCCAAACGCCTCCCACTAAGCCCCACCTCCAACACCACCACCACATTGAGAACTTTTTTTTTTTTGCCTGAGGTTGGGAGTTTGAGACCAGCCTCACCAACATGGATAAACCCTGTCTCTACTAAAAATAGAAAATTAGCCAGGTGTGATGGCACATGCCTGTAATCCCAGTTATTCAGGAGGCTGAGGCAGGAGAATTGCTTGAACCCGGGAGGTGGAAGTTGCAGTGAGCCAAGATCATGCCATTGCACTCCAGCCTGGGCAACAAGAGTGAAACTCTGTCTCAAAGAAAAAAAAAAAAGAGTAAACAAAATTTAATTTTCCTAATGGAAAAAATTATGGTGCATTCTATAACAATAGAGGACTCACAGAAAACTTTGCAGGTAGATATATCAATAGAGCAATGAAAACAAAGGTATGTAAGTAGTAAATAGAAACTTCAGAGTAAATAGGTAAGAATTCCACAAAACTCAATGTACTGAAGGTTCATTTTACTCTCTAAAGGAGGAAGAACAGTCGTCTTGATGGGTGTGTTTAAGGGGCAATGATTGTGATGGAGTCTCAAATATTTCCTGACAGATTTTCTGATGTGTAACAATTTTCCTGAAAATGCAAATGATTCAGATCTTTTCTTTATCTTTCATTGTTTATTAATATCATATAAACACCAGCCTGACAAAAATGGTGAAACCCCATCTCTACTAAAAATACAAAAATTGGCCGGGCGTGGTGGCACGTGCCTGTAATCCCAGCTACTCAGGAGGCTGAGGCAGGAGAATCCCGTGAACCAGGGAGGCAGAAGTTTGCAGTGAGCCGAGATCGCGCCATTACACTCCAGCCTGGGCGACAGAGTGAGACTCTGTCCGCCCCGCGCCCCCCTCCCCCCACAAAAAATAAACAGCAGAACACCTTAACTATGAAGAGAATACAATATCATTCATTTGCTCTCTTTTTTTCTAGTATCATTTATCACACACACACACCCTCACACCTTTTGCTCAATAGGTAAACATCTCTTTCACTTCTGTATCACTTTCTTTCTTTCTTTCTTTCTTTCTTTCTTTTTTGAGACGGAGTCTCGCCCTTTAAGTGCAGTTGCGCTGTCTCTGCTCACTGCAAGCTCCGCCTCCCGGGTTCACGCCATTCTCCTGCCTCAGCCTCCCGAGTAGCTGGGACTACAGGCGCCCGCCACCGTGCCGGGCTAATTCTTTGTATTTTTAGTAGAGACTGAGTTTCACCTGTTAGCCAGGATGGTCTCGATCTCCTGACCTCGTGATCCGCCCTCCTCGGCTTCCCAAAGTGCTAGGATTACAGGCGTGAGCCACCGCGCCCGGCCTCTGTACCATTTTCTCCACTTTGAGGCAGAGTCTCTCTCTGTCGCCCAGGCTGGAGTGCAGTGGCGGGATCTCGGCTCACTGCAAGCTCCACCTCCCGGGTTCACGCCATTCGTCTGCCTCAGCCTCCAGAGTAGCTGGGACTACAGGTGCCCGCCACCACGCCCGGCTAATTTTTTTGTATTTTTAGTAGAGACGAGGTTTCACCTCGTTAGCCAGGATGGTCTCGATCTCCTGACCTAGTGATCCGCCCACCTCGGCCTCCCAAAGTGCTGGGATGATAGGCGTGAGCCACCGCGCCCGGCCTTTTTAAGACAGAGTTTCGCTCTTGTTGCCCAGGCTGGAGTGCAATGGCCCGATCTTGGCCCACCACAACCTCTGCCTCCTGGGTTCAAGTCAAGCGATTCTCCTGCCTCAGCCTTCCGAGTAGCTGGGATTACAGGCATGCACCACCACGCCTGCCTAATTTGTATTTTCAGTAGAGAGGGGGTTTCTCCATGTTGGTCAGGCTGGTCTCAAACTCCCAACCTCAGGTGATCCGCCGGCCTTGGCCTCCCAATTTCCTGGGATTACAGGCGTGAGCCACCGCACCCAGCCTGGTTTAATACTTTTTATTTAGTGGCACAATGCCCAGGAATGAATTAAAGTCATTAAATGAGGACTAGGTTGCTATGCACTTGGCTGTTTCTGGACTTCCTGTGCTGTTCCATTGGTTGGTCTATTCATTCACCAGTGCCACACTGTTCTAGTGACAGGGAATTTGTAAAATATTTAACTATTAGGCATAACTAGACACCCAATTCTCAATTTGTTTTTTTCCCCCAAGGGATTTTCTAATTATTCTTATTTATTTTCTCATGTGAACTTTATAATCTACTTGTCTAGCTTGAGAAAAAAAGTAGTTGTTGGCATTTTGATTAGGAGGTATTACATTTGAAAATTTACTCTGCAAATGTGCTGTATAGTCTTCCTATTTGAGAATGTTCTTCTGTACTACACAGCCATAAAAAGGAATGAATTAACAGCATTTTCAGTGACCTGGATGAGATTGGAGACTGTTATTCTAAGTGAAATAACTCAGGAATGGGAAACCAAACATTGTATGTTCTCACTGATATGTAGAAGCTGAGTTATGAAGACACAAAGGCATATGAATGATGCAATGGACTTTGGGGACTTGAGAGGAAGAATAGGAGGGGGCAAGGGACAGAAGACTACAAGGTGCAGTGTATACTGCTCGGGTGATAAGTGCATCGAAATCTCACAAATCACCACTAAAGAACTTACTCGTGTAACCGAATACCACCTGTACCCCAAGAACTTACGGAAAAGAAAAAAAAAAGTTCTTCATTTTTTTTTTTTTTTTTTTTTTGAAATGGACTCTCATTCTGTCACCCAGGCTGGAGTGCAGTGGTGTGACCTCGGCTCACCACAACCTCCACTTCCCAGGTTCAAGCCATTCTCCTGCCTCAGCCTCCCAGGTAGTTGGGATTATAGGCTCACACCACCACACCCGGCTAATTTTT
Organism: Homo sapiens; assembly: GCF_000001405.40. NCBI lineage: Eukaryota > Metazoa > Chordata > Mammalia > Primates > Hominidae > Homo > Homo sapiens. The sequence continues at coordinate 1,000,728 of NT_167249.2, forward strand.
GTATTTTTAGTAGAAGCAGGGTTTCACCACTTGGCCAGGCTGGTCTCAAACTCCTGATCTCAGGTGATCCTCCAACCTCAGCCTGCCAAAGTGCTGAGATTACAGGCGTGAGACACCGCACCCGGCCCGATTTGTTCATATCTAATTTTTAAATTTCAGATGTGTTTTAATGTTTTCATTTAAAGTTTGCACACTTCTTAGTAATTTTTTCATTAAAAACCTTTTTGTTTCTATTATATATGAGGTTATCGCCTCACAAAAATTTTAACTTTTTATTGTTTATATGAACAAAGGCAATTGTTTAATGTTTGGGAATTTATATGCTACTATATGCTATTTCTTTTCTTTTCTTTTCCTTTACTTTTTTGTTTTTTTTGAGAGGGAATTTCACTCTTGTCGCCCAGGCTGGAGTGCAATGGCGCGATCTGGGCTCACTGCAACCTCTGCCTCCTGGGTTCAAGCGATTCTCCTGCCTCAGCCTCCCAAGTAGCTGGGATTTATAGGCACGCACCACCATACCCGGCTAATTTTGTATTTTTAATAGAGGCAGGTTTTCACCACGTTGGCCAGGCTGGTCTTGAATTCCTGATCTCAGGTGATCTGCCTGTCTCAGCCTCCCAAAGCGCTGGGATTAGTCGTGAGCCACCTCGCCCGGCCTAGTCCCTTCTTTCAAATTTCATCACCACTCTTTGCTTGTTTTTCTTTTTTTCTTTTCTTTTCTTTTTTTTTTTTTGAGACAGAATCTCGCTCTGTCAGCCAGGCTGGAGTGCAGTGGCACGATCTCGGCTCACTGCAAGCTCCGCCTCCCAGGTTGAAGCGATTCTCCTGCCTCAGCCTCCTGAGCAGCTGGGACTACAGGTGCGTGCCACCATGCCCAGCTAATTTTTGTATTTTTAATAGAGGTGGAGTTTCTCCATACTGGCCAGGCTGGTCTCTAACTCCTGATCTCGTGATCCGCCCACCTCAGCCTCCCAAAGAGCTAGGATTACAGGTGTGAGTCACCGCGCCCGGCCGCAATTTTTTTTTTTTTTTTTTTTTTTTTTTTTTTTTTTTTTTTTTTTTGAGAAGGAGTCTGGCTCTTGTTGCCCAGGCTAGAGTGCAATGGCGCCATATTGTAGCAGGACGAGCCGCAGACAAAACTCCTCAGACACCGAGTTAAAGAAGGAATGGGTTTATTCGGCCGGGGGCATCGGCAAGACTCCTGTGTCAGGAGCCGAGCTCCCCCAGTGAGCAATTTCTGTCCCTTTTAAGGGATCACAACTCTAAGGGGGTGCGCTTGAGAGGGCCGTGATCGATTGAGCAAGCAGGGGTTATGTGACTAGGGGCTGCATGTCCCAGTAATTAGATCGGAACAAACAGGATAGGGATTTTCACAGTGCTTTTTTTTTTTTTTTTTTTTTTTTTGAGACGGAGTCTCGCTCCGTTGTCCAGGCTGGCGTGCAGTGGCGCGATCTCGGCTCACTGCAAGCTCCACCTCCCGGGTTCTCGCCATTCTCCTTCCTGCCTCAGCTTCGGGAGTAGCTGGGACTACAGGCGCCTGCAACCACGCCCGGCTAATTTTTTGTATTTTTAGTAGAGACGGGGTTTCACTGTGTTACCCAGGACAGTATCGATCTCCTGACCTCGTGATCCACCCACCTTAGCCTCCCAAAGTACTGGGATTACAGGCGTGACCCACCGTGCCCGGCCTGAAAAATCCACTGTTAGACTGATGGAATTTCCTACATAGGTTTTTAGGACACTTTTTCTCTTCTCTTGCTCATTTTAAGATTTTTTTTCCTTTACATTGAGTTTAGATTGTCTGATGACTATTTGTCTTGGTGAAGTCCATCTTGCAATGTATTTTCCAGGAGTTCTCTAAGTATCTTCTATCTGGATTTTAAATCTGTAGCCAGGGTTAGGGAAGTTTTCCTCAATTATTTCCTCAAGTAGATTTTCCACACTTTTTACCCTTCATTCTCCCTTAGGAATACCTATGATTCATGGGTACAGATGTTTTACATAACCCCATACTTCCTGAAGGCTTTGTTCATATTTTAATTCTCTTTTCTTTCTTTTTGTCTGACTGGGTTAATTTGAAAGACCTGTCTTCAAGCTCTGAAATTCTTTCTTCTGCTTGGTCTAGTCTATTGTTAAAGCTTTCAGCTGCATTTGGAACTACTTTGATGAATTTTTTATTTCCAGGTGGTTTAATTTTTTTTTTTTTTTTCTTTTGAGAAGGAGTCTCGCTCTGTCGCCCAGGCTGGAGTGCAGTGGCGCAATCTCGGCTCACTGCAAGCTCTGCCTCCCGGGTTCAGACCATTCTCCTGCCTCAGCCTCCTGAGTAGCTGGGACTACAGGCGCCTGCAACCAGGCCCGGCTAATTTTTTGTATTTTGAGTAGAGACGAGGTTTCACTGTGTTAGCCAGGATGGTCTAGATCTCCTGACCTCGTGATCTGCCCGCCTCAGCCTCCCAAAATGCTGGGATTACAGGCATGAGCCACCGCGCCCAGCCCAGGTGGTTTACTTTTTTAAAAATATTTATCTCTTGGTAAATTTTTTATTCATATGCTGAATTGATTTTTTACATTTCTTTGTGTTGTTTTCAACTTTCTCTTGGATTTCATTGAGCTTCTTTATAATCATTATTTTGAATTATTTATTTGGTATTTCAAAGATTTTATTTTTGTTAGGATCTATTGCTAGAAAGTTAGTGTAATGTTTTGGGGATGTCATAACACTCTTTTTTCAGAGTATGTTTTCAAAACATTCTACTGTTTTCAACAGAGAAACAAAGGACTTACTTAAAAAATAGAAAACATAGAGAGTTCCAGAATCATTTCTTTGGTTCCTTCTCATCTGTAGAAACTTTCTCTTCTTATTTTTGAATTTATTTCATTTGGGCAGGATTTTTTTTTCCCTTTACTATGTGACTATAATGTATGTTGTTTAAGGTCCTTTGCATTTGGTTGTGAATGCTTTCAGTGGCAAAGACGCTGTAGTTGTCCCCTGGTTATAGATAGCCTTTGTATGGTGGCTTTCTCAAATGCCAGTTGTGGTGGTGATGTACTGGGAGTGTGAACAGGCTCACAGCCTCCTGCAGGGCCAGGATGGCAGAGGTTTAAGAAGTTTATCTCATTTCCTCTTTTGGAAGAGATGAGAAGTTTATTTCCACTCATGTGCCCTTTTGTCAACTGATTTGTATTGAGGTGCGTGGTTCAGCCTCCAGAACAGTAGGTGGGCTTATGCCTAAAAGCCTATGTGGCAGAAGCACGTGAGTATATGCTTCATCATTGTATACCTAGAAAAGTTCTCTGTTGCCTCAGGAAATGTGCTGGTAAGTGGAATGTACAGCAGCCTGGGCTCCCTGCTCAGCACCAGAGAGGGGGACATAGCTGAGTAGAGCTGGATCCCCAAGCCTGCCCCACAATGGTGAGCACAGGCAGCAGCTTTCAGGCAGGAGTGATGGCATGGGAAACTTCTGGTGAAACGTGCCTAGGTCTCCACAGATGAGGAGAGGGCTGCCCCAGCTTCATGACCTGGCCAGGCAGGAATGCCATCCATTTCCCTGTCATTCCCTAGTCCTGGCATCGGGGAAACTCAAATTGACCAGACACTACTCTCTATCTCCAACTGCAATGTAGTTGAGACTCATTAAAGATGTCTTCTCCTCAGCTCACCATTTAAATGTCTTTGGTGCAGAGCATCCTCCCTCAACCCCAAACACATAGCTTTTCTTTTTCTTTTTTTTTTTGAGATGGAGTTTTGCTCTTGTTGCCCAGGCTGGAGTGCAATGGCGTGATCTCAGCTCACCGCAACCTCCACCTCCCAGGTTCAAGCAATTCTCCTGCCTCAGCCTCTCGAGTACCTGGGATTACAGGCATGCGCCACCACGCCTGGCTAATTGTTTTTGTAGTTTTAGTAGAGACAGGGTTTCTCCATGTTGGTCAGGCTGGTCTCGAACTCCTGACCTCAGATGATCCGCCCACCTCGGCCTCCCAAAGTGCTGGGATTACAGGCGTGAGCCACCGCGCCTGGCCTGCACATAGCTTTTCAGCTTTCCTGCTCTCCACTGCAGGAATGCTAGCACTCCCTGTAGAGAGGGGAAAGGGCCCTGTCTTTCACACAAGCCTGGCCCAAATGGCCACACTGCCAGTGGAAACACAGTCACCCCTGATAGCCCTAGAAAGGCTCTTCTCTGGCACACGTGCCAATTTCCCATGGGAGTGGCCATGCTGTGTTTGAAGCAGTGGTGGATGGGGGAAGGGCAGGAGAATTTCCCCTTTCCATGCCTGATTCTAAGCACTGGGGCTGCTTGGCTGCTGGGATGGAACTACACTCCTTCAGCGCAGAGCTGAACACAGTGTCCACGACTCTGCTGGAAGTGGTGCAGTCACTCAGCCCACAAACAAGGAGCTCTTGGACACAGATGAGTACATGGTCTGGCCTCCTTTGTCCCAACTGGTACTTTTTTTGTGTACTGCAGTCTCCCTTTCCTTAGGAGCAGCAATCCCTGATGGCTAGACCACTGGGAACCCTGCAGCTCCACTGGGTCCAGCCAGCCCTGTGTGGCTGCCACAATCCAAGTGGGCACTGGGGGCATGGCTGCAGGAGCTTCTGTGATGTGAATATACAAAGGTTGGGGTTCCCTGGGAAGGACACAGTCCCCTGATGGCTACACTCCTAATATGGCACCCTGCCAACACTGCCCGAGTCTGGAGGAGGGACAAGTGACCCAGCGCAAGTTGGTTGTCTGGTGTGATGCCCTCCAGAAGTTCCCAAATCGCCATGCACATCAGTGTTTGGCTTTGTGAGGGCAGAGGAGCTCTCCGACAGTTCAGATACTGGTGGTCTTCCTTAGGGACGACGGGAGTCAAAACACTCCTATCTTACCTTTCAATGAAATACCAAGTCTCTCAAGGTTCCTAGCTGATTTCTGCCAGCTTCTTACTTTCTTCTTTTTTTCTGTCTCAGCTTTTCCCCATGAGTTCTGAAACATTCTGATGTGATTCTGACAGCTATTTCCACACTCAGGCTGGGCCCTGGAGGAGTGCCCTCTGCTGGTTCTCTGAGACCTGTGGCTGGGATCATCTCTGATAAGGTTTGGGTGTTTGTCCCCTCCAAATCTCATGTTGAAAGATCCCCAGTGTTGGAGCTGGGGCCTAGTGGGAGGCGTTTGGGTCATGGGACCGGTTCTCTCTTGAGTGGCTTAGTACCCTGCCCATGGTAATGAGTGAGCTTTCACTCTATTCGTTCACACGAGAGCTGATTATTTAAAAGAGCCTAGCAGCTCTCTTGCTCTTTCTCTCTCCATGTGACACACCTGCTCTTCCTTTGCCTTCTGCCACAAGTAAAAGCTTCCTGAGACTTCACCAGAATCCTAGTGGAGCTGGCCCCATGATTGTACAGCCTGCAGAACTGTGAGCCAAATAAATCTCTTTTCTTTATAAATTACTTAAACCCAGGTATTCCTTTACAACAACGCAAATGGACTAATACAGTCTCCCTCTGCTGCCTCCAAGGTCATTCCTTGATCTTCACTGCTTTAGGCAGCCTTTTACCCTACTTTGTAGTTGGAGCTTCAGGGGCTTAACATCTTAAAAGTTTTATTTTATTTTTTAATTTATGCTTTTTAAAAAAATTTTTTTGAGATGGAGTTTTGCTCTTGTTGCCCAGGCTGGAGTGCAATGGTGTGATCTCGGCTCACCGCAACCTCTGCCTCCTGGGTTCAAGCGATTCTCCTGCCTCAGCCTCCCAAGTAGGTGGGATTACAGGCGCGCAACACCATGCTCGGCTAATTTTTGTTGTTTTAGTAGAAACAGTGTTTCACCATGTTGGTCAGGCTGGTCTCGAACTCCCGACCTCATGATCCGCCCGCCTTGGCCTCCCAAAATGCTGGGATTACAGGCATGAGCCACCGCACCCAGCCAAATGATTTTTAAAAAATAATTACTATGTATAAAATAACAAATAGGTAATTTGGGTAATTTCATTTTGAACTCTTTGGCTAAATATTTTATGTACATATTGTCTCAGCAATCAGGAATTAAAATTTATAAACACTATTAACAAGCAATACTCTCTGATTTGAAGGAGAATCTAATTTGGAAGTCAGTCACATGATGATTGTGTTTTTAAGTTTTTTTTTCCATGCATTTGTTATTTTATGAATTGGTCTGAATGATGAGGCCAGGCAAGTGTATACATCTTTTCACTGGTAGAAAAATCTGTAGCAAAGCCTGTGCCCTTTTTACAACAATGACTTTTTTTTTTTTTTTTTTTTGAGATGAAGTCTCACTCTTGTGGCCCAGGCTGGAGTGCAATGGTGCTATCTGGGCTCACTGCAACCTCCATCTCCTGCCTCAACCTCCCGAGTAGCTGGGATTACAGGCGTCCATCAACAGTCCCGGCTAATTTTTGTATTTTTGGTAGAGGCGGGGTTTCACCATGTTGGCCAGGCTGGTCTTGAACCCCTGACCTCAGGTGATCCACCCGCCTCGGCCTCCCAAAGTGCTGGGATTACAGGCATGAGCAACCACACCCAGCCTGGATTTTGAAAAATGTATAGAATCATATATCCACTACCCTAGTACCATCTACAACAGTTCCTTCATCCTAAAAATTTCCCTTTGAATGTTCTTTATCCCTTCTCCCTCCAACCTTTGATAACCATTAACCTGTTTTCTGTCCCCATAGATCTGCTTTTTCCAGAATGGTATATGAATTGAGTCAGATAAAATGAAGCCTTTTGTGTCTGACATTTTTTTCACCTGGTAAAACGCATTTAAGATTAATTGATGTATGGATTAATAGCTTATTTACATATATATATATATATTTTTTTTTTTTTTTTTTTGAGACAGAGTTTTGCCCTTGTTGCCCAGGCTGGAGTGCAATGGCGCGATATTAGCTCGCTGCAACCTCTGCCTCCCAGGTTCAAATGATTCTTCTGCTTCAGCTTCCTGAGTAGCTGGGATTACAGGCATGCGCCACCACTCCCGGCTAATTTTGTATTTTTAGTAGAGACGGGGTTTCTTCATGTTGGCCAGGCTTGTCTCGAACTCCTGACCTCAGGTGATCCACATGCCTCGGCCTCCCAGAGTGCTGGGATTACAGGTGTGAGCCACTGCGCCTGGCCAATTTGTTTTTTTTTTTAAATAAACATAGACAGCATCTCGGTATGTTGCCCAGACTGGTCTTGAACCCTGGCCACAATCGATCCTTCCACCTTGGCCTCCCAAAATGAGCCACTGCACCAGGGCAACAGCTTTTTTTTTTTTTTTAGACAGATCCTTGCTCTGTTGCCCAGACTAGAGTGCAATGATGCAGTCTTGGCTCACTCCAACCTCTGCCTCCCAGGTTCAAGTGATTCTCCTGCCTCAGCCTCCCGAGGAGCTGGGACTACAGTTGCTCGCCACCACGCCTAGCTAATTTTTTCTTTTTGTATTTTTACTAGAGACGGAGTTTTGCCATGTTGCCCAGGCTGGTCTCAAACTCCTGACCTCAGGTGATCCACCTGCCTCAGCCTCCCAAAGTGCTGGGATTACAGGTGTAAGCCACCTCATCTGGCCTGACAATAGCTCATTTCTTATGATCCATATGGTTATACCACAGTTTGCTTAGTCTTGCATGGCTGAAAGATATCTTGGTTGTTTACAGTTTTTAGTGAACATATGTAAAGCTGCTATAAATATTCATGTACAGGTTTTTGTGTGGATATCAACCTTGAATTAACTTGGGTAAATACCTAAGAGCATGATTGATGGTAAGTCTCTCCTTAACTTTATAAGAAACTTCTAAACTGTCTTTCAAAGTGGCTTTACCGTTTTCCATTCCCATTAGCAGTGAGTGGGAATTCTTGTTGCTCTGTATATTTTCAGCATTTTTTATTGTAAGTTTAAAAAATTTTAGCTACTCTAATAGTGTAGCAGTACTTTGTTTTGGTGTTCTGTTTTGTTTTGTTTTTTGAGACAGAGTCTCACTCTGTTGCCCAGGCTGGAGTAAAGTGGTGCGATCACAGCTCACTTCAGCCTCCACCTCCCAGGTTCAAGCAATCCTCCCGTCTCACTCTCCCAAGTGGCTGGAATCACTGGCGCATGCCACCACACCTGGTTAATGTTTGTTTGTTTGTTTGTTTGTTTGTTGAGACATTGTCTCGCCATGTTACCCAGGCTGGTCTTGAGCTCCTGGGCTCAAGTGATCCTTCTGCCTTAGCCTACCAAAGTGTTGGCATTGAAGGCATGAGCCACTGCACCCTGTTGGCATTTCCCTAATGACAGATGATCTTAAGCATATTTTCAAGTATTATTTACCACCCATATATCTTCTTTGGTGGTGTCTGTTGAGATCTTTCACCCACTTCTAAAATCAAGATTTTTTTCCCCAATTATTGTGTTTTAATTTTGTTCACATATTATCTTTACAAGTCCTTTGTCACATCTATAACTTCCAGTTTTTTGACAAGTATTTTCTTCCAGTCTGTGCCTTGTCTTCTTTTCATTCACTTACCAGTGTTTTTGTAAAGCAAAAACTATTAATTATGATAAAGTCTAATTGATTTGTTTTCTCTTTCATGGATTGTATTTTTGGTGTTTTATCTAAAAACTCAAACTCAAGGTTAAGATTTTCTCCTTTATATTCTTCCAGAAGTTTTATGGCTGTGCATATTATTTTTAAGTCTATGATACATTTTGAGTTACTTTTTTATAGGTGTGAAGTATTGTCAAGTTTTTTTTTTTTTTTTTTTTTTTTTTTGTGATTGAGTCTTACCCTGTGGCCCAGGCTGGAGTGCAATGGCGTGATCTCTGCTCACTGCAACCTCTGCCTCCCAGGTTCAAGTGATTCTTCTACCTCAGCCTCCCGAGTAGCTGGGATTACAGGCATGAGCCACCACACCAGCTAATTTTTGTAACTTTAGTAGAGGCAGGGTTTCACCATGTTGGCCAAGCCAGTCTCAAACTCCTGACCTCAAGTGATCCACCTGCCCCAGCCTCCCAAAGTAGATGGATGCCAATTGTTTCAGCATCATTATTGAAAGGAGATTCCCTTCTTCATTGGATGACCTTTGTACTTGTATTCAAAATCAAGTGACTCTATTTTTGTCCTTCCATTTCTGGCCTCTCCATTCTGTTCTGTTGATCTATGTGTCTGTCCTTTTGCCAATACCACACTCTCTTGATCACTGTCCTTTGCAGAAAGACTGGAAATAGTATCTAATAATTTTGAAAGGTATGTTTTCATCATCATTCAGTTGAAAATATTATCTAACTTCCCTTATGTTTTCTTCTTTGATCCGTAGGTTATTTAGAAGGAAGATTTAAAATTTTCAATACTTTTTTGCCCCTAGACAACTTATTATTGATTTCCAATAAAATCTATTTTGGTCAGAGTACATATTCTGTATGATTTCAGTCCTTTGAAATATGTTGTTACTTGTTTTATGTCTCAACATATGACCTGTGTTAGTGAATGTACCATATTCACTTTACAAAATATATATTCTGGAGCTGTTGAACACAGTGACTGTAAATGTCAGATCAAGACGGTTGATAGTGTTGTTCATTTGTATTTTTAAAAAACTAAGAAAAAGCTGGGCGCGGTGGCTCACGCCTGTAATCCCAGCACTTTGGGAGGCCAAGACGTGTGGATCACCTCAGGTCGGGAGTTCGAGACCAGCCTAACCAACGTGGAGAAACCACGTCTCTACTAAAAATACAAAATTAGCTGGGCGTGGTGGTGCATGCCTGTAATCCCAGCTACTCGGGAGGCTGAGGCAGGATAATCGCTTGAACCCAGGAGGCAGAGGTTGCAGTGAGCGGAGATTGTGCCATTGCACTCCAGCCTGGGCAACAAGAACGAAACTCCATCTCAAAAAAAAATTAATAAAAAAAAAACTAAGAAAAAATAGAGCATCTTTAACTTCCCACCATATATTTGGCATTTCCAGTGTTGGTCACTCCTATCTGAAGACTCAAGTTACCATCTGGTATGACTTCTTTCAACCTGGGAAACTCCTTCAGTATTTTTCTTGCAGTAGAGTTATGTTTGCAACAAATTATCCTAGTTTTATTTTATCTGGAGACACCTTTTCATTTTTCTTCCCTGAAAATATTTTTACTGGATGTGCAATTCTGAGTTAGGTTGTTTTCTTACAGCACTCAAAAAAATGCCATTTCATTGTCTTCTGACCACCATAGTTTCTGATGACAAATTATGAACACATGGACTGGTCATTCTCATAATTGTTCTCATGTATGTAACGTGTCATTTTTCTCTGATTATTCTCACGATTTTCTGTGACCATAGGCTGCTCAGGGCTGGACTTGGATATGGCCATAAAGTGGTACTGTAGGAAGTGCAGTATCCTGGAATTAATTCCGGACCTTGGAATTAACAGGGCTGGGCCCCTTAGCACCTGCCCTTAGCTCTCCTTTCCCCAGGTCCCTAGAAACCCCCTCCTGATCTACACACACACACACACACATGCACACACAACTTCTAACAGGGCCCTTCTCGTTTTTCTCTCCCCCCTGGTTCCTTCCACTCTCCCCCTTCTCTTATGATCCATTTCATCTCCCTTCTGCTCTCTGGACCAAGGCCCCAGGCCCGGACTCCAGGCTTGGAGCTCACAGGCTGATTCCTGGGATGAGCAGCCTCCACCTGCAGGAGCAGCAGCAGGAACAAGGGAGGGGACAGGAGGGCAAGGCCCCATTTTGGAGGCTGAGGGACTAGGTCATGTGGTAGCAATGGTTTGGGGGTGGATGAGCCCCAGATATGATCCCACTGTTTTGGCCTGGAGGTATCTCTTCCCTAAAGCCAAAATCCAGAGTCACTCAGTGGTGGGAGGAAACGTCAGTGTCAACATGGATTTTGGGAAGCTGGATGGACTCAGAGCCTGACTTGAGATCGGGAACCCCCTTGTATGCAGAGCCCTGTCCAGGTGCTGGGAACAGGAGAGCCTGGGAGGTCCTGGCTAGGGAGAAAGGGGAGCGGGGTCTCTGTCCTCGGCCCTGTGGCCACACGGGGGCGCCGCTGCGCTGCTCTCGGATTCTGAGTGCTCTCCGGGACGGGGCTGCGGGCTGAATGGGCAGACGGGGCTGAACCTGAGGTCAACCACGCTGAGACGGAGGTTCCTCCTGAGCACCTCTGGAATCCACAGGACTCAGGTTAGATTTGTTTGTCTTGCAACGTGAGGCAATTGTGGTGTAGCAAGATCTGGCTCTAGAATTCTTATGGCAAAATAGCTGTCATAGAATCCAACTAGAATGAGAGTCCAGGGCCTGGGTTGACTGCCCTGGGCACACCTGACTCTTGATGGGGTTGCCAAAATGTAGCTTGGCATTTACAAAAATTCTTTCCAAAGATTGCATCAAAGTCCAAAAGAATTATGTACAATTTCATTTCTGATGTCTCTGGCTGTGCTTTCGAAAGGGCAGGAAGAGCCATGGAAAGAGGCTGAAAGGCCCCTCTGGGAATTCTCAAATCTCTTTTCATAGCAGTAACTTGGACCTAGACAGCAAAGCCTGAAAGACACAGGTAGAAGGATCGCGAGGCGCAGCCCTCCCTTCTGATCAGCACAGGTATGGCTGTCTGGGCGCTTTTGCCCCTCTGTGTTCAGCAGGATGGACTCTGCAGTGAGGCGCAGCCCCTGTCTCCCCACTGCCCCAGATCAGAAGCATGTTTCCTTATCTTGTTTTCCACACACTCCTTTTCTTTTTCTGTCTTGTGACCACGAATAGAATAGACAGGCAAGGTCCTGTAAGACCAGGTAAAAGATGTTACTGATGCACTTTGGAAGGCTGAGGTGGGCGAATCACAAGGTCAGGAGTTTGAGACCAGCCTGGCCAACATGGTGAAACCCCATCTCTACAAAAAAAATCAAAATAAAAATACAAAATTTAGCCGGGCGTGGTGGCATGTGCCTATAATCCCAGCTACTCAGGAGGCTGAGGCAGGATAATCGCTTGAACCCGGGAGGTGGAGGCTACAGTGAGCAGAGATTGTGACATTGCACTCCAGCCTGGGCGACAGAGTGAGACTCTGTCTCAAAGAAAAAAAAAAAAAGTTAGTGAAATCATGATTGTGAAGGAACAATGGCAAATGGAGAGAAAGAGCAGAGAGACAGACAGAGATAGATACACACGTACACACACACATAGAGAAAATGAATATCCATCCATCCATCCATCCATCTATCCATCCATCCATCCATCCATCTACCCATCCACCCATCCACCCATCCACCTTTCTATCTCCTTGCAAGGTAGGTTCATCAACACTTTTACATTTATGCCCCAGCAAAAATCTTTTTTTGGCTCACACCTGCCCTCCTTCATCCAGCCAACTGACATATTTGCTGAGGTCTTGCCACGTGCCGCACTGGGTGCTGAGCATTGGAGTCTAAACAGGAACAGACCCCTGGGATGCACTCCCGTCCTGGGATGCCCTTCACTGTCCCGTCCCTGGCTGTGAGACATCCTCATCTCCCTGAGGCTCTTGTTTCTGGTCACTGGGAAAAGTCCCTGGCCCACCTCTCTATTGACACCTGGGAGACTCTATCGCTACTTTGAATAAAGCACTGATTTTCAGCATTTATTCTGTATCCACACTTACTAATGCCCTTTCAATTTAGAAGTTGTTACAAACGGGAGGGGTTATAACCTTAGGCACGTTGTTTAAGAGAATTGTAAAAATAAGGAAACATGATGGCAATGGGGTTTTCTGCTTTCTCCCAGAACACTTCATATTCATTTTCTCACCTGTGTTTGGTTGGTTGCAAGGTGGCTTCCACACCCCCAAGTTTATTTCAAGTAGCAGAAACACTTGCTTAGAAAACAAGTACTTTGGGAAATGCAGGGTCTCAGCCTCTGTCCTCAGGACTCCACACATCAGAAAGACATGTGCGTCTCCTCCCACAATCCTGGAGGTGCCCGTGGACTGCAGGTTCGCTCCTCACTGACTTTACTCATGTCCTACTGGAAAAGGATGGATTTCTAGAAATGTCCCAATGGCTTGGAACACTCAATTTCTCTGTGTGCACTGCAAGCAAACTGACAGTTTGACTTTTCAATTCTATTCAATACCTGAAAATAAACTGAATTTTCAGTATATTTCCTTCCAGAGAGTAAACTGAAAAGGGAACCTTTCTAAATTCAGTTATGATTTCCTGAAACATCGAAGAAGGCAAATGTGGGTGCCCTTAAAGACAAGAGAATTCTCTGACCTCAAATTTCATGTAGCAGCTGTAAGGTGGAGCTGGCAGCATCTGTCCCCACCTCTGGGTACACAGCAGAACGTGCCAGCTTTAGGGACCCCGGAGGACACAGCTGCACAGTGTCCGGGGGCATCCAGCAAACCCTCAGGAAGGACTCGGTCCACGCAGGAGCCTCCTTAAGCAACTTCTCCCTGAAAAACCCTGAAGTCTTAGAAATCCATAAAGAAAAAAGATATTCATGTCTCTGATAAAGAAAAGAAATGCCAGCAATCCAGCACTGAGAAGGGAAGCTACGAGACCACATTTTCTGCATGTGGAGAAGACACGTCTAATGGAGAGGTGGGAACTTGTCTCAAAAGTGTTGGGCCGCAGTGAGAGGGTGTGGTCGTCACTGCCACCACCCGCTGCTCACTCAGTGACCCCTCCCCATTGTAACTAACGGGCCAGTGAAGAGAAACACTTTTCGTCTGCTTGTACTGAAATAAGGCTATTACAATAAATCATCTCTGTGGTTGATTTTTCACTTAAGGATGGGATAACTGGGGAAATTGGTGCCTGTAGTGCAGGTTTTAAAGAAGCTCCCAGAAGCCCTTCTGAGGCCATCTCCAGGAGGCTGCCCCAGCGGGTATGAGGCCTTGCGCTTCTGCCATCCTGTGTGTCCCTGTGATGGAATTTTGGCCCAGCTAGGGATGGCAAGAGGCCAGGTCATCGCAGGTGGTCTGCAGGCCTGGTGAGGAAGGACAATGACAGACGGGGAGGCAGAAAGGCACACATATGACCAGACCTCCCCCTGGGTCCTGCTCCCATTCCTCTGTCCATCGCTCTTGCTCTGTCTGCCCTAGGGGAAATTTCCTGAAGGAAACAGGAAAAGGAACCTCTATTCCTCGCTGCATATCTTTTATGTAGGCCTTTCCTGTTATTCAAGCATATCCCCAGCAGATGGCAGAGAAGACATTTCAATTTCGTGCCTCTGCTTTTCCTCCCCCTCCTCCAACCGGAAAGTCAGGACCAAGGGAATGGATGAAGGCATTAAAGGTATAAATGAGAATGGGTGATAATTTCCCTTTCTCTGAGCTGGGGAGTCCCATTGCAAGGGTGGGAATAGAAATGTCCAGTGTAACCATTCAGAGATGACAGATACTGCCCTGAAAACAGTCACAAAATCAAACCATGATGTGCCTCCCTGGGCTCCTTGGCTCTGGGCTGCTGCTTTCTTTTATTGAGAATCTAAGAGGTGCTGAGCATTCAGTTAAAACGGGACTCAAGGGTTCCTGCATTGTCCTCTGCCTTAATTGCATTTGAAAATATATTTTGTCAGTTCAATCCTTCTCCTGCCCGTCTCTGTTTCTCTTTTTAAAGAAGCTGAACATTGGCACCTTCAAAAGAAAATTGCTAACATGTGAAATAATATATTGTCTAGGATTTAGTTGAAAATAACCTGGTGTTGGGCTATGGTTGAGGATGTAGATAAATCAAGAGTGGGTGTTACTGAGTGAAGGGTACAGTGAAGGTCACTTTACTCTTCTGTCTACTTCTGTGTTTGCTTAAAATATTTGTACAAGTTTAAAAAAATAAGAACCAGGGTTACCAGGGGGCATGGCATATGCTGAATAATCATGAGATACCGGTTATAATTTCAAACAAATCTCCAATAAAAATAGATAATAATTTGAAGTCAAACCACAGGGACAAAATGTTTTTAGATGTCTCCAAATTCCTCACTTCCCTCCTCTAAATTCAGGTGGGTCACTTCATACTTTCTCCCAACCGCAGGTTCCCAATAGGCAGGTCCTAGAGCCCAACCTTGGTGGGGCAGGGAGTAGGGATTTAAAAACTGCATGATGATCAACAGCAGGAAAGAGGATTGGGGCTGAGAGGGGAGGAGAGGCAGGCAGGAGACCCCTGGGGAGTTGCTGCCCCAAGGAACTCCTTCTTCACCCTCTGAGAGAAAGTGTCACAGGACCACAGACCCTTGGTCTTCATAGATCCCATAACCTCCCCCGAATTGTATGTAAAATTGTGTGGGAATGCAGGTGAGTGCATTTCAGCTGGGGCTGGCTTTGACAAGGCTGTGGCCTGCAGTAGATATCAAAGTAGTCATCTAGGTCTCGTGTAGATGATGGAAAACTCGATGGGAGGGAGACACGGTGCCTTGACCCAGAGTCAATGCCAATAAACTTGGCTAGGACATAGTACCCAGTCATTTAATCAAAACCTAATCTAGATGTTGCTGTGAAGATATTTAGTACATGTGGTTAACATTTACAATCAGTTGACTTTATGAAAAGGAAATTACCCTCAATAATGTAGATGGACCTCATCCAATCAGTAGAAGGCTTTAAGAGCAGAAACTACAGTTTCCCAGAAAAGAAGAAATTCTGTCTTAAGACTACCATATCAACTTCTGTCTGCATTTTCAGCCTGCTGGCGTATCCTACAGATTTCACACTTGCCACCGTAATAATTGCATGAGTCAGTTTCATAACACGAATAAAACACACACATACACACACACACACACACACACACACACACACACACACCCCTTATTGGTTCTGTTTCTCTGATGAATCCAGAATAATACAGATTTTGGTACTTAGAGTGATTCTAGAGGAAGAGAATCCTTTTAAAACGTTTATAGCCAACAATAAAAAACTTTATTAAAAATGTTGAAAAGCATAAAACGGTAATTATAAATTAGCAAACACCCAACAAGAAAAGCACTTATTTTCTTTTCCTTATACAGTACAAGAAAGAGTAATTGGGATCTCATTCACTTTCAGCCACCATTTGCCCTAGATGTCCTTCACTCAAAACAAGTTTTTAGCTTGTGTTTTTGGAGTGGAAACTCACATGGCTACTAAGAAACAACTCTAAAAATGTAACTTAGACACTCAAAATTCCATGTGCCATGTTAACATGTAATGATGGTTCATATTACAGCATCTCACAATAGGTAAGCATTATTTCCAAAGTAAAATTAAGTCACATTTGTGGTTGCTAGTGAATGCGGCACAAATGGACCCTGAAGATTCAGGCATTGTTCTGCTCTGGAGTAGGACATCTGTGGCTCCAGCAAACTGTACAAAGGCTTTTTTTTTTTTTTAATGTATCTTCCGTGATACTTCAATTATTTCACCTTATTAATCATTTTCTTGCAAACAAAACTGAAAATATCAGTTCATAATGTGTTTCCATACACCTTGCCCTTATTCAAATGGTTATGAACAAGTGGTCTTCCATTTTCTATTGCCGCTGTAATTATTTGTTCCTGATCTGGCAACACCTTCTTCAGCTCCTTTCTCTGGCCACCGAGATTAACAGTCCAACAAGCGGTCTTTTGATTCACTAAGTGGCTTAATAGGACAACGTTGATTTGAGCCAATACTTCTGGCATGTTCATTTCAATTTGTAACTTTTTTCTGAATTCATCCCCACAAGGTGAGCTGGAAAACTGCAACCATAACCAAAGCTAGAAAATACTGGAAGTAGCCAATATTTCTCTTCATCACCAAAGACTGGTCTCTAATTTTTACTATTGTTCTATTTTTTCCAGCCAGCCAACAGTAGTAGCTGAAAAGCGAGAGCACACT
The DNA here is from genome assembly GCF_000001405.40 of Homo sapiens. Taxonomy (NCBI): domain Eukaryota; kingdom Metazoa; phylum Chordata; class Mammalia; order Primates; family Hominidae; genus Homo; species Homo sapiens. The sequence goes on from NT_167249.2 coordinate 1,017,514, forward strand.
GATGAAGAACACTGCGGGCACAAAGAAAAGGAAAAGTATGTGGAGCTTTGCTGTGTATCTCTTAGTTCATTCTACTCACTAGAACGTGGCGTTCTCAGGAATTGACGTCCTCCAGGCCCCCAGATGAGGGTAGTGAGCACCCTGAGAGCCAGCTGGACTCCCCTCTTGGTGTGTTACTGCACAGCCACAGCCTCTGGGTAGGGAGTTGTCCTGCACTTCTGGAATCATCTTTTTGGTCATGGTGGCTACTGCTGTACTGTCCTTCTGAGGTCAGTGAGATAGGGTGTTCACAGCCTCACTTGAAAGGAAACAAGAGACTTGTCAGGTTGATGGAGAGAACAAGCTGTTCGACAGTGCGCAAACCATATCCTGGGCTTGTGGTTAGAACATCCTGCAGCAAAGAGGTAGAAGAGCCAAGGGAGGCATCCCCACATCTGAGGAAGCCCAGAAACCCATGAATAGCGTCCTTGGGCTGACCTATGCTCATTACAATAGTAGCAAACACAACTCTGAGAGGGAAGTTAAGATGCTAATGAGACGTAAGATGTGTGTGCTGATATGTACAACCACAGTGCATGCACGTTCAAGAGACCACAGAACATGCTTAAAACAATACCCCTTCCCACCTATTCATGAATAATCATGTAAGACTCCCGTGAGGGGAGGGTACTGTCTCTCTTTTGAGCAGCTGCTCTGATCAGCTGTCAGAGTGTACTTTCACTTTGCAATAAATTCTCTTGCTGACTTTTACTTTGGACTTGCTCTCAAATTCTTTTGTGTGGCAAAGTCAAGAACCTGAACCGGCCCATTGGCTACATTTCCTTCCTTTTTTCTTTCTTTCTGTATCTTGTTGCTAGGGATAACTTTGCCCCTGCTGGCAGCATGCCCCTGAGGATGGCACCCTGTGGCTGGCGTCTTCCTTGGCTTGGCCTCGGGTCACTAAGCATAGCCCATGGTAGGAGGTTCTGAGAATGAGTGGCACTGCCTTGTGCAACGGTCCCCATGGGAGTGGCCCACAGGTGCTTGCATCTGTGGCATTTTCACAACTGTTTAAAAAGACTCAAGAATGTACTGTGGGAGGAGAGCAGGTCTGGAGACTCACCTGTGTCCCCCACCTGCTCATCTGCATGGCCGTGTGCCTGACATGGTCAGAAATGAGAAATGCTGCTGCCCCTTTGCAAAGCACTACTTAGTTTTTCTCTTCTTGAAGGTGGTGGCACGATGCCCAGGTTGAGATGGACGCAGGAGTCAGCATCCTAAAGTAAAAGGAGAGACTTTAACAGAAATACCTGAGCTTTTCAATGAGAATGAACAGGGCCTTTTACCCTCTGGCAACTGTGTATTTCCCATTGACATGTTTCTTGTCCTCAGAATGGTTTTTCCTTTTTGCAGGTGGTTTATTGAAAAAGGAAAGGACAGAAAAGAAAAAGCAGGAGAAGGTGTATGGGAAGCTGGGACCCTGGCCCTGTGCAGGGGAGATACAAGGTGCTTCTGGGGAGGCTGCCGCCATCTGGGGCACTGGCACATGGGGCACAGCAGGGCTCGCCTTCCTGATGATGCCGCCTATCCCAGTTGCCCACCAGAAGTTGCAGTGCCCAGATTAGTTTTGTATTGATGGAAATTAAAAAAAAATTATATTACATAATTTTATGCTTTTTGAAAATAGCTAATAAACTTTTATGGCTAAGTTGTTAGTAATGGTAATCTCTCTAATCTGCTTAAAGACGGTCAAATCTGCAGGGTTCCCATCTCCACTGGACACCTGTGCTTCCTGTGGGGTCTATTTTCCAGTGGCTTTCCCTGTTGGTTGCCCCTGTGACTGCTGACATCCTGCCTTCTGGTGGAAACCACACTCTTCCTTGCCCAGTGAGGGTTGGAAAATTGGATGACTAAACTCGACGAAGATAGCAAATAACATTTGTTCTGCGTGGGTGCCATCATCACCTGCACTTGAAAGCAAGGCTGAGGTGCAGAAGACACAAAATGTGGCCATGTCCCTTGGCTGGCAAGTGGCCTAGGGGCAATGTGAGCCTGAGTGTATGACACTGTGACACAGGACAGGGTGCGTCACAGTGTTGCCCATTGTGACTGCAGGGCCAAAAGGAACCAGGGCTGAGAGGAACCTGGAGACATGCTGGGGTGGGGCCAAACGAGGGCTTGGAGAGAGCCTCCACCCACCCTCACAGGGCCTGGTGGAGACAGACCGAGGAGGGGCATCTGCCCCTCTCCCCTTGCAGAGTGGAATGATAGCTGATGACATCATTTTAAAAGTCACAGTACTACAGAGATGTTTGGACACTCATCAGAGGCAGACCTGCTGTGGGAAAGTCAAGGCCTTGGTGCGGAAACCTAAGATTCTGCAAACTGGAACAGGGTTATCCTATGGGTGCCCTTTAGAACTCTCTGGGCATGCAGAGGAGGCTCGCCCTTCTCTAGTAATGGTTCCCACTTCCTACACTGGAAGATGCTGCAGAAACCTCACCCCTATGATGCAGTGGGAATTCCACTCAGGAGCTTTGCAGTAACAGCCGTTATGTCCCCTTAGGAGCCTGAGGAGCAGTTCTGGGATTGGAATTTAAGGGTGTTTGATCAAAGGGCCAGAATCAAGCTGGATAAATTAAAAAAAAACACCTTTGGCTTGGGAGCACTTTCTCAGGGTATGGGTTTATCAAGGACCTCAGGGCATGGGGCAAACCCACTGCTGGGGTGGACCCATGTAGACTGGAAAAAATGATGTCCAACTCTCAGTAAGTTAGACATGACTTAGTTGTCCTGGAACATGTAGAGGATGGACAATGAGGCTGAGGGAAGTGGGTGTGTGGGATGGAGACATCATGTGAACCAGAATGCCCACTAGGGCCATGCTCCACAGAGGACCCATAGGGCACAACTTCCACCAGAGCCTCAGGAATGTGCCGGTGAGAGGGACTTGCATGGCTAAGAAGCGTCGGGGTGGTGTCCTCTGCAGGCTGGGTGTGATGGCAGGAAGGAGGTCCTATAGTTGGGCTCATTGATATTCCTGAGGAAAGTGTGGCCTTGAAAAGGCAGAGAACTAAATGGTGACAGTGGCCTGCAAAAGCCAGAGGGCACGGTTAACTTGACAATCTCAGAGGAGCAGCTGAGGCAGCTTGATCTGCAGGGAGTTGTGGGGAAGGTTAATAGACGGTGGTGTCAGAACAGGCAGCAGCCAACAAGGGCACTGCTTGACATCTGTGATGAGAAAGCAAGAATTGATGAGCAGGGGGCTGAGGGTGTTTAACTCAATACAAAGTCATGATCCCATTCTCAATTCCTAAACGTCAACCAAGTTTCAGATTCAGATCCCAGTTACAGAGAAGGAGTCCCTATTCCAGGAGGAAGGACCCTGAAACCTCATGGCAAGTATATGCTGGAACAATTCCCTCTGTCTTTCTGCAAAGGAGCCTACAGTCATTTACTCAGGGGACTGTACACTAGGAAAGGGAAACAGGCAGAATTTGGGGGAGTGTTGACATTGGGTGTGAGCTGATATTGATGCCTACAGGCCTACAGCACCATTATGTCCCTACCACAGTGGGGCTTACAGAAGCTGGGAATAAATCTGGACACATCACAAAGGGACTACTGGGTCCACAGACCCAGCCCTGTTTATCTCCCCATTCTCCAAGTGTGTAATTGGCATTGATGCCCTGGCAGCTGGAGTAACCCCCACATTGGGTCCCAAGTCTCTGGAATAAGGGCTGTCATTGTCTGAAAGCCAAAGGGAAACCTCTGCAACTGACTTCATCCTGGCCAAATAAAAAATGATATTGAGTCCCAGGGTGAGTCTTATGAAAGGTACTGTAGGTATTTTAGGTGTAGCACCACCATTAGAGAGCTGAAGGATGAGGGGTGCTGTTGGAGTTGCCTGTTATCTTCACGTAATCCAGCAATCTGTCCCCAAGGAAGCCTGATGGGGCCTAAAGAATGAATGAGATTACTTCAGACTTGAAAAAGTAGGAGTCATAATTGCAGCTGCCATGCTGGCTGGATATCACTGGTAGAGCAGATTGATAAGGCCTCAGGCACAAAGTGTGCAGCTGTGGATTTGGTGAGTGCATTCCTTTCCATTCCAATGAGAAAAACTATACATGAAGTGATTCATGTGGGATCCACAACACATTTATTGATAATTGGCCTCAGGGTTATTGTAACTGACCTGCCCTCTATAGTATAGTCTTAAGAGATCTGAAGAACCTGGCATCCTATAGAATGGTAAATCAGCTTATTTCATCAACAACATCATGTTGACTAGGATGGATGAGTAGGAGATGGGAAGTATGCTGAAGGCCTTGGCAAAACACGTGCTCTCCAGCAGATGGAAGATAAACCACACAGAGATTCAGGAGTGGCCACTGTGGTGAAGTTTTATTCATCCAGTGGTTCAGGACATCCAGGAGTTTCTCCTCCACAGTAAAAGACAAAGTGTTGCATCTTGCATCCTCACTACAAGGAAGGAAGCACACTGCCTGGTGAGCCTCTTTGAATTCTGACAACACCACATCCCACATCTATTGCTTTGACCTACACTCTAGGAGAAATAGGAGGGGACTTGCTTCAATTAGGCCTGCTGAGGAAAGGACACTGGCAGATTCAGGCCATGAGGCAGCGCCATCCCTCAGACCCACCTAGAGGTGTCAGTCGTGGGGAAAGATGCAGGATGGAGCTGAAACAAGCACCAGTGGGGGAGTCACACGGAGGGCCTGGGATTCTGGAGTAAGGCCATGTCATCCACAGCAGAGACATATGCCCCTGTTAGAAGCAACTTTTGGTATGTTACTGGCCTTGATAAGATAGAATCCTTGCCATGGGACATCAAACAACCATGTGATTTCAAATGCCCATATGAATTGGCTTCTGTAACTCAGAAAGTCATAGATCGGACAGACCCCAAAGCATCCATCATGAGATAGAAATGGTCCATCTGGATTGAGCATGAATCCTATGTTGACACCTCCAGAAAACATCCAAACCTGAAGTGGCACTAAACAACCAAGCAGACAAATTGAAGTTAGCCAGCCCTCACCATCGGGCAGCCCAGGCCTGGCAGGATGAGTTCATGAATGGAGCAAGCACAGTGGCAGGAATGAGGCTAAATATGGGTCCAGAAGCACTGACTACCACCTACCAAGACAGATCCAGCTGCTGCCACCTCTGAATGTCCAACTCATTAGCATTTGAGGCCAATGATGTGCCTCAGTGGGGCTATATTTCTTTAGGTGACTAAAGCAACACTCGCTGCTAAGTGATTAGTTGAGCCACTTCCATTCTGGAAGGGCCAGAGGTTCATCTTTACAGGGTTAGGCACCATTCCATGAGTGGGTTTTCCTGTCCTGCTCTCAGACCCTCAGTCAGCACCACTCTCCAGGGACTGTTGACATTCCTGATTCACAGGCATGGCATTGCTCTTAGCACACTGTCTTCCTGGTGGAACCCACTTGACAGGGAAGCAGGTGCAGCATTTTCATGGCCATGGGATCCACTGGTTCTATCACCATCTGCACCACCCAGGGTCTGCCAGCCACTAAGAATGCTGGACAGGTCTTCTACAGGCACAACTCAGTGCCAGCCTGGAGGAAGCACTCTGAGGGGTGGGTGCTGTCTTTCGGGACATGGTGCATTTATTAAATCAGAGACATCTCTACAGTGCCGTGTTCTCAGTAGGAAGAACATGTGGGTCCAGAAACTAAGGAGTGAAAGTGGGTATGGCTCCATGTCTCATTCCTTAGATTCACCTGCTGTGGGATTTTGCACTTCTCATCTCCCAAACCTGTGCTCTGCAGGGTAGAAGGTCCTGGATTCTAAAGGAAGGTACTCTTAAATCAGGACAAATGAGAGCCTACTGAAGAACACATTACTATTGCCCCCAGAGAGATTTGGACAGTATGTGCCCAGAGACCAGCAAGTGAGGAGTCCCCTCCTCTCCAGGCACAGGTAATAGATCCTAATCTCCAGGAGGAGGTTGGGCTGCTGTCACAATGAGGGCAGGAGGAATGTGTGTGGAACCCAGTGATCCACTTGAGGGGTCTCCTGGTTCCCCTTGTCCCATTGTAAGTGTTAGTGGAATTGTCCAGCAACCAATCCTGAGGGAATTTGATTTCCAAGGGCCCAGAAACCTCAGGAAGGAAGATTTGAACCATGCTCCCAGATAATCTCCCAAGGCCCTGCTCCTGTGCTCTGACATCCTCAGCAGCATTGGTGCAGACACCCTGCTTCCCATGGGCTGTTCCCAACCAGTGATGGGTGACAAGAGGGACACTAAGGGAGGCCTATGTCTGGAAGACAAGGGCCAACTGTGGCTAGAGGACTCCTCTATGGCCTTGCTCAACTCTCCTTAGATTGCCTGTGGTCTAGGATGTGTCCAACAAACCTCCTCTCCTGTCCCTCACTTGGGGGTCACGCTTGCATCTCAGTCTGCTGTCTCTCCCAGGGTTTCCTGGATCTTTTCCCATATTTTCTGGCAGGTGAGTCCTCTAATAAAATACTGCAACTTTAATCTCATGTCATCTGCTTCTTGGAGAACATGGACCAACAAAATCATTTCCATTTACACACCAGTGACCTCTTACTTTTCCAGTTTGTAAAATCCTTTTTATTATCCAACTTCTTCCACCTGCTCCAGTTTTGCTGGTATTTGTGTTGTTTTCTTTGAGTAAATTGATGTTCACTGTTTTAAGTCACTAAGTCTTGGGGTAGTTTGTTACACAGCAACAGATAGCTAATAAACCTCTCTTATGTTTCGATTATTCCATAGTGGTTATCTACATCTGATTTATTTCCTTCTATTTTTATAATATTATCCATACATAATGTTTCCCGTTTCTCTCCACCTATTCTCTTCTTGATTTTTCTTTTCCTTCCCACCATTTTTTCCTACTTCTCATGAAATATTCCTAACATATAAAATAACCCTATGTGGTTATGATATAAGGAAGCATTTTCTGAATCTGTATGTTAAAAGTTTAATGCCACAGTGTATGGGATACAAGTAAAGAACAGGAAGTTATTAACAGAGTCTGAGTAAAAAGTGCCTGGTGTAATTCTGCGGCCAAGACAGTGACTTTGAACTCTTACAGGCTGATGCAAAAATAATTGCAGTTTTTGCCATTACAATAATTCTTACCAAGAACTATTCACATTGGACCAAAGCCAATTGTAATGATCCATGTGATGGAGAGAGCCAGAATGCTATGAAAGTGGCCTTGACCAGAAATAGGTCATTTGATCCTTGGCTCATTGACATCTCCATAGATTTTCGGTGTACAATGTTCGGTCTGATGTGCAAGGTAATTCCATCTTGCAAAGGATTCGATGTTACATTCTACCACACACACACCTGAATTAAACTTTTACAGAATTGGAAATGCACATTACTGATCAAAATAAATTAAACAGGAAAAAATTATATAGGAATAACCAGTGATAGAATAGCAAATAGGAATGGAAAACACAATAGGATTGCTTAAAAAATACTGTAGAAGTACAGAATAGCAGTGCTATTTAGAATCATAGTGATGTCCAAATCATGTCTACCACGTCTCATTAAAAACCAGAGCGAAAGATGTCAAGTTTATTATGGAATGCCCACCCAGTAGCCAGTTTTTGGAAAATCTTGTTCCTAAGTTGGAGCTAAGCATTTTGGGCTACTGTATCCAACCAAAGTTACTGACATCATGCTAAGCTAGATGTGTTGGCTGAGGTATGAGATTCACATTTTTTCTACCTTAAAAGCAATCTGATTTGGCAAATATTTTTAAAGATGATATTTGAATGAGAAAATTGGCATTTGGGACATTCTTAAACTAAATTTGAGACATCTTAGGCAAAACAAATACTTATTTTTAAGGCACTATTGTTATGGCACTGAAGTCTTGGAACTATTTGATCTAGTTACTGTAAGTTCTCAGCTGTGTTGCAACTCATTAAAGAGAATATTGTTATTAAAGGTATTTGCAAGAAAAACTTAGAGATACTATAGTATCTCCTTTCTCTGTCTCAAACTTTTTTCCCCTCAATACCCAAGGCTCTGTGATGTCTCAAATTTTAATCATTACTTTAAAAAGAGAAGTTTAAAGCATTAAAGAATTATAATCAGATGAAAGCAGCTTTGGATTTATAAAATTCTGAAACAATAATTTTAATTTTGCTTTTAACATATATGCAAATTCTTTGATACTCTCCACTTTGCAGAGGTGCAGGTTCATTCCCTCCCTGTGAGTGTGGCCTGGACTTAATGATTCACTTCTATCTGATGGAGTGACTGTTGGTGTAGAACAAAAAACTTACCGTAGCTTCTACCTTTGCTCTCTCTGTCTCTGGGATCATGAACTCTGGGGGAAGCCAGCTGCTGTGTCATAAGCAGACCTGTGGAAAGGTCCATGTGGCTAGGACCGAGGCCTCCCGGGACCAGACAACAAGGAACTGAGGCCTTTTCCAATAGCCATGTGAGTGAGCCATTTTTCATGCAAATCCCCAGCCCAGTTGAGCCCTCAGATGATGCAGCCCTGGCTGACAACTGGACTGCAACCTTGTGAGAGGCCCTGAGCCAGAAACACTCAGGGAAACCTCTCCTGGATTCCTGAGCATTGGAAACTGTGGGAGATGATAAATATTTGTTGCTTTGAGCTGTTACATTTTCAGTAATTTGTAATGTAACAGTAAAAAAAAATACAGCTTCACAAGAGAGGATGAATAGTTGCACTTTAATTTTCACTTGCTCTAAATTTATTAGTGTTATTGTTATTGTCATTATTATTGAGACAGGGTCTTGCTCTGTCACTCAGGCTGCAGTGCTGTGGCAGGAGGACAGCTCACTGCAGCCTCTACCTCCTAGGCTCATGTGATCTTCCCACCTCAGCTGTCTGAGTAGCTGGCAGTACAGACATGCACCACCATGCCTGGCTAAAATTTTTGTATTTTTGGTAGAGACAAGGGTTTTGCCATGCTGCCTAGGCTGATCTCGAACTCATGAAATCAAGCTCTCTGCCTGACTCCACCTCCAAAAGTGCTGGGATTACAGGCATGAGCCACCACCACACCCAACCTAAATTAATTATAAAATATTAAACATGTCATTTGGTTTTAAGAGGTAAGAGGAATTTCCATGGCTAAATAGGATGTATTTTATTATCATTCACAATTATTGCTTTATTTGAACTTCAATTTCCAACTGTGTCCCAATTAAACTCAAAAGAAAGACCCAAGCCATGCTAGGCTGATTCTATCATCCCCCCCATGATAGACGTGTAACCTTGGTCATTCACCTGACCCCAGTTATTCAACCAACAGTAATGTAAGTCCTGCCTTGAAGGGATTTTTGCATATATAATTAAGGTCCTAAATCAATTGACTTTAAGACAGGGATTATCCCTGGTCGGGCTGTCCTCATCTGGGGAGCCCCTGAAAGGACTGGGTTCTTCCTGATCAGAGAGATTCACAGTGTGAGAGGGATTCAGTGTGAGGGGGTTCCTCCAATGTGGATTCTAAAAATGAAGGGGCTGTGTGGCAAAGAATGCTGGTGGGCACCAGGAATTGAGAGCAGCCTCTCTCTACCTTGACAGTAGGCAAGGAACAGGAACCTTAGTCCTACAACGGGCAGAAACTGAATTCTGTCGCCTCTGTATAAGCCTGAAGGAGGCCCTCAAAATGAAAACACAGTTTTGGGAAACCCTAAACAGAGAACCCTCCAATCATGCTCAGATTTCTGACTAAGGAACTGTAAATAAATAAATAAGTGTTGTTTGGTCAAGCGTGGTAGCTCATGCCTGTAATCCTAAGGTTTGTGGGAATGACACAGGAGGATTACTTGCAGCCAGGAGTGAGACTAGCCTGGGCAATTTGAGGAGACCTTCCTCTCTACAAAAAGGAATTTTTTTTTTTTTAATTTACCTGAGCACGGTGGTACTTGCCTGTAGTCCCAGCTACTCCAGACACTGAGGCAGGGGGACCTCTAGAGGCCAGGAGTTTGAGGTTGCAAGGAACCATGATCATACAACTGCACTTCACCCTGGATAACAGAGGGAGACCATGTCTCTAAAAATAAATAAATAAATACAATAAATGGGTGTTGTTTAAAGCCAATGTTTGTGGTAATTTGTTATGCAGTCATATAAAAGTCATACACAGACTCAACAGACACATGGAATGAATTTATAAATTGATAAGCACACTACATGAGTAAAATAAAATATTTCCTTTTTCCAGTATTTTTCATTTTATAATATTCCATGATGCTATTAAATTTTTATACAATCATATTTCATTCAACTAGTCAACAAAAATTAATTTAGTGCCTATGCTGAACCAGGTTTGCCCTCATATGCTCAAGTGCCTGACATTCTAGAAGCTTCACAAGAGCGAAGTGGAGCCACTGGAGTGTTTTAGGTGAAGAAACGACACACTTTGACTCACAGTAGCAGGACCACTGTGGAGAGAACACTCAGGTGGCAGGTAATGGAACAGTGCTAGAGCCACTATTCAGGAGTGACAGAGTGGTGGGGACTAAGGGAAGAGGAGGGCCTGAGGGATGAGAGGGACGGAGGGAAGGGCTGGAGAAGCAGGAGGTGAGGAGAAGGAGCAGAGGGACAGAATTTGAAAGCAGCAGAATTCTTAGCTTTAAACACATTGTTTTATAAATTTGTAATACATCCATCTACAGAGCCTAGCAGGGTGTTCCTTGCATTTGGCCTTTAACACCGTATGTGGGACTGCCTAAAAATTAATTGCTTTTTCTGCTTTTTTTCAGGTTTAAAAAAATACTAAGTGTTCCAATAAAACATGCACACCACTTAGGATGCGGATACTTCCTAAAAACAGGAAGTGCATTAGCACTGGTGAGGGGCATTGTGACTGCGTTGAACACTTGCAACTTTGAGGTGAATGAATGTATTGGCTCCTGGTTGCAATATACAATCACACGTTGTGCTACTTTGTATTGTCAGGAGATGTCCTGGACTCCCACAGAAACTCAGGGCTATGGAATGAAGGTAATTTTAGAATACAACAAGAGTCACAGATACATAGTCTGGGAAAGCAAAACTTAGGAGCTCTGAGAGTTGTACAACTGTAATGCATTTAGACATATTTATATATCAAGGGGCCAAAGTAACATTTTTTACACATAAGATTCCTGATCGGTCGGGCGCGGTGGCTCATGCCTGTAATCGCAGCACTTTGGGAGGCCGAGGCGGGAGGATCACGAGGTCAGGAGATCGAGACCATCCTGGCTAACACAGTGAAACCCGTCTCTACAAAAAAATTAGCCGGGCGTGGTGGCGGGCATCTGTAGTCTCAGCTACTCGGGAGGCTGAAGCAGAAGAATGGCGTGAACCCGGGAGGCAGAGCTTGCAGTGAGCCGAGATCGCGCCACTGCACTCCAGCCTGGGCGGCAGAGAGACTCCGTCTCAAAAAAAAAAAAAAAAAAAAGGTTCCTGATAATTCAGGGGTTACCAAGATTCTACTACTCACTGCAGCTAATAAAAAAAAAAGAAAGAAAGAAACTGGTCTCTGTCCTATTTCATATGCTCAGGTACAACTTTTCCAGAGAAGAAGAGGAGGGGGGCGGGGAGGAGCAGGAGGAGGAGGAAAGAAGGAGGAGAAGGAGAAGGAGAAGGAGAAGAAGAAGAAGAAGAAGAAACTGTCTCTACACCTTCATTCTCAGGACAAGTTCATTGTCTGGCACCAAGCTCCTTGGGGTGAATTTTCTTCCAAAAGAGTCCGGGGAGTCCAGGTATGGAATGGGAGGCAGAAAGTTCAATCAAGGGACTGGGATTTCGGAATGAATAATGAAGGGAGATGGACTGGGTCCATGCCGAAGGTTTCTCCCTGGTTTCTCAGCCCCCGGGCGAAGACTCAGGGAGACATTGAGACACACCCTGCACAGGAGGGGGAGGGGGAGGGGGAGGGCAAAGTCCCAGGGCCCCAGGAGTGGCTCTCAAGGGCTCAGGCCCCGAGGCGGTGTCTGGGGTTGGGAGGCTCAGTATTGAGAATTCCCCATCTCCCCAGAGTTTCTCTTTCTCTCCCAACCCGTGTCAGGTCCTTCTTCCTGGTTACTCATAACGCGGCCCCATTTCTCACTCCCATTGGGCGTCGGGTTTCTAGAGAAGCCAATCAGTGTCGCCGCAGTTCCCAGGTTCTAAAGTCCCACGCACCCCGCGGGACTCATATTTTTCCCAGACGCGGAGGTTGGGGTCATGGCGCCCCGAAGCCTCCTCCTGCTGCTCTCAGGGGCCCTGGCCCTGACCGATACTTGGGCAGGTGAGTGCGGGGTCCAGAGAGAAACGGCCTCTGTGGGGAGGAGTGAGGGGCCCGCCCGGTGGGGGCGCAGGACTCAGGGAGCCGCGCCCGGAGGAGGGTCTGGCGGGTCTCAGCCCCTCCTCGCCCCCAGGCTCCCACTCCTTGAGGTATTTCAGCACCGCTGTGTCGCGGCCCGGCCGCGGGGAGCCCCGCTACATCGCCGTGGAGTACGTAGACGACACGCAATTCCTGCGGTTCGACAGCGACGCCGCGATTCCGAGGATGGAGCCGCGGGAGCCGTGGGTGGAGCAAGAGGGGCCGCAGTATTGGGAGTGGACCACAGGGTACGCCAAGGCCAACGCACAGACTGACCGAGTGGCCCTGAGGAACCTGCTCCGCCGCTACAACCAGAGCGAGGCTGGTGAGTGACCCCGGCCGGGGGCGCAGGTCACGACCACCCGCCATCCGCCACGGACCGCCCGGGTCCCTCAGAGTCTCCGGATCCGAAATCTACCCCGAGGCAGCGGGACCCGCCCAGACCCTCCACCCGGGAGAGTCCCAGGCGCCTTTACCCAGGTTCATTTTCAGTTTAGGCCAAAATCCCCGCGGGTTGGGCGGGGAGGGGGCGGGGCTAGCTGGGCGGGGCTGACTGCGGGGACCGGCTAGGGTCTCACACCCTCCAGGGAATGAATGGCTGCGACATGGGGCCCGACGGACGCCTCCTCCGCGGGTATCACCAGCACGCGTACGACGGCAAGGATTACATCTCCCTGAACGAGGACCTGCGCTCCTGGACCGCGGCGGACACCGTGGCTCAGATCACCCAGCGCTTCTATGAGGCAGAGGAATATGCAGAGGAGTTCAGGACCTACCTGGAGGGCGAGTGCCTGGAGTTGCTCCGCAGATACTTGGAGAATGGGAAGGAGACGCTACAGCGCGCAGGTACCAGGGGCCATGGGCGCCTTCCCTATCTCCTGTAGATCTCTTGGGATGGCCTCGCACAAGGTTGGGAGGAAAGTGGGCCCAATGCTAGGATATCGCCCTCCCTCTGGTCCTGAGTAGGAAGAATCTTCCTGGCTTTCGAGATCCGGTACCAGAGAGTGACTGTGAGAGTCCGCCCTGCTCTCTGGGACAATTAAGGGATGAAATGGAGGGAAGACAGTCCCTGGTCCCCTTTGAGCCCTCCAACAGCCTTGGGCCCCGTGACTTTTCTCTCAAGTTTTGTTCTCTGCCTCACACTCAATGTGTTTGGGGCTCTGATTCCAGTCCCTCGGCCTCCACTTAGGTCAGGGCCAGAAGTCCCTGCTCCCCGCTCAGAGACTCGAACTTTCCAAGGAATAGGAGATTTTCCCAGGTGTCTGTGTCCAGGCTGGTGTCTGGGTTCTGTGCTCCCTTCCCCACCCCAGGTGTCCTGTCCAGTCTCAGGTTGGTCACATGGGTGCTGCTGGGGTTTCCCATGAGGAGTGCAAAGTGCCTGAATTTTCTGACTCTTCTCAGATCCTCCAAAGGCACACGTTGCCCACCACCCCATCTCTGACCATGAGGCCACCCTGAGGTGCTGGGCCCTGGGCTTCTACCCTGCGGAGATCACGCTGACCTGGCAGCGGGATGGGGAGGAACAGACCCAGGACACAGAGCTTGTGGAGACCAGGCCTGCAGGGGATGGAACCTTCCAGAAGTGGGCCGCTGTGGTGGTGCCTTCTGGAGAGGAACAGAGATACACATGCCATGTGCAGCACGAGGGGCTGCCCCAGCCCCTCATCCTGAGATGGGGTAAGGAGGGAGATGGGTAAAGAGGGGAATGAGGGGTCATGTCTTTTCTCAGGGAAAGCAGGAGCCCTTCTGGAGCTCTTCAGCAGGGTCAGGGCTGAGGCCTGGAGATCAGGGCCCCTCACCTTCCCTTCCTTTCCCAGAGCAGTCTCCCCAGCCCACCATCCCCATCGTGGGCATCGTTGCTGGCCTTGTTGTCCTTGGAGCTGTGGTCACTGGAGCTGTGGTCGCTGCTGTGATGTGGAGGAAGAAGAGCTCAGGTAGGAAGGGGTGAGGAGTGGAGTCTGAGTTTTCTTGTCCCACTGGGGGTTGCAAGCCCCAAGTAGAAGTGTGCCCTGCCTCATTACTGGGAAGCACCATCCACACTCATGGGTCTACCCAGCCTGGGCCCTGTGTGCCAGCACCTACTCATTTGTAAGGCTCCTGTGAAAATGAAGGACAGATTCTTCACTTCGATGATTATGGTGGTGATGGGACCTGATCCCAGCAGTCACAAATCACAGGGGAAGGTCCCTGCTGATGACAGACCTCAGGAGGGCAGTTGGTCCAGGACCCACATCTGCTTTCTTCATATTTCTTGATCCTGCCCTGGATCTACAGTTACACTTTTCTGGAAACTTCTCTGGGATCAAAGACTAGGGGTTTGCTCTAGGACCTTATGGCCCTGCCTCCTTTCTGGCCTCTCACAGGACATTTTCTTCCCATAGATAGAAACAGAGGGAGCTACTCTCAGGCTGCAGGTAAGATGAAGGAGGCTGATCCCTGAGATTGTTGGGATATTGTGGTCAGGAGCCTATGAGGGAGCTCACCCACCCCACAGTTCCTCTAGCCACATCTGTGGGCTCTGACCAGGTCCTGTTTTTGTTCTACCCCAATCACTGACAGTGCCCAGGGCTCTGGGGTGTCTCTCACAGCTAATAAAGGTGACACTCCAGGGCAGGGGCCCTGATGTGAGTGGGGTGTTGGGGGGGGAACAGAGGGGACTCAGCTGTGCTATTGGGTTTCTTTGACTTGGATGTCTTGAGCATGAAATGGGCTATTTAGAGTGTTACCTCTCACTGTGACTGATACGAATTTGTTCATGAATATTTTCTCTATAGTGTGAGACAGCTTCCTTGTGTGGGACTGAGAAGCAAGATATCAATGTAGCAGAATTGCACTTGTGCCTCACGAACATACATAAATTTTAAAAATAAAGAATAAAAATATATCTTTTTATAGATACAGGTAGATATGTTTTTATAGCATGCACGTAAGTGTGTGTGTGTGTGTGTGTGAAGAGAAAGAGTGAATAGAGAGATTAAGATTCTTTTAATGGTGAAAAGATATACATATATTTGGAATTAGCCAGCTTGACTCAGTTTAGGTGATCCCAATTTTGGTGGCAACAACCAAAGCATCGTAGTCAGGAGCCAGTCGAACATATGCCTTCCTCTCTCCATCAGACTGAATCAGAGTGTTGACTTTGGCCACATCAATGTCACAAGCTTCTTCACAGCCTGTTTGATCTGGTGCTTGTTGGCTTTAACATCCACAGTGAACACAAGTAGGCTGTTGTTTTCTATCTTCTTCACAGCCTACTCAGTGGTCAGCGGACTCTTGATGATAACATGGTGGTCAAGCTTATTTCTCCTGGGGGTGCTCTTCCAAGGATATTTGGGCTGCCTCCGGAGTCACAGTGTCTTGGGCCGCCGGAAGGTGGGTGACATGTGGATCTTGTTTTTTTTGTGGCTGTGGACATCTTTCAACACTGCCTTCTTGGCCTTGCAAAGCCTTCGCTTTGGCTTCGGCTTTAGGAGGGGCAGGAGCTTCCTTCTTCGTTCTTGGCACCATCTTATGAAAAGGGTCCAGATTAAGATTTTTGACTGAGTCATTCTAAAGTAAGTTGCAAGACCCATGATACTAGACCACTAAATACTTCATCACACACCTCCTAAGAATAAGAACCAACATTATCACACCAAAGAAAATAAATAATTCCATAATATTATTTAAAGTCCTTTTATGTTCAAATATCTCCACTTCTTTCAGTACATTTTTGTACCTATTTTTTATAGCTTGTTTTCTTAAAATGTCCACTCGTTGCCTTTGGTTATGTTTCTTTAATTACCTACAATCTATAACAATCAACCCATCTTTTTTCTTTTAGAATGGCATTACCTGTTTCAGAGATGAGGCCAAATACCTGTGGAATCTTCTCCACACTGAATTTATCATATTATTTCCCCTGATGCCTTTAACTTTTTTCCTCTAACTGCTATGCCTCCTAAGGACCTATGTAGCTCTGGGTTAAACATTTGGCAGCAATGTTTACAGGAGGAGCTGTGACCGCACATTCATCACATCAGGAGGCACACAAAGCCTAGGGTTACCAGGACTCTTTCTGACCCCATACAGCCAAATTTATCCTGACTTCCCAGAGATGCAGAACCATGGGCTGGGTGTTTAGTGGGTATGAGTGTGATATTCTGGCAATAGGAGGTTCTGCCACTCTCCCCATTCCTCACGAGCTTTAGGTCCCCATACCCTGAGGTTCTGAGCTCCAGACCTTCAACCATCAGGCCAGGCCCCTCCAGACCTAGACTCCCTTCCTGTCTTCTCCAGCCCCACTCTGCTTTGTATCTACTTCCGGATCACTTTCCCTCTACAGGCCCAGCTCCTGAGTGTCTCTACCTCTCAAACAAGTATTCTCATCCAGGAGCAATTTTCCCACCAGAGGACATTAGCTATGTCTGGAAAAATGTTTTGTTGCCATGACTGGAGTGAGGAGGAGGTGCTACCAGCATCTTGTGGGGAATGACCAGGGATGCTGAACATCCTGCAGTGCACAAGTCAGCCCAATCACCCACATAACAGATAATTATCCAGCCCCAATACCAAGATTGCCAAGGGTAGGAGGCCTGCCAGGACTTTCTCTCCCTTGAGTACAAGCTTCCTTGAACTGAGGGACACCCTGAAGGAAAAGTGTGGTCCCACCCCAGTCATCTCTCCCTTCCCTGGAGCTCCATCTGTATGCCTGTAGTGCTTAGGCCCTTAACCTGGGGTCCAGGAACCCACCTTCCCATGAGACTGCATGCAGAAGTGATGATATGTGCACACATGACTTCATTACAGGGCATTGGATATTGATATTCATCAGGTCAGCTGGGGCCCAAGACACCACTCTTCTGCCAACAGGCCGCAATCCTCTGCATTAGAGAGAGGGTAAAGATTGAGGGAGGCCCTAACTTCAAACCTTCTATCACTGCTAGTGAAGTGCCAAAAAGAAGTGCAAGGTCATCTGCCCTTGTAGGAACCACACAGGAAGGCAGAGTGTCCACCAATGTCAAATTCCATCAAAGAAATAATATTTTGACAAAAAATGCAAGTCACCTTTCTAAGTCCCAGACAGCAGCTCAAAATAAAAAGCATTAAACCCCTCAAATCTTAGACCAGGTGAAATTATTGAAGCTGCAGTAAGGTCTTGTGGGACCTGCAGTTAGAGAGAAGGGACAACTCAATTTGGGACTGCAGCAGAAACCCCTACATCATGGGGTTCCTGGAAGGGACCCTCTCCCTTCAGCGACGCACTGTGAGGCCATTTCTAGGTAAAAAGGTAGAATTTCCTTGGATTCCTGAGGTTTATTTTACACTTACTGCTTATTCTTTGACTTTATAGAAGCCAACTTCAGTTTGAACATCTTGCAATTAATTTTTTTTGGCTCTAAGTGGAGAATTTGAACTTGTTTCTGAAGAAAACCAGGGGCTCCTTATGTGAGCAAGCACCCCTCCCTGTGGCCCCCTTATGCAATAAACATAAGCCATTGTGAGCCAGCAAAATTTAAAGCAAGGAAAGCAGTAAACCCTCCATTTCAGCATGTTTCAGCCTGTCTAGTGATGTTCTAGTCTTGCCTCACTCTTAACATTTTAAAATTTATAATTTTATTTGATTTTGATTTAATAAGAATTCATATGTATTCATTTCTTTTGGGTTTGTCACCAAAAGCCTCCTCCAATCACCTGTGGAGTAAAGACAAGTAAATAAATGCATGGTGTTCCCATTTATCAGTGCTCACTGCATCTTACAAGTGTATCAGCCCCACTTCAGCTGATAGTACCAGGAAACCTTAATACCCACATACAAAATAATGATGTTGGACAAAATTCATAGCATCACCTTACACCATATTCAAAAATTAACTCAATTAACTCAGAATGGTTCAAGGAACTCAACTTAGGAGTTCAACCTATAAATCTTTTAGAAGAAAACATTGAAGAAAATCTTAGGAACATTGGATGTGGCAATGGCTTCTTGGCTGGTGAGCAAAAGCACAACCAATAAAAGAAAAACAATAAATTAGACTATCAAAATTTAAAAACCTTTTTTATATATCAAGGGACACTATTAAGAGAGTTAAAAGAAAATGCACAGAATGGGAGGAAATATTTGCCAATTATATACCTGATAAAGAATTAATATCCAGAATACATAAAGAACTATGACTTAACAACAGAAAAACAAACAATCTCATTCAAAAATGAGTGAACAACATGAATAGACAATTCTCCAAAGAAGATATACAAATGGGCAATAGGCACATGAAAATATGCTGAACTTCACTAGTCCAAGTGTTGGCGAAGATGTGGAGAAGTCACAACACTTGTACACTGCTGGTGAGAGTGTACAGTGGTACAGCGACCATGAAAAACAGTATGATGCTTCCTCAAGAAAGTAAAAACACAATTTCCATAGGAGCCAACAATTCCACTTTTGGGCATATACCCAAAAGAATTGAAAGCAGGAACTCACACAGATAATTGTACACTCATGCTCATAGCAGCACTATTCCCAATGGCCAAAAGGTGGAAGCAACCGAGTGTCCATCGGAGGATGATTAGATAAACGACCCATGGTGCACATAGCATGGAATATTATTCAGCCTTAAAAGTGAATGAAATTCAGGTTGGATGACCCTTGAGAACACTATAAGTGAAATGAGCCAGAAACAAAAAGACAAATATAATATTTCACTTATGTGATGCAGCTAAAATAGGCAAATTCATAGAAACAGAGAGTAAAATAGAATTTACCAGAAATTGAGGGTAGGGAGAATGGGCAGCTTTGGTTTAATGGGTCCAGTTTCTGTTGGGATGATGAAAATGTTCTGGAAATGCATATTGGTGGTGGTTACACAACATTGTAAATGTGCTTTAGGCCACCGAATTGTACACTGAAAAAGTGGTTAGAAGGTAAATTACATGGTATGTATGTTTTACCACAATATTAACAAGTATATCAACACTAAATCCAATCACTTTTCACTCCTCTCCTGCCACCACGCGAGAGCCACCCTCTCAAGAATTGTAAACCAGAAGGGCTTTCCAGCTGGGCTGCCTGCTGCCTCTCATGCCCACTGTCCATTACTCACACAAAGGCAGAGTGAGCCTCTCAAACGAAAATTAGGACATATCCTATGAACACCTCAGCCCTTTTCTTTCCTAGGCACAATGAAACCTCAGTCTCTCACCGTTTCCTACAAGCCCCTCATCATAGGACCCCTGTGGCCTCATCCCGCCATTCTCAGCCCAGCTCACTCGTCTCCACTCACACCAGCCTTTTGTCACTGCTCCATCCTGTCTCTGCTACCTGCCCCTGCTGTGACTCCCACATGCACCTGCTCCCCGGGGGTCCACATGGCTCACTCCTCACACCATTCGAGTCTCTGTTCAAATGTCCCATGGTCAAGTTCTCAGAAATGTCATGCCCAGTTACCTTTTCTGAAATCTATTCCCTGCCATTCCCGCCACTCCCACCAATCTTCTAGCCTAGGTGTATTTTTTATCAGTGGCAATTATCACTGATACTGTGACAGATTCTATTTGTTTATTGTCTGTTGGTGTATCAGGGTTACCAAGACAGAAAGACCCAATAGAGTAGATGGATGGATAGATGATAGATAGATAGATAGATAGATAGATAGATAGATAGATAGATAGATAGAGAGACAAGAGGGGATTTATTAGTGGAAATGGCTCACATAGTTATGGAGGCTGATAAGATCCATGAGAGGCCACCTGCAAGCTGGAGAACCAAGGAAGACAGTAGCCTGGCTCAGTCCAAGGCCAAAGGCCTGAGGGGCCAGAGGAGGAGGTGGGAGGATAAAGGGTTGACTGGTGCAACACTCAATCAAGAGTCCAAAGACCATACAACCTGGAGTTCTGATGTCCAAGGGCAGGAAAAGTGTCCCAGATTGAGAGAGAGAGAGAAAATTTGACTCCTTTCTGCTTTTTTGTTCTATCTGGGCCCCTAGGTGATTGGATTGTGGCTGCCCGCAGCGAGAGAGGATTTTCCCCGCTCAGTCACTCACATGCCAATCCCTTCCAGAAACACCCTCACAGGCACACCCAGAAATAATGTTATACCAGCTATCTAGGCATCCCTTAACCCAGTCAATATGACACCTAAAATTAACCATTACAGTCAGTATCACTGAAATGTATGTTCTTTGATAAAGGGATCTGGTCTGTTTCCTTACCATTGTTTCTCACCATCATAATCAGTAAATAGCTCTCAGTAAGTATTTGTTAAATGAATAAATATGTCAGTACAATCACAGTATGACAGTATAATAAGGCTTTAAAATGTTTAAAGCAGTCTCTGGTTTAATATTTATCACTTGAGTAGTCTATGAATTTATTTATTTTTGGAGACAAATTCTCACTCTGTAGCCTGGTCTGGAGGGCAGTGGCATGATCACAGCTCACTTCAGCCTCAACCTTCCAGGCTCGAACAATCTTCCCACCTCAAACACTGGGGTACCTAGGACTACAGGCTCATGCCACCATGCCCAGCTAATTTTTTTTTTTTGTATTTTTTGTAGAGACAGGATTTTGCCATGTTGCCCAGGCTGGTCTTGAACTTCTGGGCTCAGACAATCCACCCTCCTTGGCCTTCCAATGTGTTGAGATTACAGGCTTGAGGCACCGCACCTGGCCTGAGTAGTCTATGAATTTTTAAAATCCCAACCATAGGAGAATCTTTATGTACAAACATGCTTGTCAAAATATTACCTACAAAAAGATAAGATGAAAGCAGATGGATCTAAAAGAACTCAGTTACATCACCTCCTTATCTGAGATGGGATGCAGCTTGTAAAAGTGTGTCAACTTTTTAAATTTAAAAATTTTTTTAGATGGAGTCTCATTCTGTCACCCAGGCTGGAGTACAGTGGCAGTGATCTCGGCTCACTGCAACATCTGCCTCCTGGGTTCAAGCAATTCTCCTGGCTCAGCATCCTGAGTAGCTGGGACTACAGGCACATGCCTAGACTCCTGGCTAATTTTTTGTATTTTTTAGTACAGATGGGGTTTCACCATGTTGGCCAGTCTGGTCTCGAATTCCTGACCTCAAGTGATCCACCCACCTCGGCCTCCCAAAGTGCTGGGATTACAGGCGTGAGCCACCATGCCGGCCGAAAAAGCATGTAAACTTTATACAGAGTTTACAACATGGAAAACTACTTGTATAATAATACATTCAAAAAGCAACATTCAAGATAACCCATAACATATGAATGCAACCTTGTACAATAAAGATACCTATAAAAATATATACATAGAGAACAACAAAATGGGCCAGGCGCCTTGGCTCATTCCTGTAATCCCAGCACTTTGAGAAGCTGAGGCAGGTGGATCACTTGAGGTCGGGAGTTCCAGACCAGACTGGCCAATATGGCAAAACCCTGTCTCTACTAAAAATACAAAAAATTTGCTGGGCCTGGTGGCGCATGCGTGTAATCTCAGCTACTCAGGAGGCTGAGGCATGGAAATCACTTGAACCCGAGAGGCGGAGGTTGCAGTGAGCTGAGGTCGCACCACTGCACTCCAGCCTCAGTGACAAAGTGAAATTGTGTTTCAGAAACAAAAACAAAAACAAAAACAAACCACCACCAACAAAATGGAAATCAGCACCATGCAAAGGACAGCTCCAGGGACCAACAGTCACACTGAGTCCAGGAAGGTTCAACAATACAATAGCAGTGATATTTTTGAGGGGAGACCTAGGTGGTATTTCTTCTGTGTATTTTATTTTTTTTAATTCAAGTAGGCATTGATCTGTGTATTTTAAAGTCTTCTGTGATCAAATAGATTTTCACATTTCTAATATTCAAAATAAAGCATTTGAAGTAAAATAACAATGAAAAGTGGCTGAGTGCACACCTGTAGTCCCAGCTACTCAGGAGGCTGAGATGGGAGAATCACTTGAGCCCAGGATTTTGAGGCTGTCGTGTGCTATTATCACACCTGTGAATAGTCACTTCTCTCCAGCTTGGACAACATAGCAAGACCCCATCTAAAATAATAGTAATACAAAGAAGTTCAGATCTCCTTCCAACCTCAGCCTAAAGCAAATTTCTCATTTGAAATCCATAGGGCAGAAATGCCGATTATGGCACCTCCAGAGAGTAGAAAAATATTCTTCCTCCACTCCATGACTCATCCTTTGGTTACAGCGTTTAGCTGAGCAATGAAGTCAATGCTAAGAATACCATCAATTTATAAAATACTGATTATCTCATTTATAGACATAAAAATACTATAATTATATATACATTTATGTAAAATTACCATCACACCTAAGACAGCGAGATGGATTTTTCCCTTCCACAGATGAAAATATGAGTCCCTGAGAACATAAAATCTTCATTTGAGCTCACTGAAAATGTTGGCCTTGAGAATTAGGAGACACTTAGTCTCCTGCAGGCCCCCTGGGCATGAGCCACACCAGTGGAGGCCACACAACAGCAGGAAGAGCAACTGAGAACCCTGGAAGGTTCACACTTGTAGAGGGTGCACATCCAGTGAAATGCAGTTGATGGATGGGCCAAGGTAACAATCCAGCTCCTTCCTTCAGCTGGGGGAGGCAGATGGGTGAGTCAGCTACGCATGAGGTGTATGGTGTTCCTAGAGCTATTGTTAGTTCCTCTGCTGTGAACTCCACCCCGGGCATACAAAAATTATATACTCACTGGTAAGCAGGATCCTTTTTAGGAAAGCAAATGACTTTCCTAACATAAGGTCAAACATTTCCCTCCAAATGAATCATCCTAGTTGGATAATCTCTTCACTCCCACTGAAATTGCCCCAGAGTTGCACCTGAGCATTTGGATCCAAGACAGAAAGTCATTTTGGGGGTTGGGTCTGGCTGATCTGGGAGTGTTGTGAAGAAAGGCTTTCTACTTACAGAAGAACAAGGGTGAGCTCTGAGTAGGAGATGACATCCTGAGGGGGAAAGACAGATGGGCAGATGCTCAAGCAAACTCAGGAGTTTACCATATAAAAGATTTTGGAATCTATTCTTCAGCCTCTTTTTTACTGTGATACAATATACATGAACACAAAATTTACCACTGTACCCATTGTACAATAGGTGTACAATGCAGTGACAATTAGTAGGTTCGCAATGTTATGTAGCCATCATCACTCTCTAGTTCCAGAGTATTTCATCACCTCAGGGGAAACTCTGCACCATTAAGCAGTCACCCTCCATTTCCTCCTGCCACCAGACCCTGTCACCACAAGTCTGCTTTCTTTCTCTATAGATTGGTCTCTTCTGAAGATTTCACAAAAATGGGTTCATGAAATATGTATCCTTTTGTGGCTGATTTCCTTCACTTATCATGTTTTTGAGATTCAGCAATGTTGTAGCATGTATCAGTATTTCATTCCTTTTATGGCTAAATCATATTCCATTGTAGAAATACACTACATGTTGTTTATTCATTCATTAGTCAATGGGCATTTTCTTTTAAACCAAATAGGAAAAACAAAGGAAGAATTAAACACCAAAAATATACATGTTACTACTAGCTTTTATAGGACTACTATATATAGTACTATATATATATGCACACACACACACACACACACACATATAAACACCAAAAATATACATATTACTACTAGTTTTTATAGTATGACTACTATATATAGTACTATATATATAATTTCATAGTAGTACTATATATAGTTATATATATGTAGTACTATGTATAGTCATATATATGTATATATGTATATATATGTGTATATATATATTTATATATATATAAAATCCATTATTTCTGAAGGAGAGTTTTTCCAGACACACAATTCCTGCATGACAGTCTTTTTTTTTCTGACCTCTAAATTTGTCAACATTCCAATGCCTTCTGAACTCTATGGTTTCTGAAGAAAACTGGGCTGCAATCTTATTGAGGATCCATTGAACCTGAAAAGTTCCTTCTCTGTTATTCATTTCAATATGCTCTGTTTGTCATTGGCTTTTGACAGGTTGATTATAATGTTCTCTTGGTGTGGACCTCTTTAAATTTAAATTTTTTTGCTGCTTAAAATTTGTCAAGTTTGTTGGATGAATAATGTTTTTCATCAAATTTGGAAGGTTTGGAGTTATTCTTTAAATAGTCATTCTTCTCCTTTCTCTCTCTCCTTTCTTTGAGGACTCCCAAAGTGCATGTGCTTGATGTTGTCTCACAGATCTTTAAAGTTCTGTTTATTTTTCTTCATAATTTTTTTTCTTTCTGCTACTGAACTAGAGAATTTCAATTGTCTTATCTTCAAGCTTGCTGATTCTCCATTCTGCATGGTGAAATTTGCTCTGGAGCCCCTCTAGTGAATTTTTCATTTCAGTTATTGCACTTTTCAGCTCCAAACTTTTTATCTGGTCTCTTTGTAAAATTTCTACCTTTTTATTGATGTTCTCTATCTGGGGAAACCTGCAACCACCATCTTCTGAAGCTCTGCCCATGTCAAGAGGTCTGTGCATACCTCTCTCTTCCATCCCCCAGTTTTCCAACTTTATTTTGCTCAAGTTCCTGACTGACCAAGCAACCCATGAGCCACTGCCCATGACTCATTCATTCATGCACTACTGGGGCATCATTTCACACCCTCCACCTTGCATGGGCCTTTTTGGGTTTTGATTCCTAGTTCCTGGCTCAACAGCCATTTCCAAAGCTGTTCTTGTGTTAGCTCCCAAGCCTACTGCTCTTGTTGTAGATTCTCCTCTTAATGTCTGAGTCACAGCATTTATTTCATAGATTTTTAATAATTGGACTAATTTTTTCCAATGCAGCATTTCTAAGGACTTTCAGTAATGGAGATTCTATATTAGCTTAGAAAGAATTGTTTCAAAACATCAGAAATGTATACTTGAATGAAGGACAACATGCATGGAGAAAGGTGGACAAACCATAAGTGGGCCGTGGATTTTCACAAAGTGAACACTCAGGTAAATAGCAGCCACATCAAGGAATAGCATTGCCAGCCTCCAGGAAACACCATTGGGTTCTACTTGGTCATAAATCACCCTCCCCAACCCTAGAGTAGACACTTTCTTGATTTCTAATATGATAGATTAGTTCTGTCAGTTCTGGACACAGTCACTGCCATGTCCCAGGTCTTGCTGTGTGTGGTCACTATTCACTCCTGTGGCAGTCAGGTGCTCAGCTTTATAAATAGCTCACACTTCTTGTCTCTCCACTGTTGATAGACATTTGTGTTGTATTCAGAGTCTACAAATCGTGCTGCTATAAATAATATTTTCATATATTTTGGCACACAAATGCATGCATTTCTATTGGTATATAACAAAAAGTGGAATTGCTGGGTCATAGGTGATTAGAAACTTGGTTTAGTCTCTCAAAAAACAAGTTTCTACTGAATAGATAACTGGTGGAAGAGGGTAAATCTTTTATTTTAGAAATTATGCAGCTAGTATATGAAAAGAAATGAAAGACTGAGACTTTTGCAATTTGTAATGAATTAACAGATTTAGCCACTGAACAGCAATGGCAATTAACATCACAAAAAAGAAATAACTAGTATTGAATTCTTCCTCTTGATGAAAAACATGATATAGTACCATCAATCCTCATGGCAAAAAAAAAAAAAAAAAAAAAAAAAAAAAACCCTGAATAGACGCAAACCTCTATAACAAACTACCAATTTACAGAAAATACAGGTCATAGAGATATATTAAACCACACCTTGGGGTGCAATCTGCAAAATGCAAAGGACAGGAAACTACCAGACAATATAAATTTCAAGCAGGAATCTATGGAATAAATGAGGATAAAAATATACTCTTAAAGGTAAAACTAAACTATAACTTTAGATGATAAAAATATAAAATTGTACAAAGAAGTGATGGCCATGTAAGCCAGGATGTGCTTTTATTTGAAGAAGAGAAGAGTTTATCATTGAGCTGGGGCAGTTGATGGGGCTTCTAGGTCAGCTGCCAAACTTCTCCCTCTCTCTGATGGTTAAAGGGTGTTTACTTTTGATTAAAGGGTACCATTTTTAGATCTTTTATCTTTTATGGTACCCGTGGGGTTTTTTATGACAAAAACACTAATAAAGAATAAAATAATATGTGACATATGGTTCTTGTTCTGCACCAAGCCTCCTTCCCACCCTCCGCTCCAGACACTGAGCACCCAGAACTACTGGCAACCCCAGGATACTTGGCAGGGCTACCTTACATCTGGGTGTGTGTCCAGCTCACATTGCCAGAGGCAATGTCCAGGGTCTATTCTTTGAGGCCTAGATAAACCTGACAGGACACAGCTGAGGGAAAAGCCTGGCCCCACTCTGGAGGCTCTGGCCATCGGTGTAGAGGGGACAGGTCCTCACCTCTCCACAGGTGCAGTTACAGTCAGAGCCTCTTCTCTGCATGGGAGTGAGGCTTGGTCCTTCCCCCGAACACGGGGACAGGGATCTCTCCAGAAGTGGAGATGACACCATTCCTCCTCTAACATGGTCCAATCTCGTGCTTGTTCTGCTTTACAGGAAAGTTGACTCATACTGGTGTCCAGTGAAGAAACCCAGGCGCATAAGAGGGACAGTTGGATCTCAGGTTTGTGCTTGATCTGGAAAAGGAAGAGCAGAGACCACTAGGAGGCACCACTGCACTGCTCATGAGCCCAGGAGGTGGATGCCGGGGCTGAGCTCAGGGTGGAGAGATGTCATTGCTCATCCTCCAGGTTCCAGGTGAAAACCCACCTGCCCAGCCCATCTGGTTCTCCCTGGTTCTTCAATTCTAGGGAGGACTGTCTTCTTCTCACCTCCCCAGACGATGCTTCTTGACACAGGAAAGAGGATGTGCTGCTAGGGTCACCATGTCCTGGTTTATTGTGTTGTCAGTAGAATGAAATCAAAATACATACTTCATAAATAATAAAATAACCCATAATAAGTAAACATTTACAATTTACTCACACCATTGAGGTTTCCTCCAGGTGTGAGCACAGCTGCAGACACACCTTGTCGCTTCAGTCAGGACACAGGACAGAGTAAAATGGGAAGAAACCACAGTCACTGCAGAAAGGGCCCCCATGGAAGAGGCCTGGCAGGGAGGCCAGCTGCCCCAGGGCCACCATATTTAGAGATGACTTCCCCTTTCTAGGCAGGACTGGGATTTTAAAATTCTTTTTGTATTCATAGTTGTTCTGAAATTGCAGGATGATGAGACCCAGCACTGGTGAGTTATACTGTCTCTTTCTTCCCTATTAAATTCTGTGCCAAACAGCACCTTCATATATTTATCTCCTCTTCCTGGAGAGAATAAAAACAATGGAAAAACTGAACCATACAAACATACTTTAAATATGTGCTGTCAGAAGTAGCTACTAAAGGATTAATTCCACCAAAGTGAGGGAAGGTTTGAAAAGAAAAACATTGTATACCCATATTCAAAGCAGCATTATTCACGATAGCCAAGACAACACACACCAACACATGAATGAAGAAAATGTGGTATATATCGACAACGGAATATCATTCAGCCTTAAGAAGGAAACCTGGTCACAGGCTGCAACAGGGATGAACCTGAAGGACACTGCTAAGTAAAATAAGCCAATCACAAAGAAAACCCAATACTGCACATTTCCATTTATATGAGGTGTCTAAACTGAAAGTAGACTAATGGCTGCTAAGGGCTCGGTGAGGGGGATGGATGAATGTTTGTTCAATGGGCATAGAGTTTCAGTGTTGCAAGATGAAAAGTTCTAGAGATCTGTTGCACAACTATGTATTTACAGTTAATACTGTACTACTGTATACTTTAAAATAGTTAAGATACCAAATTTTACATAATGTAGTTTTTGGCCCAAGGAAAAGACTAATTAGCCCTGTTACTAATTTAGGGAAAAAGTACATGAATTCATTAAAAATATATTAGTATGCGCTTACCTTAGATGCAGAAAACTATGAGACAAAAAGAGAGATCCCTGCTACCCCAGCTATCACCCATGAACCAGGAAAATCAGCACCTCCTGAAACTAGACAGAAAGGCTCACAGGCCCAGCCTTGACATGTTGAATCAGTCTGCATTTTGGCTGGAACCCAGGTGGCTCCACTGCATGTAAAGCACCTTCCCAGATAGTGATGGAGGGAGATCCTAGGACAGTGACTCTGCTCCATGGGGAGAAGCCTCCAGTCCAGATGGGAGCAGCCAGAAGGGCCCAGGAGGGACATTTCCAAGAAGATAAAATTAACAGAATGTCCAAAGTGTCCAACGTCTTGAAAGAATCATACAAACAAAAGAGATATTGAACTTAAATTAATGAGAGTTAATAAAATAAACAAAAACAAATGCAAGTATTAACTCCAAGAAGAACCAATGTTGTACAGGCAGTGAAAAGTAGTCCAGTTGACATATGAGAGGATTAGTCATGGTAAAAGAAACAAGAGATGGCTGAACTAAACATAATCACTATATAAATATACTGGGAAGAGTGAAAGAGAACAAGTACTCTTAACTGTTGCATCCACCATTGCGCTGTGCAACAATGGGTGCATCTGAAAAAAATCAAGCAATAATAATAAAGAAATGGTAGAGATACAGAAGTAAAGTCAAAAGAATCAGCTAAAAAACTTGAAAGTGGTTGGCCCCTAGAAAGGCAGAAATTGAGAAAAGGCAGAGAGGACTCTCATTTTTTCTCAAGAGATTCTGCACAAATATTTGACTCTTTCAATTGTGCACAATTATAAATTTGATTAAAATAAAAACAAAAGCTTCAGTGAATATGCAAGTTTATGTCTAATGACAACCGCATTCAACAATGATATTTAAGGGTTAACTAAAATGTGAAAATACTTAAACATGAAACAGGCATGTATAAATGTGTTTTTGACACCAAACGTGAACACAAATGTGAAATAATACACCTGTAAACACATCTCTGGATAGATAGCCCACGATTGAATTCTCTACCCCACCTCCTTTACTGGTTGACCTGTGAACACAGGCAGGCAGTGGACCAGGACCCAACTAGGTTCCTTCATCCTCTTGCTTCTAGGCAGGCCTTGCATCCACTTTTGCTGCACAGAGGGCTCCCATCCCTGCCTTGGTCCGTTTCACAGGTGATCCCCTAACTCTCCCTGCCACCACTGCCTTACCTGAGTGGAGCTGAGGCTACCCTGACCAAGAAGAGCACCACCCATCTGTGCCCCAAGGCCAGAAAGTTAAAAGGAACCTCACAACAGGGTCAGGAACTATCCCACCTCCCCACCTACCAATCAGTCTGAACTGATAATGGGAGATGCTGATACTTGCTTTACTCATCCTCATTCCCAGTTCATTTATTCTTCATTAATTCAGTCCAATCTCCCCAGTGGTCACTTAACCCCAGAAGCAGACTGATCTCTATTCTTCTTAATCAGGAAAGTCCAAAGCACTCCCTGTCCTCTCCCTCATATCAGACTTCAGCTCTGCATCTGCAAGATGCAGAGGTCCTCTGCAAGGCAGGTGTCTTCCCACAGGGTCAGCCCCTAAACACTGGCTGCAGATGTCCCCCTCCATCCCTTCCCAGCCCTTTCTGTGTTGCTGTGAATCTGTCCATCACCGAGAACTGGTGGGGAGATGCGGGGGAGGTGGGGAGATTTCTTTGTGCTGTGTCAAGGCATCAAGACAGACCTCTCCTTCTCTCTTGAACCTCATACTCTATCCCTTCCCAGACACTTGAAATAAAACACAGACCAGAAATGTCTACTTAAAGGGTAAATTTCTATAGTATAAAATTATGAAGACATAGTAGATATGAGGTAATGCATGAGAGTGTGACAGGGTGAGGGGACCTCAAGGTGCCAGGAAAGCTGGTCCTGGGCTCCCCAGAAGGAGCCGTAACCAGGACACTCACTCATAAATCTCATTTATAATAATAATACAATGACCGCATATGTAATATATTAAAATATAATCAAATGATAACAAAAATAATGTGGCACAGCTGCAAACCCCTCATATATACTAACGCTTTTCATCCACCCAACCACAAGAAATAAATGCTGTTAGTTTCCCCATTTCATAGATGAGGAAACTGAGGCACCAAGTGGGAAAGTGCTGGTGAGACCTGGGCAGGGAGTTGAATTCTGGCCATCTGGCTGCAGAGTGTAGCTGCCCTCAGTGGAGCCAGTAGACCCAGGAGTTGACACCAGAGACTGAAATCCCAGCTGTGCACTGCCCTGGTGGTCTCCTGTCCCAACCGGGCGTTGATCCGGGCCTTGCAGGCTCACGTGCTCTGGAGAAAATAGAGAAACCAATAAATGCTCCCCTGGGTGCAGAGTGCTGCTTTTTACTCCCTGAGGATTTCTCCCTCCTCAGTCACTCCAAAATCAGATTCACCCTTTCTCTGAGGGAAGATGATGCTCCCACATTTTTCTCCCTCCTATGGCACTTTTCCCAGCCCCTGCCAGTCCCCTCCCATGACTTCATGAAGATCAGCACTTGCCCTGTGCCCACTATGCACTCTGTAGGGACTGAAAGGGCCGCAGGACTAAATGACAAGACTCCAGAAGAAACTCAGTGCCCTCCCCTCCTCTCAAGCCTGGCCAGCTCGGACACAGTGGGAGGCCTCCCCAGAGAGAGGCCCTGGCTCCACGTACTTCCAGGCCTGGGCTGGGTCACACACAAGGCCTTTCTCTCCCTCTTTCCCCAGGCCCTCCTTTCCTGCAGAAGCACCTGCACACCAGGGCAGGCCCTGCCCACTGTGGGTTCCGCCCTCCACCTACAGCTCAGTGTTCCTCCCCTTCCAGTCCTGAGCAGGCAGCTCCTACCTGGAGAGCCCACCAGGAAGCCCAGCAGGCCTGTCAGGCCCAGGATGGAAACACGTGGCTGCCATGGGGTCTGCACCTGACCTGACCCTGGAGACCCCCTTGCTCAAGAAGGCTCTGCTTCCCTTGACACCCAGGTCCATGACCTGCACTTGGGATGCCCTGCTCCTGCCTGGTCCACTCATCCCTGGAAATCCAGCTCCACCCCAGGGCTGCTGCTTGGTGAGGCTGCAAGGCCTTCCTGTCTGGTTCCTAGCAGGGATTCCACCCAGGCCACTGCCCTCACACCCACAGAGGATCTTCTTCTTCTCCCTATGGAATAAGGGATTTCTTGAGACCCCTCAGCCTGAGGCTGCCTCCGCCCACTCTGCACCTGGGGATTGCCACAGCCACAGCCACCATCTCCCACATGGACCCTTCTAGAGAGAGAGTTTCAAATTTGAATTCCTGTTCCATTCAATATGCTTTACAGCATCGGTATTGGAGGAAATCCTATTAAGAATATCCAGCTGAAATTATGAACATCTTTATTGGACATCAACATTGAAAGCAGGAATTTTGAGAAATTAGCATGTGATTTTCACAACCTTTTTCTGGCCAATGCCCCAGTGACCTACAAGGAAACCTTTACTGCCCACAGGGAACCAGAACTGACAATTCCTCTACGGGAGATGCTGCAGGTGAGAGCAGGAGCAACCAGACCTGCACTGCCCCTGCTGTGGGTGCCCCAAAAAACATGGTCCTGGGGACTGTGTTCCTGGGGGCTAGACAAGGTAACACTTGGACATATGATGAAAACAGGGACCACAGCTGCCCTGACAAGGAGCTGGTTCCTGCTTCCCAAATGGCCCAGGGATGTCTGCTTATATACTCCTCTATAACATCTGCACAGAAACTCAGGGAGGCAGGGCCATGTGGTGGGAACCTCCAGTGATGCAGAGGACATGATACCCCCAAGACAGCTCCTGGAGGAGGCCCATGGGGAGCTGCAAAGTGGACAGAGATGGCTGTGTGCACTCAGGACCCTCCCTGTTACAAGGGGACCTCAAAGGGGCTGCACAGGCAGGCCTCCCAGTCTGGGCTTCGTGGGTCTTTTTCTTGGTGTCCTCCTGATGGCTGGAGAAACAGGAGAGAGGGATGCAGAGAGGAAGAGACTAGGGGCACCGCCTCTCCTCGGATTCCTCTCCAGTTTCTAGCTCCTCCCCAGATCACAGCCGCCTTTACTATTTACTCCCACTGAAGCCATGATCATCCAGGCCCTCAGCAATCAGCACGTGATTCTCAACTCACCCCACCTGGACGCACCGTGGTGAGCCCAAGAAACAAGAGAGACCAGGATGGGGACAGAGCAGGTGCCACGGCCCTCCCTGCTGCCCACTCCTCACCTGCAGCAGGAGAAGGCCACCGCTGGACATTTGAGGGCCGTGGCCCAGCCCTGGCTTGGGCAGGACTTAGGGGTGTAGATGGAGATGTGGCTCCCATTCCCCTCCCAAATACCCCAATGTCCATCCCCTGTTCCAGGACCTTGTTACCTACATGTCTATCTGTGCAGGAGCTATGAGGGGACCCTGCTGCCCAGAGAGGAGTCCTTCCATCTCCAGCCACTGCCCCGTTTTCTCACCTGGACTCTGCAGCTGATGTTGTCTTCTTCTTGCACCAAAGGACACAGAGAATACTACTACTACTACTAATACTAATAATAATGACAGTAGCAATAGCAGCATACAGAATGGCTGCCATTGACTCTGAAGCACCAGGGCCTTCTCTAAAAAAAGGGCCTTGTGACACACTGAGCACGCAAAGCCACAGCCGTCCCTGCTATCCCCACCCTGGCCTGACCTCCCTAGGTCGAAACCCTTGAGAGTTGCCCCAGGCTCACCAGAGGGCACAGGGTGAGTGCTGTGATTCCCTCTGTGTCCCATGTAGCAGGTGAACCTCTGCTCCTCTCCTCGGGGAATCCTGGTGGCCATGCAGGTCTGGTAGGTCCCATTCCCATTGGGCAGGACACCCGTAGACTGCTGGGCATCCTGGCTCAAAGATGCCTCATCCTGATGCCAGGTCAGAGAGATATTCCAGGGATAGAAGATGGAGACCAGCACATCATGGTGACATTGCCTTCTAAGGCCCCACTGTGCATCTCATTCACTGTGGGGGTCATTGGAGACAAAAGGGCAGAGCCAGTGAGGCATGTGGCCAAGCCTTTCTCCCCTCTAAGGGAGATGCAGGGAACAGGACTGGTCCTCTCTATTGTTCTGACTCTCGCTGAAACCCACACTGACCCCAGACCTTCTGCAAATCGGTCCTTACCTGGGGTCCAATTCCCCTAGGCTTGCTGGAAGATGGGCCTCAGGACTGTGGCCTCACACTCTGGGACTCCGGCTTTGATGCTGAGGAGAGGGTTGTCAGGGGTGGGCTCCTGGGTCGTGGGGCTAGGAGGTAGCTCTCCAGGATGGGCAGGCTGGGAGGCAGATGAGGCAGCCCTGGCCTTGAGGCCTTCCTTTCCTGCCTAATGCCCACCCCAGGTTCAGGCTTCTATAGGGGGACCCACTACTTTCACAGTACCTGTTTTTCTGATACCTCCAGAATTTCAGATATCACCATAGCTTTTGCATGTAGTCTGCCTGCACAGGGCAATAGTGTGTCTTGGTCTGCATGGCATTTTCCTCCCAGAAATTTGTGACATTCATAGCCAAAGTCTGAGCTCTGGAGGACCGGGGCACTGTCCATTACTGAGTCTCCAGGTTGGGAGAGAGGAAGAGCTTCCCATATGTGTAGAAATGCCTAAAGCCCCTGGTGCTGCTGGCTTCCTGATCTCACAAACCGTAATCTCCTGGAGGGAATGCAAGGCTGCCTGCCCCTACCCAGCAGTGATTTCTCCATTCCAGTCCAAGTGAGGAACTCGGACCAGGAAGGACCCCTCCCTGGCCCTCTTCCATCCCTCCCTGTGTGGGCTGAGCCCCGCTGAGCACCATTCCTCACCCCTACTCACACCCAAATCCAGTGGGAAGAGACAGGTCCTGCTCTCTGCCCCCAACTCTCCTGGAAAAGGCCTCTCCCATTACTCTTGCCCACTGCCCACTCTCACCTCCTTTCTGGCCCTTGATATGAGCCAGGGTCCTCCTGAGCTCCTGCCCATTCTCTGTCAAGTCTTCAGTCTCTGTGTCCCAGGTCTCAGCTCCCAGGACTGCTTCTGCCCACTGTCCCCGGGGCCCTGCCCTGCCTTTCTGCCTGTCACAGAGCAGGAAGAGCTGACCATCCAGATGTTCCTCAGCGAGAAACCCTGACTGCACAGATCCATCCCGGGACAGCACCGTGAGGTTGTAACAAAGACTGTGGGGCTCTGGGGAAGAGGAAATCACAGATGAAACTTCTTCCTGGAAGTAACTTCACATCAATGTTTAACACACAGGTCTGCTGTCCCGACCTTCCTGAGGAGGCAGGAAATGCAAACAGGCAAAGGGACAAGAATGAGGATTTCAGACGCAAGGAAAACTGGGAAGGTGGGAGGATAGAGGAGGGGACTGAGGAACAGAAGAAGGGGGAATGGGGATGGCAAACTTGTAGGCCAGGTGCCAGGGCAGGGCAGCCACAGGCCCCCTCAGGGTATAGGGAGGAGGCCAATGGAAGGGGCTGCCCTGCAGGTTCAAGGGAGGAGCATGAAGGCAGTGGTGGAAGGAAGGTCTTGCCAGAGGGGAGAGCAGAAACTGTAAGGGACCCAGGCTCAGAGGGACCCATGACCACCATGGCTGTGGTGCACAGGTGAGGGTGAGATGGAGGCAAGGTCCACTGCCTTTGAGGAAGGCTCAACATGGACAAGGTGGGGGCAAGGGAGACTTGGCTGTGAGGCAGGAGGGGCAGGTAGGCTGTGGTGCCAGAGACGTTTTCTACTAGGTCCGTATCCCAGGGAGAAGCAATGGCAATGCTTCAGAGTGGCATGGCAATGCCCCAAGTAGGGAGGTGGATGGACCAGTTGGTGTCCCCTGGGGTGGGCTGGTGGCAAGGGTCTTAAAGAGTCAGTGCATCTTTTCAACAAATGGTGCTAGGAAAACCAGATGTTCACATGCCAAAAAAAAAAAAAAAAATGAAGTTGGATCCCTAACTTACACCACATATGAAAATTAACTAAGAAAAACATCAAAGACCTAAACTCAAGAACTAAAACTGAAAAACTCTTACAATAAAACATAGGGAATTATCTTCATGCCATAGAATTTGATAGCACTTTCTTGGATATAACACCAAAGATACAACAACAAAGAAAAAATTGATAAATTGGACTCATCAAAATAAAAAAGTTCATTAAAAACACA
The DNA here is from genome assembly GCF_000001405.40 of Homo sapiens. Taxonomy (NCBI): domain Eukaryota; kingdom Metazoa; phylum Chordata; class Mammalia; order Primates; family Hominidae; genus Homo; species Homo sapiens. Next base: position 1,052,937 of record NT_167249.2, read on the forward strand.
ATAAACACAGTGAAAAAGCAACCCCCAGAATGAAAGAAAATATTTGCAAATCATATATATCTGATAAGAGATTAATATCCAGAACACATAAAGAACTCCTACAACTCAAACAGGAGACATTCAACTAATACAAAAGTAGGCAAAGGACTTGCATAGCCAATTCCCCAAACAAGATGTACAAATGGCCAACAGACACATGAAAAGATGCTCAGCATCAGCAGTCATTAGGGAAATGCAAATCAAAACCACAATGAACTATTACTTTACACCAATTAGTTTGGCTATTATCAAACACACACACACACACACACACACACACAGAAATATCAAGTTTGGCAAACAGGTTGCGAAACTGGAACCTTTGTGTAATGCATTTGGAAATACAAAATAGGGCACCTGTTATGGAAAACAGTGTGTTGATTCCTCCAAAAATTAAAAAATGAATTACCAGCTAGGTGTGGTGGCTCACGCCTGTAATCCCAGCACTTTGGGAGGCTTAGGCAGGCAGATCACGAGGTCAGGAGATTGAGACCATCCCGGTCAACATGGTGAAACCCAGTCTCTATTAAAATACAAAATATTAGCTGGGTGTGGTGGTGGGCACTTGTAATCCCAGCTACTTAGGAGGCTAAGGCAGGGGAATCACTTGAATCCGGGAGGCGGAGCTTGCAGTGAGCCGAGACCGCGCCACTGCACTCCAACTTTGGCGACAGAGGGAGGCGCCGTCTCAAAAAAAAAAAAAAAAAAAAGAAGCAGTTGGACACACGGCCTGTGTTGGGTCTGGGTAGAGGAGGACAGATGTGCAGGGCAAGGACTGGAGGATGGGGTGAGCATGGTGTGGGGGTGACCCTGGGGGAACTTTGGTTAGGGTGAGGACAGGAGGGGAGGGTGCTCTGAGTGAGGGTGGGGCTTGGGAAAGATGAGAACTTGCTGAGGGCCCAAGGCAGCTGGGCAAGAGGTAGGAGCAGCACAAGGTCCCAAGGCGGAGAGGGGCGGAGGGACCAGGGAGGGATGGTCCAGCACCCGTGGGCTGGAGTGGGGGGTCCTCAAGAGGGTGGGGCTGAGGATGAAGGAGTAGGGAAGGGGCCACCGTGAGGCAGGGCCCAGAGCAGGCACCTGCACTAGAGGGGAGGGGGCATCTGCCCTGCCCTGTGCCCTGCCTAAGGCCCAACCAACATTAGCACTAGGGCTCCCCTTGGGTGGTCTAGAGGGGAGTGGGACGGAGGGAAGACCCTGAGACAAAAGGCGGCACCAGAGAGTTAGGGTCAGGGAGAGTTGGGAGTGGGAGGCATAGGGGCAGCCCTGGGTTAAGGCTGCTTCTAGGAAAGGCCCATAAGGGAGGCAGGAGGGACCTGCGGTGGCGGGGGCAGGGAATGAGGCAGAGGACATCCTAGAAATGTATCAGAGAACTGCAGATAGGAAGGGGTAACAGGGAGCTGGGAGGGCAACAGGACCCAAGGTGCCCTGAGGGCAGGGGAGGAGGTGGGAGGGAATCTGGTGTCCTTAGATCACCGGAGTTAATAGTAGCAGGGAAGGATGCAAGACAAGAGAGGATCCCCGGCAGCGGGAGGCCAGGGGAGAATGAGCTGGGGATGAGAGAAGTCGCAGGAAGAATCCTCTGCCCGGAGCCTGCAGACTCCAACCCCTCAGCGTGAGGGTCAAGAGCCCCACAGTCCCCACAGCAGCAGGAAGCACTAGCTCCGGGTCCCGAGAAAGGAGGGCCCCAACTCCAGGAGATGCGGCCCAGGAGCTGAGAACACGTCGGCTCCGGGAGAGGACAGGGCTTCAGGGACCTTAGGGCCGCCCCCAGCACCGAGGGAGGTGGCTGCCTCAGCGGCCGCGCTGGAAGGGCCCTCGAATGCCATTCACAGGAGCAGCCCAGGAACCCAGGGGCCTCAGAAAGACGGGTTTGTCCGAAAAGTGAGAGGAGACGGAGGAGAGGAGAGGAGAGAAAGTGCAGGACAAGACCAGAAAATGCAGGGGGCGGGTGATGAGCGATCCCGAGGAGGACTGAAAAGAGACGTGGAAGCAGGGTTGAGGTGTGGCGGGAACGGGCCGCGTCCACTCCCCGCACCCCCGACAGCGCACCTGAGCCCCGCCTCGGCCGCACAGCGCTCGCCGCTACCCACCCGGACCCCCAGAAACGCCCCGCCGCTGCCGCTCCGCCGAGGACCGCCAGGAACCCCACTTACCAGCAGCAGCTCCCTGGGGTGCAAAAAGGGCAGTGCGGATCAGGAACAGCAGGACTAGGCTCATCTCCATGGCCCAGACTTTGCTTTCCTCGCAGTGGCTCAAGCGGCTGCCAACCCAGCGGAGCCGCGAAGGCCCACCAGAAATTTCCTGTCACCTGGCCCCACCCCAGCGACCGCTCACCCAATGAAAACTGGCGCCCGCAGCTTAGGGCCAATCACGAGCTGGGAGGGCGGGGCCACACTCAGAAGGGAACGTTCCAGCGGTCAGGAGACCTGGAGAACTTGGCTGGCGGGACCTGGAGCCCAGAAAAGGGGGAGCGCGCGGAAGCGCCGCCAAATGCGGGGACTGGCTCCGAGCAGCTGAGAGTACAGCCCCAACCGCATGAGCACGACCTGGGCCCTGCCGCCCTCCCTGTATTGCGACCACCCCATCCCCGCACCCCCACCCCTAGGATAGCGTGCCTCACCAAGACCGTTTCGCCAGCCACCCCATCAAGCTGACTGTCATTCGCTTGTTCTTTCCAGGACACACTTACAGAAGAGACGAGGCCTGGTTATTCTTCCAACACACTCCCCTCAGCCGCGCACAGCGTTACTGGCTATGTGGCCAGTGACCAGATTTGCAGACCTGTTTCCAGACCTCAGCTACCTCTGTTTCTGAAGCACCTGCCCCAGCTGATCCGCTAAGACGACAAATCTCTTAGACGTTTCAGCTTTACAATCTCCTTCTCCTCCCTTTTACTCAAAGCTAGGTCCCCTTTCTTATGGTCACTTCCTGTAAGTGTGTGAGGTCTCCCGGGGCTGCCTCTCTATTCAGCCCCTGGGTGATCAAAAGGCCAAGGAGGCAGCTTGCCAGTGTCCACTCCAACACCAAGCTCTCCCCAGACTCCCTTTTCCAGCCTGCTTTAGGACATCTGTACCTCTGAGACCATAGTAGCTTCCAATGTGACAGGTCTACAAGGACACTCTACACGTCTCGCATGACATCATCCTCTCTTCCTCCCCTGTTTCTCTTTCCGTGGTGCCTTCTGATTTCCCCCTTTTCCTTCTCAAGTACTCAAAGCTCCTCCAACCCTATTTTGATCCCACAGCCACTACTTTAGTCTCGGCTTTCAGCCTAGATCACTGCACAGGATTCTGCCTAGATTACTGTACAGGCTTCCTAAACACTGTGACTGTCCCAGCTATAGTCAGAGTGCTCTAAGACCCCCACAGCACCCCATCTGCTGAATGTCACACGTGAGGTCTCTACCATGGAAGCCACAGCTGCCACAACCTCCTGTCTGTCACCACCCCCATTTCTCTGGTGACATCCCTCTTTCCAGTGTTGCAGTAAAAGTGGGCTCCCCAATCTCCTTGCCCTGTCCCACCGGGATGCCACTGCCTAAGCAGTCTCCTGCTTCCAGATTACTGTCGCTTCTGCCTCTGAGCCCATTAGACCGTGTCACATCCTTAAATCTTCCCAATTAGGCTGGTCAGAGTGTAGTGGTGTTTACAACTAATTGATCACAACCAATTACAGATTTCTTTTTTCCTTCTCCGCTCCCACTGCTTTACTTGACTAGCCTTTAAAAAAAGAAAATCTTCCCAATTAGATAATAGCGACTGTGGCACGATGTTGTGATTATGCTAAAAGCCACTGACCAGTACATTTTTTTTTTTTAACCAGGAACACCTGCACTTTATTGAATGCCATTGTAGAAAAGTGTGTGAGGATAAAGGGCTGATACAGAACTCAGCTCTGGGGCCAGGACGAGGAATGGAAGTTGGAGTATGTGGAATACAGGTCATGGGCAGAGCTCCTGGCCTGGATGATGCCTCCTGATCTATCGACAGACTTGGAAGATCAACACTAGGATGATGATGGTGAGCAGAATGGTCATGATGATGCACACAATGAGGGCTCAGATGTTCAGGTACTTGGCAGTGGAGGCATAGGCCTGGGCCCCAGTCAGGTCTCCAACCATCTTCCTGTCCCTAGACTTCAGGGAGTAGGTGAATGCTATGAATCCCAGGCAGTGGGGGTTCATGAAGAGGATGTTGGACAGGGACCAGACAACATAGTCAGACACGGGAGGTCTCGCTGCAGATATGGATCATGGTGGACATTGGGGGAGCAGGGTTGTGGGGCGCCCCCAGCACAGCCACCTCATGCTCCTCCTTGAGCATCTCATAGCTGGGGTTGGGGGGCGGGGGAGGGCAGCCACTGTTGGCAGGAATGAAGAAGGTTTGGGCAGTGTGGTTCATGGTGTCCAGCAAAGACCAGCTGTGGTCAGGTTGCTGGGATGGTTCTGAGTGGGCCCTGGACTGTACATTTTTAAATGGTAAATTACGTGGCACATAAATTATATCTCGATAATAAAACACCATGCAAAAGCCTCTTTCTACTGAAAGAATCATCTCGTCCCCAACACACACGTCTCTTACTCTTTGGAACATCTAGCCAGTGGTCCTCAAACCTAGCCACTTCACAGAACCACCTGGAGAGTTTTTAATATCCACGGTCCCAGGTCACAGCCAAAACCAATTGAATCAGTAAGGCTAGGTTGGACCTAAGCTTCAATATCTTTTAAAGCTCTCTACGTGCTTCCAATGTGTAGGCAAGTTTTAGAACCACTGTTCTAGCCCATGGTTTGAACCTCCCTGATGGGTACCAACTTTGCCTGCATTCTTGAACTCCATCTACTATTTATTTATTTATTTATTTTTAAGAGGGGGAGATCTCACTCTGCCGCCAGTTGGAGGGCATCAGTGTGATCACAGCTCACTGCAGCTTCAGATGCCTGGGCCCAAGCAATCCAGCCACTTCAGCCTCCTGAGTACCTGAGACTGTAGGTGAGTGTCACCATGCCCAGCTGTCATCTACCATCTTGTACCATCCCCCACTACACGATGAACAGTCCATGATCTGGAACTGTGTTCATTCTATCTTTGTCACTCTTACAAACATTTTTTAAAACTGAACTATACCTATAATTACTAACCATTCCTCTTAAAACTCCTAGCCTACACATTTCTGTGAGTGAAAATTTAAGCATCACAGGGTTTTAACAATTACTTAGATTTCCCATCCACATTCACTGATTATTTATTTTGATCATCATAATCTATTGCGCACAGCAGGGACTGGGGTCCTGTCCCCACCTTAGGGGGATTATTTACACTCCTAAAGATTACAAGAGTAGTGAGGGGCAGAGAGGTGGTCTCAGCTCTCCTGACAGAGGTCTCCCTTCCCTCCACAGTGTCTACCCTCCCTCCAGGACGACCTTCCTCCCTGTGCCAGCTCTAGCAAAGGGTCTCATTCAGCTCACCCCAAAAAATACTTTTAATACTTAAATAACGACAATAATAATAATATACAAGGTTAGTTCCAAGGCATGTAGAGGTGATGGCCAGCAGAGGTGAAGCCAATCCACCCTTTCTGGGCTAGGGGAAGCCCAGATGGTCTTCCGCTCGGGGTGAGGCACTCCCCAGGGTCCAGGCCTGGCTGCCCGTCCCCCACCAAGTCTCCCAGGCCTTCTGTCCAATGCCCTCTCCCTCCACCCCACCTCCAGCCCCTTCTGCTCTGCCCCATCAACTACGTTTTCTTCCTCAGGACTCGCCTTAGACCTCTGAACTCCGGGGCACAGAGGCGACTTCCTCCTCGCAGACTTTAGGCGCCACTGCTGGGTCCGGAAAAGAAAGAGAAAGGACCCAGTGCGGTCGCTTACAGAACCCAGGGCGCGGTTGGGCTGGGCGCCCGCGCGCGTTTTCAAGCCTGCGGCCCGGAGTTCACTGCGAGGACTGAGATCACCCGTCACCCCGCCCTGGTCTACAAGTGTTTGCTGATATAGAAACGGAATAACGGCGCTGTGGGCTGGGGAGGACGGAGTTGCCTTCAGGCTTCTGGTCTCCAGCCGCGGGGCACTCACAGCTGCCGCTGTGAAAATGCAGACCTGTGGGGCAGGAATTCCGAGTCCGGGGTGGAGCGCGATGTGGAATCTGACTCGCTTGAAACAGCACCGCGGTGGATTCGGATCCGGGTGAGTAGGGAAATGCGCCTCAGCCCCTCCCACGGGCCGCCCACGGATTCCAGGATCCGAAAACGCTTCCAGCTGCTCCGCCACCCCAGGAAGGCAGCGCCTGCCTCTGGGCGGTTCTGACGGAAACTGGCTCCTCCGCCTGCAGGAAAACTCACAACTAAGGGGCCAGGAGAAAGCCTCTCAGGGTCCCGCCCCTTCAGTGAGGATCCTAAATTTACATCCCGAGTGTGGCCCCATCAAAGACTGGAGCGACGTTGACTGAAATGATACAAGACCAGCAGGGGCGCAGGGCGCTGCGGCCCTCAGAATGCGGTGACAGCGCCGCCTCGCGTCCCTTCCCCGACCTGCCCCAGGCGGACGCGGTGACGTGTGTTGGCCTCGAGGCTGGAATACACCGGGGATCAAGTGCAGAGAAGGGAGAAAGTAGGGAAGGATGGCTGGGGGGTGGGGGTGGGGGGAGCGTGTTGAAGAAAAAAGGGAAGAGAGAGGAAGGAAAGAGGAGAAAAAAGGTGAAGAAGAGAATAACATTTAAAATATAGAGTTTTATTATTTCTAACTTTTATTTTTGGTTTTTATCTAGTTTTGGTATGTATGAATATTCTTAACATAGCTTTATCTCTGTCTCTCTGAATCTGTAAATATACAGTAATATATATACACACGTAAGCCTCTACCTGCCGATGTGTCAGGGTGTGTCTCTTGGGCACAAAAACAAGGTTTTTGTTTTGTTTTGTTTTACATAAGCAAAGTACAAATCTCAAAGAAGATATATTTTAAAAGCCATTTTATTGGGACTTGCTTTGCATACAATCAAATGTATCTAAACTGTATCTATTTGAAATGCATAGCTCGTTGTGTTTTGGCTGTTGTACACACCCACATCTCCACTACCACAATGAAGATGTAGAACATTTCCATCGTCCTCCAAAGAACTGCTATGCAATACAATTTTATAGGGTCAATAAAAGAGGTAAGATCAGTTTTAAGTATTGTTATGAGAAGATGTGTGCGTCTCATACTTTTAACCATTTTTTAAAAGATGAGGATATACTGAATTATAATGCCAGTAATACCACTTCCATAATGTATATTTTAAGTAGGGAAAAACCTGGAAGATTTCTCACCAAAGTTTTTTTTTTTTTTTTTTTTTTGAGACAGAGTCTAGCTCTGTCGCCCAGGCTGGAGTGCAGTGGCGTGATCTCGGCTCACTGCAAGCTCCGCCTCCTGGGTTCACGCCATTCTCCTGGGTTCACGCCATCCTCCTGCCTCAGCCTCCCGAGTAGCTGGGACTACAGACGCCCGCCACCACACTAATTTTTTGTATTTTTTTGTATTTTTTTTTTGGTAGAGACGGGGTTTCACCGTGTTGGCCAGGATAGTCTCGATCTCCTGACCTCGTGATCTGCCCGCCTCGGCCTCCCAAAGTGCTGGGATTACAGTCGTGAGCCACCACGCCTGGCCTTTTTTTTTTTTTTTTTTTTTTTTCTGAGACGGAGTTTCGCTCTTGTCGCCCAGGCTGGAGTGCAGTGGTGCGATCTTGGCTCACTGCAACCTCCACCTCCAGGGTTCAAGTGATTCTCCTGCCTCAGCCTCCCTAGTAGCTGGAATTACAGTCACTCGCCACCACACCCATCTAATTTTTTGTGTTTTTAGTAGAGATGGGGTTTCGCCATGTTGGACAGGCTGGTCTCGAACTCCTGACCTCAGGTGATCCACCCGCCTCAGCCTCCCAGAGTGCTGGGATTACAGGCGTGAGCCACTGAGCCCTCACCAAAGTCTTGACAGTGACTCCAGGGACTACAATAACTTGGTGATTTTCACTTTCTCTGAAATGTTGGAATTTTATATTACAGTATTAACTTGGATTTGGCTTGGCCCGGTGGCTTGTACCTGTAATTTCAGCTCTGGAAGGTGAGGCAGAATTGCTTGAGACCAGGAGTTCGAGGCTGCATTGAGCTATGATTGTGTTACTGCACTCCAGCCTGGGTGACGAATGGAGACATTGTTTCAAAAAAAGAAAAATAAATGCAATTAAAATTAAAAATAAACCTGAATTTGTATGGAGGTTAAGGAAGAGTATATCTCAGTTTGAAACATTATGAAGCTAAGCCCCAAACCCAAATAGTTAGAGATTTTTAAATACCAAAGTGTTAATTAAAACTCAACACCAGAAACTCTCTTTTAAGAGTATCCTTCATATTTTCATGGCATTGACTCTTTCTTAGTGTCTTTGACAGAAATGTTTTTAGTGGAGTAGAGATACATGTAATAAAATTTACAGAAGGGCTATAATAAAGAGGGAAACGCTAAATCGAGTCTGACACAGGAGACCCTGTTCCATTTATACTCAAAGCAACTTTGAAAACTGCGCCGTCATGGTGTCTTTGGGTTGAGACAAAGTCGAAGCAAATTTTGTTCCTAGAGTATTGATTTCCCCTTTCCAATGGTTAAAGGCTTTCGGAACTAGTCTGAAAACTCAGGCTCTGACTTTGGATCTAAAGAAGTGTCAAGAATGTGCGGGCAGTGGCGCTGCATGAATCTAGCGGGTCTGGGCGATGCTCTCTCCGGCTCTACCCAGTAGCAATTGCGGTAAGGACAGGACGCAGCGAAATTGTACCAGTGAGTCAGAGGCCAAAGGAGGAATCCTGGCCCAACAGCGCAGAGTGTGCTTTGTTAAGGTGGGGATCAGGTAGCGGAGGGAAGGCAAGGACACTCGGAATAAATGGCAGAGGAAGAAGGCGCGCGAGGGAAGACCCAAAGCCTTCCGACCCCTCCTTCCTTTCCTTCCTGTTGGGGTTGAAGGGCACCAGCCGGTGGGGTGCAGAGAATGGGAACAACTAGAGAGGGCGTGCCCCACACAGGCGTCCCGGCTCCCTTCTCCCAGCTACTACTGATGAGTTCAAACTAGGAGGACACTAAGACGTGTCTTTTGCAAGGTAGACTCCTTATCTCGCACTCCGTCTGGTTTTCTAAATCCATCCTAATGAAACACAAAAACCAAGAGCCAAATTCTGCGTGTGACTTTTCTGACCACTATAAGGTCCTCCCCCTCCCCATTTCTTGCGTGCTCCCCCCTTGCCTCGCCCCCTCCCCTTTGTCTCCACTTCCCCGCTCCTAAGTATCTCCTGCTTTCTTCAGAGGACTTCTCATGAAGTACAGACTCCTCCACCTCCAGGAAAAAGAGACAAAGTCCACTGAGAAGGACCTGAGGGATGCCTGTGACCCCGCCCCTGAGGTCAGCCCCTCCCGCATCGCTGGCTTTGGCTGTGTGTGTGTGTGTGTGTGTGTGTGTGCGCGCGCGCGCTTGTGTGTGTGTCTGTGTAAATGTTAATGGAGAGTCAAAGTGCTAAACTCGGCATCTATCATAGGAAACTTCCTCACCTTGGCACTGCATGCAAGAGTCAGCGTATTTATGTGCACCTGTGCCTTTATTTCAGGAGCTGGAACAATTTTATTCATGAGATCCGCAGAGTGCCAACGCCCCCACCCCAGAAAGCTTAAGGGACTCTGCATTAGAGAAGAGGGTGAGATTGGAGGGGCCCCTGACTCCAAATCTCCTGATCCCCCCCCCCACAAAGAGATGCTGAAAAAAAGTGCTGGACAATCCATTCCCTCCTGGGACCAGACAGGAAGCCAGAGGCACCGTGGATGTCAAATTCCAGCAAAGAAACAATTACAGCAAAATCTCCATGTCACATTTTTAAGCTTACACAATGGCTCAAATAGAACCAGCATCAAAAATCCCGAATTCCTGGTTCAGGTGGGATCACTGAAGTCTGCTGTTAGGCTTGGCAGGACCTGCAGGTAGAAAGAATGGCATCTCTATTTAGAGCTGCAGCCCAGTAGCCCCTGCTTCTTGGGCTCTTTGAAAAGACCCTCTCCCTTCAGCAGTGCACAGTGAGGCCATTTCTGGGGAAGAAATGTAGACTCTCCTTGGGGGAGGTTTTTATACTTAGTTACTGACTTTGCATTCGTTGACTTCATCTTTGAACATCTTACAGTTACATAATTTGCTTTGACTCTAAGTGTAGAACAAGGAACTGTTCCTGAAGCAGAAAACTAAGGGTTGGTGACCTGCACTGTCACCCCTCTCCATGGTGCTCTGATGCAATAAAATTGTGAGCCAACAAATCCATGGATAGGTAAACAGTAAACCATTTCAGCAAATGTTTCAGATGCTCCTTCGTGCCTAGCAATGTGCTAGCTTTACCCCAGCCTTAACATTCTAAAGTTTATATTTTCCTTGGTGTTGTTTTTAAAATAATTCATGTATATTTATTACCATGGGTTTGTTGCTGTAAACTCCTGGGAATGAACTGTAGAAATAAGTTAAGTAAATAAATGTGTGATTCTCCATTGACTTATTGCTAACACCATCTTAAATATTTGACCCCAAATCCAATCACTTCTCACTCCTCTACTACTTTACCCCAGAGCCAATCCTCTCTAGGATAGTAAATCAGATGGGCCTTCCAGCTGGGCTGCCTGCTGCTTCTCACACCTGCTGTCCATCACCCATGCAACAGGCAGAGCGAGCCTTTCAAATGGGAATTACGGCACATCCTCACCATCACATCCCACAGACACTCCATCCTCTTCCTTTCTTAGTGCAATGAAATCCCAGTCTCCCACCATTTCCTACTAGCCCCTCAACACAGGGCATCTGTGGCCTCATCCCACTACTCTCAATAGAGCTTGCTGGTCTCCATTCATACCAGCCTCTTGTCACTGCTCTGTTCTTGTCTCTGGCTTAGAGCTACTTCCTGCTATGGTCCTTGGACTTGTGATGTGCAAGAAGTTCTCAGGTATGGGAGGGACTAGAATGATGGCTTTGCCCCATCTCACATGTAGGGATCCCACTGCTCTTGGGGGATTTGCTGAGTCACTTCTCCCTGTTTCTGCTGGGGCTGGGGATGGTTAACCCAGTCAAGCCACACACCCTGAGAGGAAACCAGGTAGACAGGCTGACTGACAAGGAGGGCACTGCCTGTCAAGTGGCCAATGACCCCAGTCAGAAGAGGTGAAGGGTGAGAGAGGAGGCTGCTGGGAACCAGAAGCTTGGCAGCCAGGAAGACTGAGAACAATCAGGCTGACAGTAGAGGCTGTTCACTCTAAGCCCCAGGGTGCGGGGGAGGGTCCTTTACACCAGGGAGCTTCAGGTCTCGTGACTGTTTCTGGGCTCTGTACTCTCCTGATCCTCCATGAGGATTTTAAACAGTGAGATAAGGTATCCAGGGCCCCAGGAATCTGAATTACCTTTACCAAAGAGATCATCCTTCCATTTCATTTCTTATAAGATATGAAATATTAAATCAAACTAATACAGGATTAATGTGAAGCTAGCAGGTGTTTTGTGGATGGATTCCCCTGGCTGTTTATACTGGGGGAAGAAACAGGCCTGGCCCCATTCACAGATGAGAACAACAGGGTAGCCATACTCAGAGGACCTCAATACTGGGTGCTCCCAACCCTGCAGGAAAGACCCTCCCTGCAAACAGATGTACAGGAGGGTGACTGCAGGATCCCATGCTGTCTCTTTCTCCTCTCCTGAATCCTGGGTTTACCTTCCTAATTTCAGCTAAGTAGCTATATTAACCAGTTATTTAAGACTCACAGGGCCCCTCTCTACCATGGCACCTAACAGGGTCTTCTCTCCTCAAAAGAACTTCAGGAGGGGTCTACTCAATAAAAAGCAGCATGGAAGGGGCGGTAGGGGCAGCTCATCTCTAACTCCTGAAATAGACAGGATGGAGCCACCGTCTCATTCCTCACTTATCCCATGGTCCTGCCTCAAATACAGTCTCCTGCAGGCTCTGCTGGGTCTTTTTATTATCATTCTCCAGGTGGTGACCGGGTCCCTGATGCTGATGTGGTGCTCACAGCTTCCTGAAATATGACCCTTGGGGCCCAACACCAACAGGAGTTGAGGCCGGGGAGAAGCTTCAAGCTGTAGGGGATCTTTGGATTTGAAAGTAGGGGTTGGTCACGGGCTGTCTGTAATGCTCAGGGTGTCAAGGCTGAGAGTGGCTGAGCTGAATCTGCTCATTAGCATGTTCTCCACTGTTTGAGAGCTGCCTTGTGCAGACCAGCAAGACACAGATTGTTCACAGCTCCCCTTGTCTCTTGGAAGACCCTGACTTCTCTTTCCCCAGCTGTGCAGCTGATGAGCTCTATCTCCTCCCAAGCATAGCAAGGGGAGGATGGTGGGAGTGAGGCCCACTCCTCTGATGCCCCAGAACCCCTTCCACGTAATCTCAATATCCAGGCCTGGTGTATCTCCCTGGACCATCATTTCTTTTCTGGGAATGAAAGGGTTACAATATCTCCCTCCTAGATTTCCCTTGTCACTCACTCACCCTGAATAGACTTCTTACTCTATTAGTTATTGTTCTCATATCATTTCTTTGAAGCTGTGGTAAAATATTATCAGCCATTAATAAAACATGGAGGTTAGGTTCTCTTTTTGGATTCTGAGGATCTGCTGTGCTGGGGCAGGGGCAGGTGGGGAGAGAAGGGCGGGTGGAGGGCCAGGTGCTGAGTGGTGTGTGGCCTCGCTCTGTGCTCAACAAAGCTCCTGCTGTGGTCATTTCCTGTTTATTTGTCTGGATCTCTCCTTGCATTGTGATTGGTGCCTGGTCTTTAGGGGTGGGTGCTGCTCCAGGTCGGAGGCCTCACACAACTCCAGGCTGAGCCTTTCTTCAAGTCCATGGAGGTCAAGGGCAGATACTGGCAGCTCTCCATCCTGCCCTCGCCTCCACTTTATCTGGCATATTTTTATATGTTGATCTGATCCTCCTCATAAGGGATGTATATGAGCATTATTTTGTAGGAGAGCCGCTATGTCCCACAGTGGCCATGCTCTGTCCCTGACACCAGGATCCTGTGTGCTTTGTTGTTGTCGTCCCCTAAAGACCCAGGACAGCCTCTGCACATGGGGCTTCTCAGATGACACAGATTGATCGTTCCCACCTCTGCCTTCTTTCCTGTTCCATTTCCAGAATGCTTCTATTGTTTCCCTTTTATTGTAGTAAGTCAAATTTCTGAATTAAGGCCTGGGCACACTCACTCACGCCTGTAATCTTAGCACTTTGGGAAGGCTAAGGCAAAGGGATTGCTTGAGGCCAGTAGTTAAAGACCAACCTCGGCAACATAACAAGACCCAGTCTCTTCCAAAACAAATTGAATTCGCATTGTGAATAGATATGTTATTGCCATGTCATAAATAAATTCTTGTCCCTTTTTCTGTGGGAGCACCCTGTGGTCTGGGTCCTGGCAGGAAAGATATGGCACAGAAGGAAGACACGTTTTAAAGAGGTTCTGGCAGGGCTAAGAAAGTCACAAGGGGCACTGAAGCTCCCTGGGATGATCTGTAGCAGGAAATGGTTTGCATTTCTGAGCTTGAAAGAGCAAGGAAGGGAGCAGTTTCTAGAACTCAGGCAAATCTGTAGCTTTCACTAGGGGCAGCCCGCCATGCCTATGGCTGTAGATAGAGGCCTGAAGTGATTACAGAATCACAGAGCTGCCCAGAGTAAGTGAGGGAAATGAAAACCCTGAGTTACTCCTCCTCCCACACTCCCATCTCCTGCAGGTGCCTGTTATCATCCACACCCAAGCACAAGCCAGATGGTGAAGGAGCACAGGCCATGTCGTCTGTCTGTCATAGTTGCCTCCCAGTGTAGGGGGCAGGATGGAAGAGAGTGGATGATGGCTCTGTGAGGAGATGGAAGCTGAGAATAATGCACTTGCTTACAGTGTTCACATTCTTCATGGAATTTACTTAAATACACTAGCATTTGCTCTAATCCAAAATTATACCTTTAAAAAGCAACGTTTCGGCCAGGCATGATGACTCACGCCTGTAATCCCAGTACTTTGGGAGGCCGAGGCGGGTGGATCACCTGAGGTCGGGAGTTCGAGACTAGCCTGGCCAAAGTGGTGAAACCCTGTCTCCACTAAAAATGCAAAAATTAGCTGGGCATGATGGTGGGCGCCTGTAACCTCAGCTACTTGAGAGGCTGAGGTAAGAGAATTGCTTCAACCCAGTAGGCAGAGGCTGCAGTGAGCCAAAATCATGCCACTGCACTCCAGCCTGAGTGACAGAGTGAGACTCCGTCTCAAAAAAAAAAAAAAAAAAAAATCATGTATATATGCTTAGCAGGTAGTAACATTGAAGAGTACCTAACTCTCCTTCCCTATCTCCACATGGGACGTATAACTCATAAATAAATACCTTAAATTATTTGAGTATAAGCCATAAAAGCAGAGTCTGGCTCATATAAGCAAAAGGAAGTTGCTGGGCAGCTGTGGGTGAGGTTCACAGAATCATAGATGCTTCCAAAGTACCAGGACAGCACCAAGGAGCAGGCAGCAAGCCCTGACCAGTCTCACTGGACTCACCTGTGGAGTGGGAGAATTGTCACTGTTTCCTGATATCTTGTCATTGCTGAGCTTTAAATTCTGGAATAGTTTACTTAAATGGCTTAGTTTGGATCTCATAAATTTCTTATTTGCTTGTGATTTAATTTCAGGGATAGAGTCAATATTTGAATTTGACTCTATCCCTAAAAATGAATTCAGTTTTGAAGTTGAATCCAAATTCCATTTCAAGGATAGAGTCAATAGGAATAGAGTCAATGTTTTCCCTTAATGGGAGCTCCTTTTCTCCATTTATCTTCTTAAAGCAGGGGGAAGGGGATGAGTCTTTCAAGTTCCCATGGACCCATGGACATCATGAGATCAACCTAATTGCCCTCATTCCATTTTCCTTTACTTTGCAGAAAAGAAACAAATTCCTTTCCACCCAAAATATGACAGCGCCTGTGGTCCAGGGCTGGAGCCCATAGTGGATGCCCAGCAGCCAACTTCCTGGAATTGAGACCTCCCCAGCAGGCTTGGGGGTGAAAAGAGAAACTAGACTCCAAAAGGGACACCAGTGCTCTGTTGGGGAGAGAGGAGCACACCACTGCATCCCACCCTGAAGAATGGGAGTGAGAAGAGAGGACAGGTGAACCCACCATGGCTCCAGTGAGATGGGAGCGGGGAACACCCAAGAAGGAGGACAGCCATGGGGTGGCCCCAGCCAAAGCCACCAGACATCATTACATGTCTGGGGCCCTCTCAGGCCGACATGAGTTTTACTGCTCCACACACTCTTTTGTTAAGAGCTAGCTGTCAGTAGATCAGTGAGAGAGCAACTTTGATACAGAGGAAACCATGCCTGAAATGGGTCATCCCAGAAGAATTTAGTAGTAGGTTCTATGCTTCCCTCCAGGGCCTCATGGGCGTGGGCAACTTTTTTTTTTTTCCAGCCACTCACCCTAGGTAATGAAGAAAGCTCTCTGAACTGTGTCCTTGCTGGGCACACAGGCCCCTACCACATGTACATGGCATGGGAGTCATGGCTAAGGCAGGGTGAGACTCCTATTTGAGGCCAGGAAAAGCTAATGACCCTACATTTGGTTCAGTCCTTGTGGGGTCCTGACTAGGGTGTGGGCCACTGTGTTCCCACAGATGCTCTGTTAGCCCTTAGGCTGTGAGATACACAGGCAAATGTTATATTGAAGCCTTTGTTTCTCTTACACGGAGGCAACACTACTGCAGCAGAGCAAACCTTATTGTATCAGTGCACCAACCCCAAGTTCATGTTCATTACAGCAGGAAAAACTAACATGTGGTGAATTCTGCCTCCACAAGGGACAAGGACCTGATAAGACTACAATGACCAGGATGGCCGATATCCCTGTCTTCTTGCAACTCAAACTTTGCCTGGTTACCACCTACTTGCCCCAACTCCTTGGACTCCAGCCCTCCGAGGACAGCCAGACATCTGAAGGAAGTGCCAGGCACAGATGCCAGGTTGCATAAGTGCTGGCCCCTGAGCAACTGGAGAAGCTGTTAGGTCCCAGCTGGCCTAGAGATCCCTGGCTCAGGGAGTATAACTGGATGCCTTGAACAAAGATATGGGGTCACTGGAAAGAGAGGACCGGCTGTCCCTCCCCACTAAGAAATAATTAACTGTTAGATGAGGGGGAATTCCTTTTCAAGGGCTCTGTGGACTGTGCTGCTCTGGAGGGGGTAGGGAGAGGGAGGAGCCCTGAGGTCTGGGCTGGGGTGTGGTTGGGAAGGAGCTGAGAGCTGAGAGCTGTAACTACACAAGGAGCTGCAGGGGTGAGGTTGGTGCAGGGTGGGATTTAGAGGATTTCCCCCAGACTCCTGTGCTGATCCCCTTCATCTCCTCCACCCCCACCCTTGGTGTCTGTCAACATGCGGGGGTGCCCTCATCTTCCCACTGCCCCTGGAGCTGTTCTACTCTTCCACGCTTGCCTTGGGGTTTTCAGAGCAGCATCTTTGTGAGTCCTGGAGTGCTAGGGACCAGGAGGGGAGAGGAGGCAATAGCCTCCTTTAATTTGGCAACAGCTTTTCGTTATCATCTCCACTTTCCAAGGCAGGAAAAGTGAAGGCAACAGCTCTGAGAGATCCTGGAAGAGGAAAAACCATGGCGGGTGAGGCAGGGAGCTGTCTGAGTTTCCTAGCAGACATCAGGAGCCCGCCCTTCCAGGCCTGGGCTTTGCTTCAGTGCCTGGCCCTGCATAGGCCCCTGCCCCTGTCCCGTTCTGCTGCCCCCACCTCCCTCTCAGCCTGGCCCCAGACAGAATCCAGACCAACTCCTGTCTGCTGTGAAAAATGTTCCTGCCAGTTTAGGCAGATCTTGCTTTAGAGCACTGGTGCCCAGCCTTCCACAGGTCTTGTGTCTGTTTTTCTTGGCACTATGTTTCTTCTCATGTATTCTTCTGAATTGGCAAGGCAGGAATTACATCACTGGTTTGCAGATGAGGAAACTGACTCATATGGTTTCATTCAGCACTCATTCACTGTGAAAGTGTCTGTCAGGGCCAATTGTGGGCCAGATGTGCCCAGGGTTCTATAGCTAGCTGGTGGAAAGGCCTGAAGGGTTCATATTCAGGTCCACTTGACTTGAAAACTCATATTGACCTTACTTATGTACTAATTCCCACTTTATAATCCATGCCACAAACTTTATTGTCTTAAGAAGTTGCCACAGCAGCCTTCAGCAGCCACCTTGTGATCAGTCAGCAGTCATCAACATTGAGGCAAGACCCTACTCCAGCAAAAACATTAGTATTAGCTGAAGCCTCAGATGACTGTTAGCATTTTTTAGCAGTAGTGTAATTTTTAATTAAGGTATGTACATATCTATTTTATACATAATGCTATTGTATACTTAATAGGCTAAAGTATAAATATAACTTTTATGTACACTACAAAAACAAAAAAATTGTGTGACTTGTTTTGTTTGCATGATCTGAAACCAAATCTGCAATCTCTCTGAGATATGTCTGTAATTTCCCTTTCCCTCTTCTTGCTGGCCCAGAATGACCTTGTTTCTTGTCCCTGTCTAGCCCTGCCTGTTACAGGGGTTTGCCTTCTCTGGTAGGTCTGGACACTTTGTATTCCCTGTAACCTTGCCTCCTGGCATATGACACTAGTACTAGCCTCAAGCTCTGTTGGACTAGCGAGCCTCACTCCACACCTCCTGAACTAGAACCAAAGCTCTGTGCACACACCATTCATGTGAGTCTGTAGAGATCTCAGCTTCCTGCAGGGTGTTCTGAAAGGGTGTTCTGTTGTGACTGGAGGGCATAGCCACAGGTCTCTGGGCAGAGGTGGCTCAGAAAAGAGTGGGTGGCCCCAGTTTGGGTCATCTGGGAAGGGGAAGATTTTCAGATAAAAACCCATGCCTTAGAAGACAAAACTACCCAAGAGCTGGCAGCAGCTAACCAGCTTGCTATCTGGGATACCACTTTGCAGTGGGAGGGAAGATAGCCTCTACCATGGTGTAGGGGTCCAGGGACCAGGCAGGGAGGTCTTCCTAGTGGTCAGTGCTTCTCACAGTTGGGAGATGAATCACCTTTCGATGAGGCCAAAGACCTCATGTTCCTCACTAGCTGACTTGTTCCCACTCAGTGGAAAAAGAACCCAGAACCTTTGCAAAATTTTAGGAGAGAAGGACTTTCCCTCTTGTCTCTTAGTGCCAGGGTTATGCATGACTCATACTTGAATTGCAATGTGTACACAGCTTAAAGTCTTAATTATTAGAACATAAGAGGCCCAAACCACTGTTGTTATAGATATGTAAAACTATGCAGTACAAAATTAAACAACCCCCAACCAATTAACAGTGGAGATAAATTATCAATATTTGTAAATTTAAAACAAGATCGACAGCCCTTTAGAAAAACAACAAAAAATGAGACTTTTGCAAGACAATCTAAATGATACGCTAATAACAAACCTTCATGAAAATGACATTTCGACCATCTGAGTTTCTGCTTTAAGTTACAAATTCCAAAAGGTACTAATCCCCAATAATTTACAGTAGGGAGCCCTAAGCCACAAAGAAAGGTGTCAGGGCACACCTGAGACCTGAAGTGAGAACATACCCTCCCTCAGGGTCACGAGTGAATCCTCTAAGACCCCTCCTCCCTCAGACACTCCATCCAGTCATCAGAAGGTCCACACAGCACTAAGACCCAACCACCTCACTGTCTTCACCTCCATGGAGAGAGCCCAGGTGACAGCCACCCCTGCTCCTCCTCCCTCATCTCCCACAGCCTCAGCACCATCGTCTGCCTCGAGTCCACCAGGACTGAGCTCCTCATGCCCTTTCCCTGTTTGTGTCAGTCACACTGGGTCCCCCATATACCCAGCACTTGCATCCCCACAAGGCTCCGCACGCTCTATTCTGTCCCCCCACCATGTCCCCTACCTAACTCCAGAAATCTTCCCTCTGTACTCCCTGGAATCCTCAGTCCATGATCAGCAAAACCTCCTCATTCTCTCTCAGGATGCTCCCTCACCTCGAAGCTCTAGCAGGAACCAGGTCTTCCTGAGGATGTGACCTGCTCTGAAGTTCCCCTACATGGGGGAGTTTCCCAGCAACTTATACCCCTGGGTTCAGAGGTGAGGTGGGGTCCTTGCTCTTCACTGTGGTTCTCAGACCTTTCTGCCTCCCTCCTCCCTAAAACCCCTAAGCTGTCATCAGACTAAGGCGCCGCTCCCCTCATTGTAGCCATTCCCTGTGGGCCCCAAGCCATTCCTGTCAATCCTAACTCTTGTAGCTCCTAGATCACTGTCACCCTCTCCAGCAGTGCTGTCTCCTTGATTCTTTCTGACTTCAACATATGCAGATGTGCTGGGCTGAGTACTAGTCCCCAGAGAGATCCAGTCTTAGTCCTTGGAGTCGGTGAACAGGTTGCATTGCATGGCAAAAGGGACATTACTCATGTAATGAAGATAAAGGACCTTAAAGTAGGGAGATCATCCTGGACTCTCTGTGTGGGCCCGATCAAATCACATGAGCCATTAAAAGGAGAGAATCTGCTCTAGATGGAGTCACATGCTGCAGAGAAGGAAGGCAGAGGAGACACAGCAAAGGGGAGATCAGTGGTTCCAAGCAGGAGGATTGGATGTGCTTTAGGCACCAGAGAGAAGTCTCTAGGATCTAAGGGTGCTCCCAAAAAGGAAGTGGGAAGCTCAGTTCTATCTGCAGGAAGTGAATTCAGACAAGAACCTGAATAAGCTTGGATGTGGACTCTTCCCCAGATTCTCCAGGAAGGAGCACAGACCTGCCCATACCTTGATCTTAGCCCCGTGAGACTGGGTGGACTTGCAACCCACACAACTGTGACATGATAATTAGGTGCTGTTTAAAGCTGCTTGGTTTGTGGTAATTTTTATGGCAGCAATAGACACCTATACAGCAGAGAAGATGCCCTCACTCCCTGGCCTCTCAGATCCTGGAACTCCTTTTCTTCATTACCATCTCCTCTCTCTGCCGGAATCTCAGGACCTTGTCCTCCCCTAGGCCTCATCATGGCAAAGAACCCCAGCCCTTCCACACTCTCAATCTCACACTTCCCACTCTCTGACCATCTTTCCACTCATCCCCTTGCAGGGTAGCCACAGGCTCTGAAGACACTGATGCTATAATTTGATCATATGCTATAATGTAACATCAGTGAACCACTCATTGCATGTGTGCCTGCTTTCCAGGCATGGAGTCCATTCTGTAGTACATCTATTCCAATAATTTTTCCACCCCCTTGAAATTCCCAATCCAGTGATGCTGCTATCTATTCCTTCTCCCTTAGTGTTTGTTGTCCTCTCCTCCCTCCTCATCCATTTTGGATTCTGTAGTAAATAATTTCCATCCCTCCCTTGCCTCTCCCTTTCGTTGTCACACTTGCCTGGCAAAACTACACAGCTAGTGGATTCCACCTCAGCCTACACTGCACCTGCCCCCATAAGCTGCAGGAGGCTGGAGAGCAGCACACAGCATGCTGACTGTTCTCTCTACATTCACGACCCAAACCTCATGGGGAGCCCCCACCATAGCCAGCAATCACCCTCTCCCTGCATGGCTCACTCTCAGCCTCCTCCTGGCCTGGGTGACTCTTACATACCTTCTCTCTGTCCTCACACATCCAATCTTCCTTCCCCATTCTTACTTCCGCTGATGATCTTGCTTCCTACTTCACTGAGAAAACTGAACACATTTAGAAGACAACTTCACAGATTCCACCACCGTCTGCTCATGCATTTGCAGCTGCACCACATGTCAGGCATTTTACTACATGGGGGATTGCTGTGTGTTAACCATCCTGCTCCCAGCCAGAGCCAGTTCCTCTGCTGGTGCCCTGAACATCATCCCTTCTCATCTACTTAAAGTGTTAGTTCATCAATTAATACCTTTTTTTTCCCTCTATTGTCATCCCTTTTCCTTTTATTCCAGTGGATCATTGTGGCACTCATGAGGATGCACATCCCAGGCCCTCGGGTAGAGGAAGAATAATTGATGATGTCCCAGCTGTCGCAGCCTGAAATCTATTGTCACATTTGATCTGAGACCACACCTGCCCCAGCTTTTTCCAACCAATGATTGACCAAAGCAGGAAAACTAAGGCAAGAATATTCCTACTCTGAAGGCTGGCTGAGGCTCCAGGACTCCCTGCCATCCCTACTGAGCTTCCTTTAGCCTACACAGGGTCTAGGATGCTTCCAGCTGACCTTCCTGCCCTCTCTCCTTCACTGGGACTCAGAGTTGCATTGTGATCTGATGGCTTTTCCAGCATTTCTGTCTCTATCCTGATTTTCTCTCACAACTATTTCCCCTAATAAATCCTTACACATTTAATACTGTATTGGGGTCTAAGTTCAGGACCGCAGCTATCACAAGTGGTATCAAGGGTGATCCATGAAAATGACCAAAACTGGAAATTTGAAATAAGCTTTCCCACTGCCTGTCAGGCCAAGAGGATGCCATCTAGGTTAGCGGGGGACAAAGAAAGTCCATAGAGAAGTTGCATCTGAGCTGCCGTGGGTCTCACCAGTGCTAACCTGAGAAGATGCTCTGGTTAGGGGAAGCTATGGCAGATGTGGTGATAGAATGCCCTGCACAATAATGATGGAGTTGGGGGTAAACCCACAAAGACAGTGGAGTTGGCTGGTTACTTCCCAGCTGTGTTGATGCTCTATAAAAGGATAATGAGAATCTGCAGGTTGTTAACAGCTGTCACTGGCTATGTGTGAGAGTCTCTGCAGTGTCTCATGGAGAGGCCTTTATCTCCTGGATCAAAAGAGCAGATAGCATGGAATGGTAGCTGAACATCATTATGGTGGGCACAGTGCTCCAGAGACGTTTGATACTCAGCCAACACAGGCCTTTTATAGGAAAGTCAGGGCCCTGGTGGGGGAACCTCAGATTCTGCAAACTAGAACAGAGTTATCTGATGGGTGCCCTCCTCCAGGACCCCCTGGGCATGCAGAGGAGGCTCACCCTTCTCTAGTAATCGTTCCCACTTCCTATGCTGAAAGATGCTACAGAAGCCTCACTCCTACGATGCAGCAGGAATCCCACTCAGGAGCTTTGCAGGAACTAGCCAGCATGTCCCCATAGGGGCCTGGGGTGCACTTCTGGGATTGGAATTTGAGGGCATTTGATCAATAAACTAGAATTTCAGTCTGGATGAATAAAAATCCTTTGGCTTGGAGGCACTTTCTCAGGACATGGGTTTATCAAAGAACCCAGGACATGGGGTAAACCCACTACTGGGGTGAGTCCATATAGACTGGAAAAAATGATGCCCAACTCTCAACAAGGTAGATATGACCTAGTTATCCTGGAACATGTAGAGGATGCAATAACAAGGCTGAGGGAAGTGGGCGTGATGAAGGCCCACCAGGACCATGCTCCACAAGAGGACCCAGAGGGCACACCTTCCACCAGAGCCTCAGGAACATGCTGTGGAGAGGGACCTGCATCACTAAGAAGTGTCGGGGTGTTATCCTCTGCAGGCTGGGGGGGATGATAGTAAAGGTCCCAGAGTTGTGCTTATTCATATCTCTGGGGAGAATGTGGGCCTGAAGAGACTGAGAACAAGTGGTGGCAGTGACCTGCAAAAGCCGGAGGGCATGGTTACCATGGCAACCTCAGAGGAGCAGCCAAGGGGACTCAAGCTGCAGGGAGTGTGGGGAAAGTTAGTAGAGAGGACACCAGGGTTACAAGAGGCAGCCAACAAGGGCACTGCTTGATATATATGATAAGAAAGCAAGAATTGAGGAGCAGGAGACTGAGGGTGTTCGACCAAATACAAAGCCATGATCCCCTTCTCAATGCCTAGACCTCAATCAAGATTCAGACTCAGATCTCAGTGACAGAGGAGGAGTCCATATCCCTAGAGAAAGGACCCTGGGACACCATGGAGATATATGGCTGGGACAATTCCCTCAGTCTTTCAGCAAGGGAACCTATAGCCATTTACTCAGGAGACTGTACATTGGGGAAGGGAAATAGGCAGAACTAGGGGGGATCATTTTCATTGCATGTAAGCTGATATTGATGCCCAGATGCCCACAGCACAATCATCTTCTCCATCACAGTGGGGCTTACGGAGGCCAGGGAGTAAACCTGGACACATTATGGCCCGCAATGGGACCACTGGATGCATAGACCCAACCCTGATTATCTTCCAATTCCCTGAGTGCATAATTGACACTGATGCTCTGGTAAGTGGAGTCACCCCCACACTGGGTCCCCAGTCTGTGGTATAAGGGATCTCTTGATGCCAAAGGCCAAAGGGAAACCTCTGAAACTGCCCCCATCCTGGCCAAATCAAAAATCATAGTGTGTCCCAGCGTGGGTCTTGTGAAGGACACTGCAAGTATTGTGGGGGTCACACCACCATTACAAAGCTGAAGGAGGCGGGGTGGTGTTGAGGCTGCCTATTGTCTCCGTGTAATCCAGCAATCTGTCCCTGAGGAAGCCTAGTGAGGCCTAAAGAATGAATGAGATTACTCCAGATATGGCCAAGTAGGAGTTATAAGTGCAGCTTTTGTGCTGTCTGGATATCACTGGTAGAGCAGATTAACAAAGCCTTGGGCACACAGTGTGCAGCTGTGGATTTGGTGAGTGCATTTCTTTCCATTCCAATTACAAAGGGGATATGGAGTGATTCACATTCATGTGGGATCCACAACACATTGAATTATAGTTTGCCTCAGGACTTTTGTAACTCCCCTGTCCTCTATAGTATAGTCTTATGACTATACTAGACATACTGGATATCCTAAAGGATATTAAATCAGCTCATTTCATTTACAACTTCATGTTGACTGGGGCGAATGAGCAGCAGGTAGAAAGTGCACTGGCATCGTTGGCAAAACATTTGCACTTCAGAAGGTGAAGATAAACCTTACAGAGCTTCAGGAAAGGTCACTGTAGTGAAGTTTTATGAGTCCAGTGTTTAGGGGAATGCCAGGGGTGTCCCCTCCTAGGTAAATTACAAAGTGTTGCATTTTGCATCCTTACTGCAAAAAAAGAAAGCACACTCTCCGGTGAGCCTCTTGGAGTTCTGACGACAGCACATTCCACATGTAGAAATGTTGCTTTGGCCCACACTCTAGGTGACATAGGAGGAGGCCAGCTTCAAGTGAGGCCTACACAGGAAAGCACCCTGCAGCAGATACAGGCTGCGGTGCAGCCACCATCCCTCAGACCTCTTGGTACTGGAAGGGGCAGGGGTGGGGAAAGATGCAGGATGGAGCTGAACCAAGCAGCAGTGGGAGAGTCATGGTGGAGGGCCTGGGATCTGGAGTAAGATCATGTCATCCACAGCAGAGACATGGCTCCCCATTAGAAGCAACTTTTAGTGTTCCTGGTCCTGATTCGATAGAATGCTTAACCACAGGACACCAAGCAACGATGTGATTCCAAGTACCTGTGTGAATTGGCTTCTGTGTGACCCAGAAAGTCATAGATTGGACAGGCCCAACAGCATTCATCATGAGGTGAAAATGGTCCACCTGGGTTGTGCTTGAATCCCATGTTGACACCCCCAGAAAACACCCAAGTCTGAAGCAGCACTGAACAACCAAACAGACAAATGGAAGTTAGCCAGCCTTCACTATGGGTCAATGCAGGCCTGGTAGGATGGGCACATGAATGGAGCAAGCACAGTGGCAGGCATGAGGCTACATATGGGGCCAGAAGTACTGACTCCCCATTATCAAGACAGATCCAGCTGCTGCCACCTCTGAATGTCCAACTCATCAGCATTTGAGGCCCACCATGTGCCCTAGTGGGGCACTATTTCTTTAGGTGACTAACTAGCCACTATGTAACAAGTTGACTACATTTAGCTACTTCCATCCTAGAAGGGCCTGAGGTTCATCTTCACAGGGGTAGGCTCATATTCCATGGGTGAGTTTTCCTGTCCTGCTCTCGGACACTCAGCCAGCACCACTCTCTGGGTGCTGTTGACATTCCTGATCCACAGGCTAGGTGGTGCTCCCAACCCAGTATCTGCCTGAAGGACCCACTTGGCAGGGAAAGTTCCAGTGTTTCCGTGGCTATGGGTTTCACTGATCTGATCACCATCTGCACCACCCAGGGGCTGCCAGCCACAAGGAATGCTGGAAATGTCTTCTACAGGCAAAACTCAGTGTCATCCTGGAGGAAGCACTCTGAGGGGTGGGGGCCGTTTTTCAGGACATGGTGCATTGTTTGAATCAGAGACATCTCTACGGTGCTGTGTTCTCAATAGGAAGAATATGTGGGTCTAGAAACCGAAAGTTGGAAGCAGGTTTGTCTCCATGTCCAGTCTCTTAGATTCACCCACTGGGGTATTTTGCACGTTTTATCTCCCAACTTTGGGCTGTTCAGGGCAGGAGGTCCTTAAAAGGAGACACATGACAGCCCATTGAACTACACATTATGGTTGTCACCAGAGAAGTTTGGACAGTATGTGCCCAGAGACCAGCTGGTGAGAAAAGGAGTCTCTTCCTCTCCAGGTGCAGGTAATAGATCCTGATCTCCAGGAGGAGGCATGGCTACTTTCACACAATGAGGGCAGAAGTGTGTGTGTGAGAACCAGAGATCTACTTGGGGGCCTTCTGGTTTGCCTTGTCCCTTTGTAAATGTGAGCAGAATCATCCAGCAATCCAGCCTGAGAGGATTTGATTTCCAAGGGCCCAGACCTCTCAGGACAGGAGGTTTGAGCCACACTCCTGGGTAATCACCCAAGGCCCCACTCCTGTGCTCTGACATCCTCAGTGTCATTGGTGCAGAGACCCTGCTTCCCATGGGCTGTTCCCAGCCAGTGATGGGTCACACCAGTGACACTGAGGCAGGACATTCCTGGGAGACCAGGGACTCCTCTGACGGACAGCAGTGGCTCAAAGACTCCTCCATGGCTTTGCTCAACTCTCCTGAGATTGCCTGTGGTCTAGGACACATCCAGTAAACCTTCTGTCCTTCTGTCCATCACTGGGGGTCACATTTGCATCTTGGTCTGTTGCCTTTCCCAGGGTAACCTGCCTCCGTTGCTATATCTCTGACAGGTGTGTCCCCTAATAAAATCCTGTAACTTTAATCCCATGATGGCACTTGGAATGCAAAATCATTTTCATCTGCACACCAGTGACCTCTTACTTACTCCAATTTGTAAAATCCTTTTGTTTGTTCAACTTCTACCTGCATTGGCTCCATTTTGCTAGTATTTGTATTATGCTTTTGAGATAGTCGATGTTTGTTGCTTTAAGTCACTAAATTTGGGGGTAGTTTGTTATACAGCAATGGATAACTAATGAAGCCCTCTTACATTTCTGTTATTCTATAGAGGTTAAATACATCCGTTTTATTTCCTCCCATTTTGATAATATTAGCCATATATTGGGTTCCTAGTTTCTCTACGCCTGTTTTTTTCTTTATTTTCGTTTCTTTTCTCCTTTATTCCTTCCCTTTCTTCTCACTTCTATCTCTCCCTCCCTCTCTTTCTTTTCTATTTCCATTTGCCCTCCCTCCCTCCTTCTCTTCCCCTTCCTTCTTTGCTTCCTTCACTCCTCTCTCCTTCTTTCTCTCCTTTCCTCCATTTTTTTCTTTTTTATTATGACATATTCTGACATATAAAATAACCCTATGTGTTTGTACTATAAGGAAACATTTTCTGAATCTATATGTTAAAAGTATAAAGCCATGGTATACAGGATACAAGTTAACAACAGGAAGTTATTAACAGAGTCTGAATAAGAATGCCTGCTATAGGCTGGGCATGGTGACTCATGCCTGTAATCCCAGCACTTTGGGAGGCCTAGACGGGCGGATCACGAGGTCAGGGGATAGAGACCATCCTGGCTAACACGGTGAAACCCTGTCTTTACTAAAAATACAAAAAAAAAATTAGCCGGTGTGGTGGCGGGCACCTGTAGCCCCAGCTACTCAAGAGGCTGAGGCGGGAGAATGGCGTGAACCCAGGAGGTGGAGCTTGCAGTGAACCGAGATTGTGCCACTGCACTCCAGCCTGGGCGACAGAGCAAGACTCCGTCAAAAAAAAAATCTGCTATAATTCTGCAGCCAAGGCAGTTGCTATTAACTCTTAATTCCTTCAACTCAGTGTTTTCAGAACACATCAACATCACATATTACACATTTATTGTAAAAGCTTAAGTTGGCACAATTACTTTGGAAATCATATTATCATTATTTAGTATGGTTAAAGGCCATACAACATATCATCCAACCATCCCACTCCTAATCATACACTCTGGCGGCTTTCTCGCCTATGTGCCCAGGAGACATGCACACTAATGTTTATGGCAAAAACTGGAATCAGCCTCCTATACATCAATAGCAAAGTAGTGAAATTGTGGTATAACCATAAAATGTAAACCTTCAGCAGTAAAAATGAGTGAATGACAGCCTCCCACACAACAGATAACTCCTATACATAATGTGCATCATGAGAAAAGAAATGTAGTAGGAATTTCTGTACAGGAAGCTTAAAAACCAGTGAAACTAATATTTGGTTTGAGATTATATATACTTATTGTACAAATATTTAAAGAAATACAAAGTAATAATAAAAACAAGACTCAGGATGGGGTCTCATTCTGGGGGATGTGATTGGGCAGCAGCCCAGGGTGGCTTTGCGGGTTCTGTGTCTTATGCCAGTGCTGGGAACCCAGGTAACTACTAGATTATAACTCCTTAAACAGTATTTTTCAAACTAAAATATACCTGTTTCTTAAAAAATGAAAGAAAAAAATATCAAAGTTCATTGCAAGGATCCTTAACAAGAACTACTTACATTGGAAGAAAGCCACAGAGAATTGTAAGGAGCCACATGACAGAGAGGCTCCTTACAGGATGCCATGACAATACCCTTGGCTAAAGGGCCATATGATCCTTGGCTCACAGGCATCTCTCTAGATTTTCAGGTATACAAGATTCAATCTGATGTGCAAGGTAATTCCATTTTGCAAAGGATTTGATTTGTTACATATTCCACACATACAACTGAATTAAACTTTTACAGAATTGGAAATGCACATCATTGATCAAAATAGATGAAACAATAAAAGAGTATAAAGGAACAACCAGTGATGGAATAGCAAATATGAATGGAAAACACAACAGGATTGCTCAAAAAAACTTGAAAGCACAAAATTGCAGTGCTATTTAGAATCATAGTGGTGTCCAAATCACTTCTATCGTATCTGATTCAATACCAGAACAAAAGATGTTAAGTTTATTATAGAATGCTCACCAAATAGCCAGTTTTTGAAAAATCTTATGCTTCAGTTGGAGCTAACCATTTTGGGCTACTGCATCCAACCAAAGCTATTGACATCTTGCTAAGCTAGATGTGTTAACTGAGGTATGAGATTCACATTTTTGTAAATTAAAACCAATTAGGCAAATTTTTTAAAGTGAAATCAAGTTTATGAGAGAAGTAAGGAAACAAAAGAATGGCTACTCAATAGACACAACAGCCCTTTTTTTTAAGTGTAGGCAAATGTTTTTTGAAGATGATATTTCAATAAGAAAATTGGCACTTGGGGCATACTTCAACTAAATGTGAGACACCTTAGTTGAAACAAAGACTTATTTTCAAGTCATTATTTTTACGGCACAGAAGTCTTTGGAATATTTGCTCTAGTTACTCTGGGTTCTCAACTGTTGACTCATTGAAGAGAATATTGTTATTAAAGGTATTTGCAAGAAAAACTCAGACATACTATTGTATCCTCTTTCTCTGTCTCAAACAGTTTTCCCCACAACACCCAAGGCTCTGTGATGTCCCAAACTTTTAATCATTAATTTAAAAAGAGAAGCTTATCACAGAATTAGAAGAAACTATTTTAAAATTCATATGGAACCAAAAAAGAGCTCATATAGCCCGGACAATCCTACACAAAAAGAACAAAGCAGGCGGCCTCAGACTACCTGATTTCAAACTATACTACAGGCTACAGTAACCAAAACAGCATGGTAATAGACTAATGGAAGAGAGTAGAGAACTCAGAAATAAAACCGCATATCTAAAACCATCTGATCTTCAACAAACCTGATGAAAACAAGCAACAGGGAAATGATTCCATATTTAATAAATGATGTTGGGAAAACGGGCTAGCCATTTGCAGAAAACTGAAACTGGACCCCTTCCTTACATCTTACACAAAAATTAACTCTAGATGGATTAAAGACCTAAATGTAAAACCCAAAACTATAAAAACCCAAGAAGAAAATCTAGGCAATACCATTTGCCTGGGCATGGGCAAAGATTTTATGATGAAATCGCCAAAAGCATCTGCCACAAAAGCAAAAACTGACAAATGGGATCTAATTAAACTAAAGAGCTTCTGCACAGGAAAAGACACTGTGATCAGAGTGAACAGACAACCTACAGAATGAAAGAAAATTTTTGTAATCTATCCATCTGACAAAGATCTAATATCCACAATCTACAAGGAAATTAAGCAAATTTACAAGAAAATAACAAACAACCCCATTAAAAAGTGGGCAAATGACATGAACAGACACTTCTCAAAAGAAGACATACATGTGGCCAACAAACATATGAAAAAAAGCTCATCATCACTGGTCATTAGAGAAATGCAAATCAAAACCACAATGAGATACCATCTCATGCCAGTCAGAATGGTGATTATTAAAAAGTCAAGAAACAACAGATACTGGCAAGGTTGCAGGGAAATAGGAATGCTTTAACTGTTGGTGGGAATGTAAATTAGTTCAACCATTGTGGAAGACAATATGACGATTCCTCAAAGATCTAGAACTAGAAATACCATTTGACCCAGCAATCCCATTACTGGGTATATACCCAAAGAAATATAAATCATTCTATTATAAAGTTACATCCATGTGTATGTTCATTGCAGCACCACTCACAATAGCAAAGACATGGAATCAACCTAAATGCGCATCAACAATAGACTGGATAAAGAAAACATATGACATGTACACCATGGAATACTATGCAGCCTTAAAAAGGAAGGAGATCATGTTTTGCAGGGACATGGAAAAAGCTGGAAGCCATTATCCTCAACAAACTAATGCAGAAACAGAAAAACAAACACTGCATGTTCTCACTGATAATTGGGAGCTGAGCAATGAGAATCCATGGGCACTGGGAGGGGAACACTGTGTCCTTTTGGGGGGGGGGGCAGAGGTGGGGTGCGCATTAGGAAAAATAGCTCATTCATGCTAGGCTTAATACCTAGGTGCTGGGTTGATAAGTGTAGCAAAACACCATGGCACACGTTTACCTATGTAACAAATCTGCACATCCTGCATATGTACCCTGAAACTTAAAATAAAAATTAAAAAGAAGCTTAAAGCATTAAAGAAAAATAATCACATGAAAGAAGCATTTGATTTACAAAATCCTGAAATAATAATTTTAATTTTGCTTTCAACATGTATGCAAATCCCTTGATACTCCTCCCTTCCAATGGTGCAGCTTAATTCCTTCCCTGTGAGTTCGGCTTGGACTTAATGATGCACTTCTGATATGGCCTCACCCTGTGTCCCCACCCAAACTCATCTTGAATTGTAATCCCCACGTGCTAGGGGAAAGACATGGTGGGAAGTGATTAGATCATGGGGATGGTTCCCTCATGCTGTTCTCATGATAGTGAGTGAGTTCTATGAGATCTGATGGTTTTGCAAGAGTCTTCCCTGCCACCCCCGCCCCCGACAACCTTGCATTTCTCTCTCCCACCACCATGTGAAGAATGACATGCTTCCTTCCCCTTCTGCCATGATTGTAAATTTCCTGAGGCCGCCTCTTCAGTCATGCAGAACTGTGAGTCAATTAAACCTCTTTCCTTTATAAATTACCCAGTCTCAGGTATTTCTTTATAGCAGTGTGAGAACAGACAAATACAACTTCTAACTGATAGAGTAGTGCTGATATAACAGTTTTTGACTCTGGGTGCAGAACATAAAACTCACTGCAGCTTCTCTCTCTCTGTCTCTGGGATCATGAGCTCTGGGGGAAGCCAACTGCTGTGCCATAAGCAGCCCTGCAGGAAGGTCCATGTGGCTAAAAACTGAGGCCTCCTGGGACCGGACAACAAGGAACCATGTGAGTGAGCCATGTTTCTTGTAAATCCCAAGCCCTAGTGAAGCTCTCAGATGATGCAGCCCTGGACTGGACTGTAACCTTGTGAGAGGCTCTGAGCCAGAAGCACTCAGGGAAACCTTGCTCCTGGATTCCTGACCATTGGAAACTGCGGTAGATGATGTTTGTTGTTTTGCGCTGCTAAGTTTTATGTAATTTGTTATGCAATAGTAAATAACTAATACATTTTCATAAGAGAGGATGATTTATTGCACTTCAATTTTCATTTGCTCTAAATTTATGATCATGATTATTACTATTTTTGAGACAGCATCTTGCTCTGTCACAGAGGCTAGAGTGCAGTGGCATGTTCACCATTCACTGCTGTGTTGACTTCCTGTGCTCAAATATCCTCTGACCTCAGCCTCCTGAGTAGCTGGCTGGGACTACAGGCATGAACCACCATGCCTGGATAATACTCTAATGTTTTTGTAGAGATGGAGGTTTCACCATGTTGCCCAGGCTGATCTCAAACTCTTGGAGTCAATGGATCTGCCTTCCTCTGCCCGCCACAGTGCTAGGATTGTAGGTGCCAGCCACCACACCTGGCATGAATTAATTATAAGCTATTAAACCTGTCACTTGATTTTAAGAGGTAAGGTGAATCTCCATGGCTGAAGAGGATGTATTTTATTATCATTCACAATGATCGCTTTACTTGAACTTCAATTTCCAACTGTGTCACAATTAAACACAAAAGGAAAATCCAACCCTTGCTAGGCTGATTCTATAATAGCCCCAACAACCAGCTCCTGGTCATCCACCTTCCCCCAATTATTCAACCAACTCTACTGTAGGTGCTGCTGTGAAGGGATTTAGCAGATATAATCAAGGTCCTCAATCAGTTGACTTGAGGCTGGGTTTAGCCTGCTTGGACACTCCTAATCAGGTGAGCCCATGAAAGGACTGGGTTCTTCCTGAGCATAGAGATTCACAGTGTGAGAGGGATTCAGTGTGAGGGGTTTCCTCCACTGTGGGCTTTGAAATTGAAGGGGCTGACTAGAAAAGAATGCTGTTTGGCTCCAGGCATTGAGCACAGCCCTCCCTCCTCTCTACCTTGACAGCTAGCAGGGAACAGGAAACTCAGTCTTAACGACTGTCAGAAACTGAATTCTGCCGCCTCTATATATGCTTGAAGGAGGATTCAAAATGAAAACACAGCTTTGGGAAGCCCTGAATAGAGACCCCGTCTACATCATGCCTGGATTTCTGCCTAAAGAACTGTAAACAGATCAGTGGATGTTGTTTGGGCAGGTGTGGTAGCACACACCTGCAATCCTAACATTTGAGGGGCTTACACAGGAGGATCACTTACACTCAGGAATTTGAGACCAGCCTGGGTAATGCAATGAGACCCTCATCTCTACAATTTTTTTTTAATTAGCTGGGCGTGGTGGCATTTGCCTGTAGTTCTAGTTACTCTGAAGACTGAGCCAGGAGGATCCTTTGAGCCCAGGATTTCAAGGCTGCAGTGAGCCATGACTGTGTGACTGCACTTCAAAATGGATGAGAGAAAGAGACCATTTCTCTAAAAATAAATGAATTAATTAAATAAATGGGTATTGTTTAAAGCCAATATTTGTGATAATTTGTTATGCAGTCATAAAATTCGTACAGTCTCAACAGACAAATGGAATGAATTTATGAATTGATATGCACACTAGTTACATAAAATAAAAACTTTCTCAATCTTTTCCAGTATTGTTTATTTTATAATTTTCTGTGATGAAATTAAATTTTAATACACTCATATTTCATTTATTCAGTCAACAAAAATTAATTTGGGGAATAGGAACAGCTCCAGTCTACAGCTCCCAGGGTGAGCAATGCAGAAGACGAATGATTTCTGCATTTCCAACTGAGGTACCAGGTTCATCTCACTGGGGACTGTCAGACAGTGGGTGCAGGACAGTGGGTGCAGTGCACCAAGTGTGAGCCAAAGCAGGGCGAGGCCACGCCTCACCCAGGAAGCGCAAGGGGTCAGGGAATTCCCTTTCCTAGCCAAGGAAAGGGGTGACAGATGGCACCTGGAAAATTAGGTCACTCCCACCCTAATACTGCACTTTTCCTATGGTCTTAGCAAACGGCACACCGAGAGATTATATCCCATGCCTGGCTCGCAGGGTCCTACACCCACAGAGCCTCGCTCATTGCCAGCACAGCAGTCTGAGATCAAACTGCAAGGCGGCAGCAAGGCTGGGGGAGGGGTGCCCGCCATTGCTGAGGCTTGAGTAGGTAAACAAAGCGGCCAGGAAGCTCGAGCTGGGTGGAGCCCACACAGCTCAAGGAGGCCTGCCTGCCTCTGTAGACTCCACCTCTGGGGGCAGGGCATAGCCAAACAAAAGGCAGCAGAAACCTCTGCAGACTTAAATGTCCCTGTCTGACAGCTTTGAAGACAGTAGTGGTTCTCCCGCATGCAGCTTGAGATCTGAGAACAGACAGACTGCCTCCTCAAGTGGGTCCCTGACTCCCAAGTAGCCTGACTGGGAGGCACCCCCCAGTAGGGGCAGACTGACACGTCACACGGCCGAGTACTCCTCTGAGACAAAATCTCCAGAGGAAAGATCAGGCAGCAACATTTGCTGTTCACCAATATGCATTGTTCTGCAGCCTCCGCTGCTGATACCCAGGTAAACAGGGTCTGTAGTGGACCTCCAGCAAACTCCAACAGACCTGCAGCTGAGGGTCCTGACTGTCAGAAGGAAAACTAACAAACAGAAAGGACATCCACACCAAAACCCCATCTGTACGTCACCATCATCAAAGACCAAAGGTAGATAAATCCACAAAGACGGGGAAAAAACAGAGCAGAAAAACTGAAAATTCTAAAAATCAGAGTGCCTCTCCTCCTCCAAAGGAATGCAGCTACTCACTAGCAATGGAACAAAGCTGGAAGGAGAATGACTCTGATGAGTTGAGAGAAGAAGGCTTCAGACGATCAAACTTCTCCGAGCTAAAGGAGGAAGTTCGAACCCATGACAAAGAAGTTAAAAACCTTGAAAAAAGATGAGATGAATGGCTAACTAGAATAACCAATGCAGAGAAGTCCTTAAAGGACCTGATGGAGCTGAAAACTACGGCACGAGAACTAAGTGATGAATGCACAAGCTTCAGTAGCTGATTCGATCAACTGGAAGAAAGGTTATCAGTGATGGAAGATCAAATGAATGAAATGAAGTGAGAAGAGAAGTTTAGAGAAAAAAGAATAAAAAGAAATGAACAAAGCCTCCAAGAAATATGGGACTATGTGAAAAGACCAAATCTGCATCTGATTGGTGTACCTGCAAGTGACGGAGAGAATGGAACCAAGTTGGAAAACACTCTGCAGGATATTATCCAGGAGAACTTCCCCAATCTAGCAAGGCAGGCCAACATTCAAATTCAGGAAATAGAGAGAACACAACAAAGATACTCTTCAAGAAGAGCAACTCCAAGACACATAATTGTCAGATTCACCAAAGTTGAAATTAAGGAAAAAATGTTAAGGAAAGACAGAGAGAAAGGTCGGGCTACCCACAAAGGGAAACCCATCAGACTAACAGCTGATCTCTCGGCAGAAACTCTACAAGGCAGAAGAGAGTAGGGGCCAATATTCAACTTTCTTAAAGAAAAGAATTTTCAGCCCAGAATTTCAAATCCAGCCAAACTAAGCTTTGTAAGTGAAGGAGAAATAAAATCCTTGACAGACAAGCAAATCCTGAGAGATTTTGTCACCACCAGGCCTGCCTTACAAGAGATCCTGAAGGAAGCACTAAACATGGAAAGGAACAACTGGTACCAGCCACTGCAAAAACATGCCAAATAGTAAAGACCATTGAGGCTAGGAAGAAACTGCATCAACTAATGAGCAAAATAACCAGCTAACATCATAATGACAGGATCAAATTCACACATAACAATATTAACCTTAAATGTAAATGGGCTAAATGCTCCAATTAAAAGACACAGACTGGCAAATTGGATAAAGAGTCAAGACCCATCAGTGTGCTGTATTCAGGAAACCCATCTCACGTGCAGAGACACACATAGGCTCAAAATAAAGGGATGGAGGAAGATCTACCAAGCAAATGGAAAACAAAAAAAGGCAGGGGTTGCAATCCTACTCTCTGATAAAACAGACTTTAAACCAACAAAGATCAAAAGAGACAAAGAAGGCCAATACATAATGGTAAAGGGATCAATTCAATGAGAAGAGCTAACTATCCTAAATATATATGCACCCAATACAGGAGCACCCAGATTCATAAAGCAAGTCCGTAGAGACATATAAAGAGACTTAGACTCCCACACAATAGTAATGGGAAACTTTAACACCCCACTGTCAACATTGGACAGATCAATGAGACAGAAAGTTAACAAAGATATCCAGGAATTGAACTCAGCTCTGCACCAAGCAGACCTAATAGACATCTACAGAACTCTCCACCCCAAATCAACAGAATATACATTCTTCTCAGCACCACACCGCACTTATTCCAAAACTGACCACATAGTTGGAAGTAAAGCACTCCTCAGCAAATGTAAAAGAACAGAAATTATAACAAACTGTCTCTCAGACCACAGTGCAATCAAACTAGAACTCAGGATTAAGAAACTCACTCAAAACTGCTCAACCACATGGAAACTGAACAACCTGCTCCTGAATGACTACTGGGTACATAATGAAAGGAAGGCAGAAATAAAGAGGTTCTTTGAAACCAACGAGAACAAAGACACAACATACCAGAATCTCTGGGATGCATTCAAAGCAGTGTGTAAAGGGAAATTTATAGCACTAAATGCCCACAACAGAAAGTAGGAAAGATCTAAAATCGACACCCTAACATCACAATTAAAAGAACTAGAGAAGCAAGAGCAATCACATTCAAAAGCTAGCAGAAGGCAAGAAATAACCAAGATCAGGGCAGAACTGAAGGAGATAGAGACACAAAAAACCCTTCAAAAAATCAATGAATCCAGGAGCTGATTTTTTGAAAAGACCAACAAAATTGATAGACCGCTAGCAAGACTAATAAAGAGAGAAGAATCAAATAGATGCAATAAAAATGATAAAGGGGATATCACCACCAATCCCACAGAAATACAAGCTACCATCAGAGAATACTATAAACACCTCTATGCAAATAAACTAGAAAATCTAGAAGAAATGGATAAATTCCTCGACGCATACACCCTCCCAAGACTAAACCAGGAAGAAGTTGAATCTCTGAATATACCAATAACAGGCTCTGAAATTGAGGCAATAATTAATAGCTTACCAACCAAAAATAGTCCAGGACCAGATGGATTCACAGCCGAATTCTACCAGAGGTACAAGGAGGAGCTGGTACCATTCCTTCTCAAACTATTCCAATCAATAGAAAAAGAGAGAATCCTCCCTAACTCATTTTATGAGGCCAGCATCATCCTGATAGCAAAGCCGGGCAGAGACACAACAAAAAAAGAGAATTTTCGACCAATATCCCTGATGAACATAGATGCAAAAATCCTCAATAAAATACTGGCAAACCGAATCCAGCAGCACATCAAAAAGCTTATCCACCATGATCAAGTGGGCTTCATCCCTGGGATGCAAGGCTGGTTCAACATACGAAAATCAATAAACATAATCCAGCATTTAAAGAGAACCAACGACAAAAACCACATGATTATCTCAATAGATGCAAAAAAGGCCTTTGACAAAATTCAACAACCTTCATGCTAAAAACTCTCAATAAATTAAGTATTGATGGGACGTATCTCAAAATAATAAGAGCTATCTATGACAAACCCACAGCCAATATCATACTGAATGGGCAAAAACTGGAAGCATTCCCTTTGAAAACTGGCACAAGACAGGGATGCCCTCTCTCATCACTCCTATTCAACATAGTGTTGGAAGTTCTGGCCAGGGCAATTAGGCAGGAGAAGGAAATAAAGGGTATTCAATTAGGAAAAGAGGAAGTAAAATTGTCCCTGTTTGCAGATGACACGACTGTATGTCTAGAAAACCCCATCATCTCAGCCCAAAATCTCCTTAAGCTGATAAGCAACTTCAGCAAAGTCTCAGGATACAAAATCAATGTGCAAAAATCACAAGCATTCTTACACACCAATAACAGACAGACAGCCAAATCATGAGTGAACTCCCATTCAAAATTGCTACAAAGAGAATAAAATACCTAGGAATCCAACTTACAAGGGATGTGAAGGACCTCTTCAAGGAGAACTACAAACCTGCTCAATGAAATAAAAGAGGATATAAACAAATGGAAGAACATTCCACGTTCATGGATAGGAAGAATCCATATCATGAAAATGGCCACACTGCCCAAGGTAATTTATAGATTCAATGCCATCCCCATCAAGCTACCAATGACTTTCTTCACAGAATTGGAAAAAACTACTTTAAAGTTCATATGGAACCAAAAAAGAGACCACATTGCCAAGAGAATCCTAAGCCAAAAGAACAAAGCTGGAGGCATGACGCTACCTGACTTCAAACTATACTACAAGGCTGCAGTAACCAAAACAGTATGGTACTGGTACCAAAACAGAGATACAGACCAATGGAACAGAACAGAGGCCTCAGAAGTAACACCACACATCTACAATCATCTGATCTTTGACAAACCTGACAGAAACAAGCAATAGGGAAAGGTGCTGGGAAACTTAATAAATGGTGCTGGGAAAACTGGCTAGCCACATGTAGAAAGCTGAAACTGGATCCCTTCCTTACAACTTATACAGAAATTAATTCCAGATGGATTAAAGACTTCAATGTTAGACCTAAAACCATAAAACCCAAAAGAAAACCTAGGCAATACCACTTAGGAAATCAGCATGGGCAAGGATTTCGTGACTAAAACACCAAAAGCAATGGCAACAAAAGCCAAATTAGACAAATGGGATCTAATTAAACTAAAAAGCTTCTGCACAGCAAAAGAAACTACCATCAGAGTGAACAGGCAACCTACAGAATGGGAGAAAATTTTTGCAGTCTACCCATCAAACAACCCCATAAAAAGTGGGCAAAGGATATGAACAGGCACTTCTCAAAAGAAGACATTTATGCAGCCAACAGACACATGAAAAAATGCTCATCATCACTGGCCATCAGAGAAATGCAAATCAAAACCACAATGAGATACCATCTCACACCAGTTAGAATGGCGATCATTAAAAAGTCAGGAAACAACAGGTGCTGGAGAGGATGTGGAGAAACAGGAACACTTTTACACTGTTGGTGGGACTGTAAACTAGTTCAACCATTGTGGAAGACAGTGTGGCAATTCCTGAAGGATCTAGAACTAGAAATACCATTTGACCCAGCCATCCCATTACTGGGTATATGCCCAACGGATTATAAATCACGCTACTATAAAGACACATGCACATGTATGTTTATTGTGGCACTATTCACAATAGCAAAGAATTGGAACCAACCCAAATGTCCATCAATGATAGACTAGATTAAGAAAATGTGGCACATATACACCATGGAATACTATGCAGCCATAAAAAGGATGAGTTCATGTCCTTTGTAGTGACATGGATGAAGCAGGAAACCATCATTCTGAGCAAACTATCGCGAAGACAGAAAATCAAACAGCGCATGTTCTCACTCATAGGTGAATTGAACAATGAGAACACTTGGACACAGGGTGGGGAACATCACACACTGGGGCCTGTCGTCAGGTGGCGGGATGGGGGAAGGATAGCATTAGGAGAAATACCTAATGTAAATGACTAGTTAAAGAGGGCAGCAAACCAACAGGGCACATGCATACATATGTGACAAACCTGCACGTTATGCACATGTACCATAGAACTTAAAGTATAATTTTAAAAAAATGTAAGAGAAAAGAATACCAAAGTTAATTGCAAGGATCCTTAATAAGAACTACTTACATTGGAAGCAAACCACAGAGAATTGTAAGGAGTCATGTGACAGAGAGGACCAGGATGCCATGAAAATGGACTTGGCTAAAAATAGGTCATTTAACCCTTGGCTGACTGGCATCTCTCTAGATTTTCAGTTATACAATGTTCAATCTGCTGTGCAAGGTAATTCCATCTTGCAAAGGATTTGATGTTACATTCTACCACACATACAACTGAATTAAACTTTTACGGAATTGGAAATGCAAATAATTGATCAAAATAAATCAAACAAGAAAAGAATAGGAAGGAATAACCAGTGATGGAATATCAAATATGAATGGAAAACAGAATAGGACTGATAAAAAGAAAAAAAGCTTCAGAAGCACATAATAGCCGTGTTATTTAGAATCATAGTGGTGTGCAAATGACTTCTATCACATCTCATTCAATACCAGA
Source organism: Homo sapiens (assembly GCF_000001405.40). Classification (NCBI taxonomy): domain Eukaryota; kingdom Metazoa; phylum Chordata; class Mammalia; order Primates; family Hominidae; genus Homo; species Homo sapiens. The sequence goes on from NT_167249.2 coordinate 1,092,471, forward strand.
GCAAAAGATGTTAAGTTTATTATGTAATGCCCACCAAATAGCTAGCTTTTGAAAAAAACTTGTTTCTCAATTTGAGCTAACCATTTCAGGCTACTGCATCAAACCAAAGTTATTGGCATCATGCTAAGCTAGATGTGTTGACTGAAGTATGAGATTCACACTTTTGTAAATGAAAAGCAATTTGATTAGGCAATGTTTTCCTAAGTGAAAGCAAGTTATTAGAGAAGTAAAGAAACAAAAGAATGGCTACTCCATATAGCGGAGTTTTTGTTTTTTTTTTTAAGTGTAGGCAAATGTTTAGTGAAGATGATATTTCAATAAGAAAATTGGTGCTTGGGACGTGCTTCCACTAAATTTGAGATATCTTAGACAAAACAAAGTCTTATTTTCAAGACATTATTTTTATCAGACTGAAGTCTTGGAACTATTTGATCTAGTTACTCTATGTTCTCAACTGTGTTAACTAATTGAAAACAACATTGTTATTAAAGGTATTCACAAGAAAAATTCAGAGTTACTGTTGCATATCCTTTCTCTGTTTCAAACTGTTTTCTCCTAAGCACCCAAGGCTCTGTGATGTCTGAAACAGTTAATCATTAATTTTAAAAGATAAGCTTATCGTGGAATTAGAAAAAAAAACTATTTTAAAATTCATATGGATCCAATAAGAGCTCATATAGCAAAGAGAATACTAAGCAAAAAGAACAAAGCTGGAGGCAGCACACTACCCCACTTAAAAGTATACTGTGAGGCTACAGTAAACAAAACAGCATGATACTGGTACAAAAACAGGCACATAGACCAATGGAACAGAATAGAGAATTCACAAAAAAAGTCCGCACATCTACAACCATTTGATCTTCAACAAACCTGACAAAAACAAGCAACGGGGAAAGGATTCCCTATTTAATAAATGGTGATGGGAGAACTGGCTAGCCATATGCAGAAAATTGAAACTAGATCCCTTCCTTACACCTTACACAAAAATTAACTCAAGATAGATTAAAGACTTAAATGTAAAACACAAAATTATAAAAACCCTGAAAGAAAATCTAGGCAATACCATTCAGGACACAGGCATGGGCAAAGATTTTATGATGAAATCGCCAAGAGCATCTGCCACAAAAGCAAAAATTGGCATATGGGATCTAATTAAACAAAAGAGCATCTGCACAGAAAAAGAAACTATCAGAGTGAACAGACACCCTACAGAATGGGAGAAAATTTTTGCAATCTATCTATCTTACAAAGGTCTAATATTCAGAATCTATAAAGAACTTAAGCAAATTTACATGAAAAAAACTTCATTAAAAAGTGAACAAAGGACATGAAGAGACATTTCACAAAATAAGACGTACATGTGGCCAAAAAAACATGAAAAAAAGCTCAACATCACTGATTACAGAAATGCAAATCAAAACCACAAATGAGATACCATCTAATGCCAGTCAGAATGGCAATTATTTAAAACTACATAAACACCAGATGCTGGCGAGGTTGTGGAGAAATAGGAAGGCTTTTACACTGTTGCTGGAAATGTAAATTGGTTGAACCATTGTGGAAGACAGTTTGGTGATTCCTCAAAGATTTAGAACCAGAAATACCATTTGACCCAGCAATCCCATTACAGGGTATACATCCAAAGGAAAATAAATCACTCTATTATAAAGATACATGCATGTGTATGCTTATTGCAGCACTATCCACAATAGCAAAGACATGGAATCAGCCCAAATGCCCATCAATGATGTACTGCATTAAGAAAATATGGTACATATACACCATGGAATATTATGCAGCCACAAAAAGGAATGAGATTCAGTCTTTTGCAGGGATATGGATGAAGCTGGAAGCCATCCTCAGCAAACTAACACAGGAACAGAAAGCCAAACACCACATGTTCTCACTTATAATTGGGAGATGAGCAATGAGAACACATGGACACAAGGAGAGGAACATCACACACTGGTGCCTGCTGGGGGAGGGCAGTGGTGGGAGGAGTATTAGGAAAAAATAGCTAATGCATGCCAGGGTTAATACATAGGTGATGGTTTGATAGGTGCAGCAAACCACCATGGCACACATTTACCTATGTAACAAACCTGCGCATCCTGCACACATAACCTGGAACTTAAAATTAAATTAAATTAAAAGACAAGCTAAAAGGGTTAACGAAAAATAATTAGATAAAAAAATTTTGATTTTCAAAATCGTGAAACAAGAGTTTTAAATTTGCTTTTAATATATATTCAAATCCTTTAATACTGTTCTCTTCCAGAGATGCTGCTTAATTTCCTCTCTTGAGTGTGGCTGGGACTTAATGATGCATTTCTGATATGGTCTGGCTCTGAGTTCCCACCAAATTCTCATCTTGAATTGTCATGCAAATTGTAATCCCTATGTATCGGGGGAGGGACCTCCTGGGAGGTGATTGGATCACGGGTATGGTACCCCCCATGCTGCTCTTATGATGCTGAGGGAATTCTCATGAGATCTGATGGTTTTATGAGGTATTTTTCCCCACTTCGATCTGCAATTCTCTCTCCTGCCACCATGTGAAGAAGGACGTGTTTGCCTCCACTTCTGCCATGATTGTAAGTTTCATGGGGCAGCCTTCTCAGCAATGCAGAACTATGAGTCAATTAAACCTCTTTCCTTTATAAATTACCCAGTCTCAGGTATTTCTTTATAGCAATGTGAGAACGGACTAATACAACTTCTAACTGGTAATGCTGACATAAGAGTTTGTGACTCTGGGTGTAGAACATAAAACTCACTGCAGCCTCCCCCTTCTCTCTCAATGTCTCTGGAATCATGAGCTCTGGGGGAAGCCACCTGCTGTGCCATAAGCAGCCCTGAAGGAAGGTCCATGTGGCTGAGAACTGGGGCCTTCTGGGAACAGAAAACAAGGAACTAGGGCTTTTCCAACAGCCATGTGACCCATCCATGTTTCATGTGAATCCTCAGTCCCAGTGAAGCACTCAGATGATGCAGGCCTAGGCTGACAACTGGACTGCAACCTTGTGAGAGGCCCTGAGCAAGAAGCACTCAGGGAAACCTCTCCTGGATTCCTGACCATTGGAACCTGCGGGAGATGATGAATATTTGCCATTTTGAGCTGCTAAGTTTTACATAATTTGTTATGCAATAGTAAATAACTAACACATTTTCACAAAAGAGGATGTAGTATTACACATTAATTTGCATTTGCTCTAAATTTATCATTATTATTAATATTATTGTTATTGAGACAGGGTCTCGCTCTGTCGCCCAGGCTGGAGTGCAGTGGCATGATCACCATGCACTGCAGTGTCGACTTCCTGGGCTCAAGGGACCCTCTTATCTCAGCGTCCTGAGTAACTGGGACTACAGGCATGAAGCACCACGCCTGGCTAATTTTCTAAATTTTTTTGTAGAGATGGGGGTTTCTCCATGTTGCCCAGGCTGATCTTCAACATCTGGAGTCAACAAATCTGCCTTCCTCTGCCTTCCACGGTGCTAGAATCACAGGTGTGAGCCACCACACCTGGCCTAAATTAATTATAAGACATTACACATGTAACTTAGTTTTAAAAGGTAAGGAGAATGTCCATGGCTGAAGAGGATGCATTTTATTACCATTCACAATGATCACTTTACTTGAACTTCAATTTCCAACTGTGTCCAAATTAAACACAAAAGGAAGATCCAACCCTTGCTGGGCTGATTCTTTGATGGCCCCCAACAGCCACCTCCCGGTCATTCACTTTCCCCCAGTTATTCAAGCAACTCTAGTGTAGATGCTGCTGTGAAGGGATTTAGCAGATATAACTAAGGGCCTCAATTAGTTGACTTTAGGCTGGGTTTATCCTGCTTTGACTGTCCTAATAAGGTGAGTCCTTGAAAGGTCTGTGTTCTTTCTGAGCATAGAGATTTGCAGTGTGAGAGGGATTCAGCATGAGGGGTTTCCTCTACCGTGGGCTTTGAAAATGAAGAGGCTGTGTAGGAAAGAACACTGTTAGGCACCAGGAATTGAGCACAGCCCTGCCTATTCTCTGTATTGACAGCCAGCAAGGAACAGAAACCTCAGTCTTACAACTGCCAGAAACTGCATTCTGCCACCTCTGTATAAGCCTGAAGGAGGATTCAAAATGAAAACACAGCTTTTGGAAGCCCAGAACAGGGATTCTATCCACATCTTGCCCAGATTTCTGACCAAGGAAGTATAAGCAGATAAATGGGTGTTGTTTTGCCAGTCGTGGTAGTGCACGAATGAATTGATGAATTGATATGCACACTAATTACATAAAATAAAATATTTCTTAACTTTTTCAGTATTTTACATTTTATAATTTTCTGTGATGCAATTTAATAGACTCATATTTCATTCATTCAGTCAAGAAAAATTAATTTAATCCCTACAATGAACCAGGTGTGCCCTCATATGCTTACGTGCCTGACATTCCAGAAGCTTCACAAGACCAAGGTGGAGCCAGTGGAATGTTTTAGGTGGAGAAATGACACACTCTGACTCACAGGAGCAGGACCACTGTGCAGAGAACAGTCACGTAGCAGGTAATGGGACAGTGCTAGTGTCACAAATAAGGAGTGACAAGGTGGTGGGGACTAAGGGGAGAGGAGGGCCTGAGGGATGAGAGGAATGGAGGGAAGGGCTGGAGATGCAGGAGGTGAGGAAATGGAGCAGAGGGAAAGAATTCGAAAGCAGCAGAACTCAGGTTTAAACACATTGTTTTATATATTTTAATACATCAATCTACAGAGCCTTGCAGGGTGATCTTTGCAGTTGGCCTTTAATACCTTATGTGGGTCTGCCTAAAAACTAATTTTTTTATGTTAATCAGGTTTAAAAAATACTAAGTGTTCATATAAAATATACACAACACTTAGAAGTGGATACTTCCTAAAAACAGGCAGTGCATGAGCACTGGTGAGGGGCATTGTGACTGCATTGAGTGCTTGCCACTGTGAGATGAATAAAGTCCGTACTGGCTCCTGGTTACAACATATAGTAACACAGTGGCTACCTTGTATTAGGAGATGTCCTGGACTCACACAGAAACTCAGGGCTATGGAATGAAGGTAAATTTAAAATACTACAAGCGGGAGTCACAGATACATTGTCTGGGAAAGTGAAACTTAGGAGCTTTGTGATTCCTGTTGTAATGCTTTTAGACACATTTATATGTCAAGGGACCAAAGTCACATTTTTGGCCGATTAGATTCCTGATCATTAGGAGTTACCAAGATTCTGCTACCCACTGTAGTTAATAAACAAAAAGCAAACTGGTCTCTATTCTATCTCATGCACTCAGGCACAACTTTTCCAGATTTAAAAAACAAACAAACAACAACAACAAAAAACCCTGTCTCTACACCTCCATTCCCAGGGCAAGCTCACTCTCTGGCAACAAGCTCCCTGGGGTGATTTTTCTTCTAGAAGAGTCCACGGGGACAGGTAAGGAGTAGGAGGCAGGGAGTCCAGTTCTGGGACGGGGATTCCGTGATGCAAAGTGAAGAGAGAGGGACGGGGCCCATTCCGAGGGTTTCTCCCTGGTTTCTCAGACAGCTCCTGGGCCAAGACTCAGGGAAACATTGAGACAGAGCGCTTGGCACAGAAGTAGCGGGGTCAGGGCGAAGTCCCAGGGCCTCAGGCGTGGCTCTCAGGATCTCAGGCCCCAAAGGCGGTGTATGGATTGGGGAGGCCCAGCGCTGGGCATTCCCCATCTTTGCAGGGTTTCTCTTCTCCCTCTCCCAACCTGTGTCGGGTCCTTCTTCCTGGGTACTCACCGGGCTGCCCCAGTTCTCACTCCCATTGAGTGTCGGGTTTCTAGAGAAGCCAATCAATGTAGCCGCGGTCCCGGTTCTAAAGTTCCCACGCACCCACCGGGACTCCGATTCTTCCCAGTCGCCGAGGATGGTGTCATGGCGCCCCGAACCCTGCTTCTGCTGCTCTCGGGGGCCCTGGTCCTGACCCAGACCTGGGCAGGTGAGTGCGGGGTCGGGAGGGAAACGGCGTCTGTGGGGAGTAGCTAGGGGCCTGCCCGGCGGGGGCGCAGGAACCCGGTTGCGGTGCCGGGAGGAGGGTCGGGAGGGTCTCAGCCCCCTCCTTGCTCCCAGGCTTCCACTCCTTGAGGTATTTCCACACCACCATGTCCCGGCCCGGCCGCGCGGATCCCCGCTTCCTCTCCGTGGGCGACGTGGACGACACGCAGTGCGTGCGGCTCGACAGCGACGCCACGAGTCCCAGGATGGAGCCGCGGGCGCCGTGGATGGAGCAGGAGGGGCCGGAATATTGGGAAGAGGAGACAGGGACCGCCAAGGCCAAAGCACAGTTTTACCGAGTGAACCTGCGGACCCTGAGCGGCTACTACAACCAGAGTGAGGCCTGTGAGTGACACCGGCCGGGGGCGCAGGTCACTACCCCTCCACATCCCCCACGGACCGCCCGGGTCTCCCCGAGTCTCTGGGTCCGAGATCCACGCCGAGGCAGCGGGACCTGGAGACCCTTGACCCGGGAGAGGCCCAGGAGCCGTTACCCGGTTTCATTTTCAGCCAAAATCCCCGCAGGTTGGTCCTGGCGAGGGCGGGGCTCGGTGGGCGGGGCTGGCCGCGGGGGCGGGGCCAGGGTCTCACACCCATCTAGAGGATGTCTGTCTGCGACGTGGGGTCGGACGGGCGCCTACTCCGCGGGTATCACCAGCTTGCTTACGATGGCAAGGATTACATCGTCCTGAACGAGGACCTGTGCTCCTTGACAGCCGCAGACACGGCGGCTCAGATCACCCAGCTCAAGTGGGAGGCGGCCCGGGGGGCGGAGGTTCATCCTCACAGGGATAGGCACCTATTAGATGTGGTGTGGTTTTCCTCTCTACTCTTAGACCCTCAGCCAGTATCACTATTGGCATTCCTGAGCCACTGGCTCAGAATTTCAGTACATTATCTGCCCGCGGGACACACCTCAGAGGAAAGGGGATGAAGCGTGGTCCATGACCATGGCACCCCCTGGTCTTATCACCACCTGCACCTCCCAGGGGCTGCCAGCCACACAGAGTCATGGACAGGTCTCTACAGACACAACTTAGTGCCAGCTTGGATGAAACCCTCTGAGGAATGGGTGCCATCTTTCAGGATGTGGTGCATGTATTGAATCAAAGATGTCTCTATAGTGCTGTGTTTACAGAAGGAAGAATACGTGGGTCCAAAAACCAAGAAGTAGAAGCAGGTGTGGCTCCATATCTAAACCCTTATATTCACCTTCAGGGTGATTTTGCACTTCTCATCTCCAATATCTGGGCTCTGTAGGGGAGGAGGTCCTGGTTTCCCAAAGGGGGCACCCTGGCAAGGAGACATTTAAATGAGAGTCCATGGAAATACACATTATGGCTGCCCCCAGGGATGTTTGAATAGTATGTGTCCAGATACAAGCAGGTGAGAAGAGGAGGAGGCAGGGCTGCTATCACACAAGGAGGGCAGGAGATGTGTGTGTGGAAATAAGAGATCCACTTGGAGACCTTATGGTTCCCCTTGTCCTGTTGTAAGTGTGAGCAGAATCATCCAGCAACCCAGCCTGAGAGGGTTTCATATTCAAGAGCCCAGAACCCTCAGGAAGGAAGGATTGAGTGATACTCACAGGTAATGTCCCAAGGCTGTGCTCCTGTGCTCTGACATCCTCAGCAGGATTGGTGCAAAGCCCTGCTTCCCATGGGCTGTTCCCAGCCAGTGACTGGTCACAGCAGGCATTAAGGCAAGCCATTCCTGGGAGACACGGGACTCCTCTGATGGCTAACTGTAGCTGGAAGACTCCTCCACGGCCTTGCTCAACTCTCCTTAGATTGCCTGTGCTCTAGGATGCGTCAAACAAACTTTCTCTCCTTCTGTCCAGCACTTGGGGTCACACTTGCATCGTGGTCTGCCGCCTTTTCTCAGGGATTTCTGGCTCACTTCCCATATTCCCTTATGGGTGTGTCCCCTTATAAGATGTCGCAGACTTTAAGCTCATCTTGGCATCTGCTCCTTGAAGGACTTGGACTAAAAATTATTTCCATCTGCATATCAATAACTCTTATTCCAACCTGTAAAATCCTTCTCTTTATCCAACTTCTGCCACCCCCACAGAATCTATTTTACTTGTGTGTGTAGTATCTCTTTGAGTTAACAGATATTTGTTCTATTAAGCTACTAAATTTTGAGGTAGTTTGTGACACAGCACTTGATAACTATTAAGGCTTTCTTAAGTTTCCATTATTCCATGGATATTATCTACATATCTTTTAATCCCTTGCATTTTAATAACATTAGCTATACTTGCTGTTTCCAACTCTTTCCTCCTATTTTTGAACATTTTAAATTTTGTCTTTCTCTGTCCTTCCTTCCTTCTTTCCTCCTTTCCTCCCTCAGAGCTTTCTCCCTCCCTCCATTTTTTTCATAAACTCCAAGTGTTTAGGCCAAAAGGAAGCATTATTTGAACTTTATGCTAAAAGTATAATGCCGTAATTTATAATATAAAAGTAAAGAAAAGGAAGTTGTTAATGGAATATGAAAAAATGCCTAGGGTGATTCTATAGCCAAGACAGTACCTTTTAACATTTAATTTCTGCCTCCAACTGAATGTTTTCAGAACACATGAGCAACACAAGCTCTTTCCCATTCTTGGTACAAGCACTTGAGAAATCAAATTAGCCTTATCTAGTATGATTAATGTCCATACATCATATAATCCCACCATCTGCCTCCTGATCATACCCCCTGGGGACATTCTTGGCTATGTGTCCAGGAGACATGTACACCAATGTTTATGGCAAAAACTGGAAACAATCACATATACATCAATGGGAATTAACAAAATAGTCGTATAATAATAAAAAGTAAAACTTCAGCAGCAACAGTGAATGAACAGCACCCTCCCACATCAGAGATAACTCTCCTACACATAACATGCATCAGCATCACAGAAGAATGCACATTGTGTGAGTTCTCTGTACGGGGAAGTTAAAAAAAGCAGGTCAAACTGTGATTTGGATATATATATATATACTTATTGTAAAAATCTTTAGAGACAATGAAAAGGAATAGTAAATACAAGACTCAAGATAGAAGTTCCTTTTGGGGAATAGAATTGGACAACAGCCGAGGGTGGCTTCATAGGTTTTGTTTTTTATGCCAGGAGGGGATGTCCAGGTAGTTAAGTTACTTGATCATAAATCTTTCTTTCTTTCTTTCTTTCTTTCTTTCTTTCTTTCTTTCTTTCTTTCTTTCTTTCTTTCTTTCTTTCTTTTCTTTTCTTTCTTTCTTTCCTTTCTTTCTTTCTTTCTTTCTTTCTTTTCGAGATGGAGTCTCCCTCTTGTTGCCCAGGCTGGAGTGCAGTGGCATGATCTCAGTTCACTGCAACCTCCGCCTCCCAGGTTCAAGCAATTCTCCTACCTCAGCCTCCTGAGTAGCTGGAATTATAGGCATCCACCACGACACCCAGGTAATTTTTGTATTTTTAGTAGAGACGGGGTTTCACCATATTGTCCAGGTTGGTCTCAAACTCCTGACCTCAGGTGATCCGCCAACTTCGGCCTTCCAAAGTGCTGGGATTACAGACATGAGCCACCATTCCCGGCCCACAAATCTTTAAAGTGTCATTTTTCAAAATGCACCTTGTGTGCCATTCCTGACTGATTATTTGGAAATGAAAGAGAAAAGAAAATACCAAAGTTCATCTCAAGGATCCTTAGCAATAACTACACACGTTAAAACAAAGCCACAGCCAATTGTAAAGAGTCATGTGACAGAGAGGACCAGGATCTCATGAAAAATAGCCTTGGCTAGAAAGAGGTCATTTGACCCTGGGCTAATTGGCAACTCTCTACATTGTCTGGCATACAGTGTTCAATCTGATGTGCAAGGCAATTGTATCTTGCAAAGAATTTGAGAATTTGATATGTTGCTCACATTTTACCACACATACAAGTGGATTAAACTTTTACACAGTAAAAAAAAAAAGCATTGTTGAGCAAAATAAATTAAATGAAAAGACATAAAGGAATAACTAGTGATGAAATAGCAATAAGAATGGAAAACATGAAAGAGATGCTTGTACAGCAATGATAGCAGCACAAAAGAACAGTGTTTTTCAGAATCATACAGGAGTCCAAATCACTTCTACCACATCTAATTAAAAAACACAGTGAAAGATGTTAAACTTTCATAGGATGCCCACTGAATAGCCAGTTATTGAAAAATCTTGTTCCTAGATTGGAGTAAACAATTTCTGCCTACCCTAGCCAAACAAATTATTGTCATGATGCTAAGCTAGTGTATAGACAGAGGTGTGAGATTCACATTTTTCTAACTGCAAAGCACCCTGATTAGGCAAATATTTTTGTAGATGCTTGAGTAAGAAAATTGGCATTTTGGGCATTCTTAAACCGAATTAGAAACTTCTGAAGAGAAACAAACGTAGTTATGATTGTAAAGGCATTATTGTATGGCACCAAAGTCTTGGGACACTTTAATTTAGCTACTGTATTTTCTCAACTCTGTTGCAACTTATCAAAGAGAATATTAATATTAAAGGCATTTACAAAAAAAATCTGAGATATTGTTGTATCTTCTTTCTCTGTCTCAAATATTTAATCAACTTTACAGAAGAGAATTTTAAAGTATTAAAAAAAGTCAGATACAAGAAGTATTTGATTTACAAAACCCTGAAACAATAATGTTAATTTTGCTTTTAACATGTTTATAAATTCTTTGATACTCCTCCTTTCCAGAAGTGCAGCTTCATTCCCTCCCTGTTCGTGTGGCCTGGACTTAATGACTCACTTCTAACTGATAGAGTAATGCTGACATAATAGTTTGTGATTCTGGGTGTAGAACATAAGACTCACTGAAGTTTCTACTTTGGTTCTTTCTTTCTCTGGAATCATGAGCCCTGGGGGAAGCTGGCTGTTGTGTCATAAGGAGGCCTGTGGTCCATGTGACTAGGAAGTGAGTCCTCCTGGGACCAGACAATAAGAAGCTAAAGCCTCTTCCAAAAGCCATGTGAGAGATTCTTGTGTCTTGTGAATCCCCGGCCCCATTTGAGCCCTCAGATGATTCAGCCCTGGAAGACAACTAGACTGCAACGTTGTGAGAGGCCCTGAGCCAGAAGCATTCAGAGAAACTTCTCCTGGATTCCTGACCATGGATAACTGTGGGAGATGATAAATATTTGTTGATTTGAGCTGCTAAGTTGTAGGTGACTTGTTATGCAGCAGTAGATAACTAATACAGCTTCACAAGAGAGGATGAATCACTGAACTTTTTCATTTGCTCTAAATTCATTATAAGATATTAAACATGTCATTTGCTTTTAATATTTAATAAAAATTTCCATGGCTATATAAGATATATTTTATTATCATTAACAATGATCTATTTTTTGATCTTCAACTTGTATGTTCTATTTAAACATGAAAGGAAGATCCAGGCTAGCTAGGCTGATTCTATGATGACACCCCAATAACCACCCTTGGTTTCTCAGGTTACCCCAGTTACTCAGTTGACACTAAAGCAGGTGCTGCTGTGAAGAGGTTTTGCAGATATATTTAAAGTCCCCAGTCAGTTGACTTTAAGATGAGGATTATCCTGCTTAGACGGTCCTAATCAGGTAAGCTCTGAAAAGGACTGGGTTCTTCCTGAGAATAGAGACTCACAGTGTGAGAGGGATTCAGCGTGAGGGGCTTCCTCCACTTTGGGCTTTGAAAATGGAGGGATCATGGGGAAAGAACACTGGTGGCCAATAGGAATTAGAAGCCCTCCCCACTGTCTACTCTGATAGCCCGAAGGAAACAGGGACCTTAATCCTACAATTGCCAGAAACCGAATTCTGCCAACAAACTCTACATAAGCTTGGGGGAGAACCCCAATCTTAAGATGAGGATACAGCTTTGCGAAACTCTGAACAAAGAGTCTATCACATTAGGCCTGGATTTCTGATGAAGGAAATGTAGACAAATAAATGGGTGCTGTTTTCAGCCACTAAGTTTGTGGTAATTGGTTATGTACTGCCAGGAAATAAATAAACAGATTCAAAGGATAAGTATATGACATTTTCTCCACCGGAATGAATTCATGAACTGATATGCATAGTAGTTGCATAAAACCAAATATTTCCTAACTTGCTTTGCATTTTCCATTTCATGATTTTTGTGTGATACAATTTTGAACACAATTATATTTCATTCATTCATTCAACAAAAATTAACTTAGTGCCTACTATGTGGCAGATATACTTTTATATTCTGTAGATACAACTTTGATCAAAACAACCCAAAGCCCCTGTGCTTGTGCCTTCCATTCTAGAGGCTTCTTGAGAGTAAGATGGAGCCATTAGAGGCTTTTAAGTGAAGAAATGACACAATCTGACTCACATTAGCAGGATTGCTGACCTTTGTGGGGAGAACAGTCATGGGCAGCAGGCGAGGGACAGAGCTAGGGACACAATTCAGTAGTGACAGAGTAGTAGAGACTAAGGGGAGAGGAGGGCCTGAAGGATGACAGGGACAGAGAGAAGGGCTGGAGAAGCAGGAGGTGAGGTAAAGGAACAGAGAGAAAGAATTCTAAAGCAATGGAATTCTCAGACTTAAATACAGTGTTTTATAGATTTTTAATGCATTTATCCGCAAAGCCTGGCACAGTGTTACTTGCACCTTGGTCTTTAATGCATTCTGTGGGGCTGTCTAAAAGCTAATTGCCTCTCTAAGATAAAAAGGTTAAAAAAGGCCGGGCGCGGTGGCTCACGCCTGTAATCCCAGCACTTTGGGAGGCCGAGGCGCGTGGATCACAAGGTCAGGAGATCGAGACCATCCTAGCTAACATGGTGAAACCCCGTCTCTAATAAAAAATTACAAAAAAATTAGCCGGGCGTGGTGGCGGTCGCCTGTAGTCCCAGCTACTTGGGAGGCTGAGGCAGGAGAACGGCGTGAACCCGGGAGGCGGTGCTTGCAGTGAGCGAGATTGCACCACTGCACTCCAGCCTGGGCGACAGAGCGAGACTCCGTCTCAAAAAAAAAAAAAAAGGTTAAAAAAGAATACCAAATGTCTCAATAAAATATACACATAGCTTAGATGTGAATAATTCATAATAATAGGCAAGTGCATGGGCCAGCCATTATAGCTCATGCCTGTAATACCAGCATTTTGGGAGGCTGAGGCGGGAGGATTGCTTGAGCCCAGGAGTTCAAGACCAGCCAGAGCAATTTAGGGAGACCTCATCTCTACAAATATTATTTTTAGAAAAATTAGCCAGGAGTGGTGGCACAAGCCTGTGGTGCCAGCTACTTGGGAGGCTGAGGGAGGAGCATTGATCACATGAGCCAAGGAGGTCGAGGCTTCAGTGAGTCATGAGCGTGCCACTGCACTTTAGCCAGGGTAACAGAGTGACGACCTGTCTGTAAATAAATAAAAAATAAAAAAATTAATAATAAAGGGAGTGCATGAGCACTGGCGAAGGGCACTTTGGCTGCATTAAGCACTTGCAATTCTGAGGTAATTAAATTCTGTACAGGCTCCTGGTTGCAATATACGGTAATACATTGTGCTTTGTATTGAGATGTCCTGGACTCGCACACACAAACTCAGAGCTATGAAATAAAGATACTGTAAAAATACAACAGACCAGAGTCACAGATACACAGTCTGGGAAAGTAAAACTTCACTTTGTGAGTCTAATTGCAATGCGTTTAGACATATTTATATATAATGGGGCCAAAAATCATCTCTTTTACAAATTAGATTCGTGACCATTCAGGGGCTACCAAGATTGTGCTACCCACTGTAGCACAATCGGAGACCCACGCCGAGGCTGCGGGACTCGTGGAGACCCTCGACACAAGAACCCCAGGTGCCTATACCCGATTCCATTTTCAGTTCAGGCCCAAATCCCCGGGGGATTGATCGGGGCAGAGGAGGAGCTCAGTGGCTGAGGCTGACCGCGGGCTTGGGGACAGGGTCTCCCACCTCCAGTGGATACACAGCTGCGACCTGGACCCGGACCGGAGCCTCTTCGCGCGGGGATGAACATACCCTACGATGGCGCCAGTTACCTCGTCCTAAACCAGGAACTGCTCTCTTGGACCGCAGCGGAAAAGGCGGCTCAGATGTTTTGGAGGAGGAACATGCAGAGCTGCTCAAAACCTACCTGCCGGGAAGGTGGGCGGAGTGGCTCAGCAAAGGCCTTAAGAATGAGAAGGAGAGGCTGCAATGCGCAGGTACCAGAGGCCACGGGTCGCCTCCCTGATCTCCTGCAGATATCCCTGAGCCACCTTCCAAAAGAAGGGGAGGAAAATGGGACCAACGCTAAAATATCCCTCTCCCTCTTGTCCTGAGGCAGAAGAGTCCTCCTGGGTTTCTAAATCCTATACCAGAGAGTGACTGAGGGCCCGCCCTGCACTCTGGGACAATTAACGGATGAAGTCTCTGCGGGAAAGGAGGGGAAGACAATCCCTGGAATACTGATACGCGGTACCCTTTGACCCCCCAGCAGCCTTGGGCACCAGGAATTTTCCTCTCAGGCCTTGTTCTCTGCCTCATACTCAATGTGTGTGGGGGTCTGATTCCAGCTCTTCTGAGTCCCTCGGCCTCCACTCAGGTCAGGACCAGAAATCTCTGTTTCCGCCTCAGACACTAGAACTTTCCAAGGAATAAGAGATTATCCCAGGTGCCTGTGTCCAGAATGTTGTCTGGGTTCTGTGCTCCCTTCCCCACCCCAGATGTCCCATCCATTCTCAGGATGGTCACATGGGTGCTGTGTCTCATGAGGAATGCAAAGTGCCTGAATTTTCTACCTCTTGCCCTCAGATCCCCTGAAGGCACAGGTAACCCTCCACCCCATCTCCAACTATGAGGCCACGCTGAGGTGCTGGGCCCTGGGCTTCTACCCTCTGGAGATCACACTGACCCAGGAGCGGGATGGGGAGGACCAAATTCAGGATGCAGAGTTTGTGGAGACCAGACTTGCAGGGTACAGAACCTTCCAGAAGTGGGCAGCTGCAGTGGTGTCTTCTGGAGAGAAGCAGAGGTACACATGCCATGTGCAGCACGAGGGGTTGCCTGAGCCCCTCACACTAAGATGGGGTAAGGAGACGAATGAGGGGTCATGTCTCTTCTCAGGCAAAGCAGAAGTCCTTCTGGAGCCTTTAAGCAGGGTCAGGGCTGAGGCCTGGGGGTCAGGGCCCCTCACGTTCACCTCCTTTCTTAGAGCTGTCTTCCCAGCCCATCATCCCCGTTGTGGGCATCATTGCTGGCCTGGTTCTTCTAGTTGCTGTAATCACTGTAGCTGTAGTCGCTGCTGTGATGTGGAGGAATAAGATCCCAGGTAGGAAAGGGGTGAGCTCTGAGTTTCCTTCTTCCATTGGTGGATTTCAAGCCCCAGGTAGGAGTAGGCTCATATCTTGCCTAGTTGTGAGGCACCATCTCCACACACATTTACCCTGTTCAGAGGCCCTGTCTATCAACGCTTACTCTTTTGTAAAGCACTTGTGAAAATGAAGGACAAATTTATCACCTTGATTGTGGTCATGGGAACCTGACTCCCAGCAGTCACAGGTCAGGGGAAGGTCCCTGCTGAGGACAGACCTCAGGAGGACAATTGGTCCAGCCTCAACACATCCTCTTCCCTTGGGTTTTCTGATCCTGACCTGGGTCTGTAGTCACAGTTCTGGAAACTCCTCTAGGATCTCATGCCCTGCCTCCTCCCTGGCCTCTCACAGTTTGTTTTCTTTCCACAGATGGAAAAGGAGGCAGTTATGCTCAGGCTTCATGTAAGTGTGGTAGGGGTGGGAAGAGTGATCCCTGAGATCCTTGGGATAGTGTAGACAGGAGCCCATGGGGGAGCTCAGCCACCCCAAAATTCCTCCTTTAGTCACATCACCTGTGGGCTCTGACCAGATTTTGTTTTTGTTCCACCCCAAACAGGAACAGTACCCAGGGCTCTGATGTGTCTCTCAAGGCTTGTAAAAGTGACACCTTAGAGGGCCTGAAGTGAAAGAGGAGTTGGGCAGAGGGGACACAACTAAGCTCTGGAGATTCTTTGATTTGGAATTTTTCAAGGTGTGGTGGGCTGTTCAGTGTCACAACTTACTATGACTGACCTGGATTAGTTTATGACTATGTTTTTTCTAAGATTGCCTTGTGAGGGACTGAGATGCAAGATTTGTTCATGCCTCCTCTTTGTGACATTAAGAGCCTCTGGCTTCTCTTTCTGCCAAAGGGTCTGAATGTGTCTATGTCTACAGTAACAGGTAAGAAATGGGAGACCAGCCCATCCTCATGTCCACCATGACCCCTGATATTGTTTGGATCTGTGTCCCCACCCAAATCTCATGTTCAATTGTAATCCCTAATTTTGGAGGTGGTGTCTGGTGGCAGGTGATCGGCTCATGAGGATGGATCCTTCATGAACGGTTTAGAACCATCTCTTTGGTGCTATTCTTGTGATAATTCTCATAAGATCTGGTGTTTAAAAATCTGTGTCACCTCCCTGCTCTCTCTCCCTCCTGCTCCAGGCATGTAAGTAATGTCTGCTTCCCCTTAGCCTTCCAGCATAATCGAAAGTTCCCTGAGGCCCTCTCATAAGATGAGCAGATGCCAGAATCATACTTTCTGTATAGCCTGCAGAACCATGACCCAATTTAAACCTCTTTTCTGTTTTTGTTTTGTTTTTGTTTTTTGAAGGAAAATTTATATTATTTTAATTATTTTTACATACAGAAAACTCAACAGCATACATTTCACCCAATTTAGTGGCATGTTCTTTACCCTTTGCCTTTTTGAGCTTGGCAATGCAAACCACATACTTGAGACCCAGGACACTGTCTCCCCAGTGATGGCGGATCTCATCGTATCTGTCATTGTAATTGGTCCTGAGAACTCCCACCAGCTTAGCCAAAGCACCTTTGTCTTCCGAGTTAACCTGTGTGAAGGTGACAGTGGTGCAGGTCTTCCTATGGACTAGATGTCCCAGTCTTGCCTTCCCTTTGATAATGCAGTAAGGGACCCCATTTTATGACACAGGACAGGCAAGAAGACAACCAGCTTGATGGGATCTACATCATGTGCAATCACCACCAGCTGAGCTTTCTTGTTCTCCACCAAGGTGGCGATGGTGTTAACTCCTGCTCGAAGGACAGGTGGACTCTTAGTGGGGAATGTCCCCTTTGCCAGCAGCTTTCTTCTTGGCCCGGGCCAACAGCCTCTGCTTCTTCTCTTGGTTTGTCTCTGGTCTGTATTGTGGGCCAGCTTAAGCAGCAGAGTAGCTGTTTGGCTGTCTGGTGCCTGGGTGAACTGGTTAATCTCAGGAGGCACTTTCAGCCACTTATAGAGGATGGTTCTCTGCTGCTGCAACCTGATATAGCAGGGCCATTTCACAAAGTGGGTGAGGTCTCTTTTGGGCTGGATATCCTGTCCAGTGCCAAAATTCTTAGGCCTTTTCTCAAACAAGGGATTTACCACTTTCTTGGCCTCCTGCTTCTTCACGACAGCAGGGGCTGGAGCCACCTTCTTCTCCTTGGCCTTCTTTCCTTTTGGCATCTTGGATGGTGGGAGGAGAAAGAAAGAAACCTATTTTCTTTATAAATTACCCAGTCTCAGGTATTTCTTTATAAAAGTGTGAGAATGAACTAATTCAGAAAATCGGTACCAGGAGTTGGGTATTACTATAAAAATTCTTGAAAATGTGGAAACAGCTTTGGAACTGGGTAACAGGCAGAGGTTGGAAGAGTTTGGAGAGTTCAGAAGACAAGAAAATGGGGGAAAATTTGCAACTTCCTAGAGATTTGTTAAGCTGTTGTGACCAAAATGCTGATAGTGATATGGACAATAGAGTCCAGGCTGATAAGGTCTCACATGGAGATGAGGAACTTATTGGGACCTAGAGGAAAGGTCACTTTTGTTATGCATTGGCAAATAACTTGGAGGCATTGTTCCCCCTCCCTAGGGATCTGTAGAACTTTGAACTTGAGAGTGATGTATAAGGGTATCTGGTGGAAGAAATTTCTAAGCAGCATAGCATTCCAGATTTGGCCTGCCTGCTTGTAATAGCCTATGCACATATGTGTGAGCAAAGACATGACCTGAAACTGGAACTGATATTTAAAGGGGAAATTTAATATCCAGGACAATTCCTAGTGGAGCTGCAGGAACAGGACCCCTGCCAAGACTACTAAATCATAGAGCCACTGGCAATATGCAAGCTCAGCCTGGAAAAGCCATAAGCATTCAATGTTCACCCATGAGAGCAGCTATATGGATTATGTTCACCAAAGCCACGGATATGAGGCTGAAGATGGCATTGTGAGTCCATTGCTTGCACCAGCCAGTGTGCTCAGGGTTCAAGATATAGAGTCAAAGGAGATTATTTTAGAGCTTTAAGTTTTAATGTCTGCCATGATGAGTTTCAACCTTGTGAGGACACTGCATTCATTTCTTTTGGTCCACTTATTTCTTTTGGAATGGAAATGTATAGGAAATGTCTCTACCACTGTTGTATTAATATTTTAGAAGTAAATAACTTTTTTTAATTTTACAGGTGCACAGCTATAAGAACTTACCTTGAGTCTCAGATGAGACTTTGGAATTTAGAGTTGATGCTGGATCAACCCAACACATTTTGGACAATTGGGAGAAGATTATTGTCTTTTGCAATGTGAGAAGAATGTGAGCTTTGGCTGGCTAGGGACAGGATGCAATGATATAAATATTTATCCCCAGATACCTCATGTTAAAATCTGATCCCCAATGTTGGACTTAGGGCCTAATGGGTGGCGTTTGGGTCTTGGGGGCCAATCTTTTATGAACAGAGAGATACTGCCCTCTCTCGGGAGTCAATGAATTGTTGCCCTATTAGTTTCCAAAAGAGCTAGTTGTTAAAAGAGTCTCGCACCTTCCTACTCCCTCTGTTCCTCTCTTACCACGTGACTTCTGCACATACCAGCTCCCCTTTGCCTTCTGCCATGAGTGGAAGCAGCCTGAGGCCCTCGCTAAATGCTCAAACATTTCCAGACATCAGAATCCTGAGCCAAATGAACCTTGTTTATATAAATTAGTCAGTCTCAGACATTTCTTTATAGCAACACAAAACGGAATAAGACAACCCTCTCATCATAGGTATGTGTCTGTGGCAGCCAGCCCCCATTCTCAAGGTATCCAGGATCCACTCAGCCAAGAGTCCTTTCCTCAGTATTCTAAAGACACTCTAATCACTCAAGAGATTCTAAGGTTTTTAGGAGAAACCAGGGACAAAACTAAATGTTTTTGTGATAACTCATATTACCCCCTTTTCTTTGACCACATATTTTTCATACGAAAAGGATTATAACAGTAAAGAAGCATTGGCATATTATCCAAGTCTCATTCGGTCATTCAAAATTAGGCCAGTTTATCATCCTCTTGTATGAATATGTCTCCCAGAATGACATCACTCAGCTTTGCAGACACCATTCAATCTTATCAGGTTCCAAAAACAAGAATGGTCTCAGGGACATACAGCTTCACCCTTTTAGGCATCCAGTATAGTTGACCTAAGAGACAACATCTCTTGCTCACACCACTTTTGAGGAGATAAGCTAATATTGAATTTTCCTCATTACATAACCCTTTGATTTATTCACCTACCTTCAGCCACTATTCCTCCTTCTGTCCCTTTATATCAGTCTTTTCCAGTTCTAGAAGTGACATTAGGTTTGGCTGCTGTGCTGGCCTAGACTGCATGCAGCAATAGTATTCTACCATGTCTTCTCTTAATCTACTCTTGATCATAGACAGTAGGTTACATAGGTTAGGAACTAGTGCAGGCTATCTGACCACCAGTCTACGTAGCTCTACTTACAGTTAATCCCGACTTTGCCAGATGAAATGAAGGCACAGCGCAATCCTTGATTTGCTTGGGAATTCTTACATAAAGGTATAAAAATATAGTTATGGTTTTTTCCTTAGGGATAATTCCTGTTTCTGGCAGTTCGATTTGCATCCCTGTTCCTGGTACCACTGCACCCTGTGTAAAAAAAGAAATAAGAAATGAAGTGTAGTCATTATTCCAGCATCCTCCCCTTAAGAAGAATTGTATGTACAGTCATAACAGCATCACCCTGATCCATCAGGAAAAAGAGAGGAAGCTACCTAGTGGAGTCAGTTTCGCAGCTCCACCCATGTTGACAGTAAGCACATTCATGAAGATATAAAAGCCAGTCCTTCATGTTTATATTGCCCAACAATTATATTGGCAGTTTTTAGACAATTAGACAACCAATGTTTCAACTGACTATTTCTTTTTCTTTTTTTTTTTGAGATGGAGTCTCACTCTGTCGCCCAGGCTGGAGTGCAGTAGTATGATCTCGGCTCATGCAACCTCTGCCTCCCAGGTTCAAGCAATTCTACTGTCTCAGCCTCCCGAGTAGCTGGTAATACAGGCGCCCACCACCACACGCAGCTAATTTTTGTATTTTCAGTAGAGACGGGGTTTCACCATATTGGCCAGGATAGTCTCAAACTCCTAAACTCAGGTGATCCGCCCGCCTCGGCCACCAAAAGTGCTGGGATTACAGGCATGAGCCACCGTGCCTGGTCAGCCATTTCAATATTCTATCAAAGTTTCCCCTGAATAGTACATTTCCCTGTGCACTGTTGGCTTTTTAAGGCTGTAAAGTGTGTTTTCTTGTGTAAAGAAATGTGACTCAACAGTCCAAATTGGTGTAATCTCCATTTTTCTGGTTCTTGTATAGCCTTTGAAGCATTGACATCTACCCCTGGTTGATCATAGCCCAATCCAGAGTCAGTGACTTCCCTGTCAAGATCCATTGGCAGCTCCTTTGGGGTTGCTGGCATTAGTCTGGCTTGCCAGCTATGAATGATCAAAGCTTCCCACTACAGAATCTGTCACAGAGCTGCCTCTGTCTGTTTTCTTGACCAAAAGTCAAAACAGACAGTATGAGAAATGAGATAAATTACCAAAATTGTGAACACAAGAGAGAGTATCACTAATGACCCTTTAGAAGTTAAAAAACATTATAAGTTAATACTCTGAAAAACCTGAAGCCAATCAGTTAGACCACTTAGATAAAATGGACAGATTTATACAAAGATAGAAATTGCTGAAACTGACTCAAAAATAAATAGAAAATCTGAAGAGAACTGTACACTAAGACAGTAATTTTAAAACCTTCTCACAAAGAAATGCCAAAGCCCAGATATCTTCACTGGTGAATTCTATCAAATATTTCAAAAGCTCTTTCAGACAAGAAGAGAGGAGGCAAGACTTTCTAGCTCATTTACAGAACTGACATTACCCTAATATCAAAGTCAGAGCAAGACTGACAAGAAAAGAATACCATAGACCAGTGTCACCAATAAACATAAATGAAAACATCCTTAACAAACATTGGCAGACAATAGAAAGCCACGTAAAAAAGGATTACATTCCATGACCAATGGGATTCATCCCAGGAATATATGGCTGGATTAACAATTAGAAATCAATTAATGGAATGCACTGTAGTAAGGGAATAAAAGACATAATTATCTCAAAAGATACAGAAGAAACAGTTGACAAAAATGTTAACACCACTCATGTTCATAAGTTTCAACAAAATAGGAATGGAGGGGACCTTCCTCACCCTGATAAAGGGCATCTATAAAAAACCCACAACTAAAATCATGCTTGCTGAAGAAAGACTGAATGCTTTTCTCCTAAGATGGAGATCAATGCAAGGATGTCCAATCCAACACTTCTACTTAACATTGTACTGGAGATTGCAGCTGGTGCAATAAGGCAAATAATTAAAAGTTAAAGGCATCCAGATAAAAAGGAAAACATAAAACTCTATTCACAGATAACATGACCTTGTCTGTAGAATTCACAAGCAGATAAAAGCCTGCTAGCACTAAAAAATGAATCCAGAAGCTCCCATAGGATATAAAATCAAATTAAAAATTATTAACATATTTCTCTATACAAGCAATTAAAATCTAAACTTTCCTATCACAGTAGTTACAAAAAGAGAGAAATAGGAATAAATTTAGGAAGACAGCAGAGTTTGTTGAAAACTACAAAACATTACTGAGAGAAATTAAAGGTCTAAATTCATGGAGAGATGCGGTTGGAAAGCTCAATAATATTGTTAAGATGACAATTCTCCACCAAGAGATCTATAGGTTCAGTACAATCTCTATCAAAACCCCAGCAGGCATTTTATGGAAAATTGACAATTTAATCCTAAAAATGTATGTGAAAATGCAGAGGATGCAGAAAAGCCAACGCAAATTTGAAAAAAAATGGAATGTCATATAAAACTACAATAATCCAGACAGTGTGAAAGCGAGAGACACAGAGATTAATGAACAGAAGT
The DNA here is from genome assembly GCF_000001405.40 of Homo sapiens. Classification (NCBI taxonomy): domain Eukaryota; kingdom Metazoa; phylum Chordata; class Mammalia; order Primates; family Hominidae; genus Homo; species Homo sapiens. The sequence continues at coordinate 1,114,838 of NT_167249.2, forward strand.
GAGAATCTAGAAAGACATTCTTACATTTTTTTGTCAATTGATCTTCAATGAAGTTGCATAGGTAATATGATGTGACACTTATCGCCATATAAAATATAAGCTCAAACAAATTAGAGACCTAAACAGCTAAAATTTATAAGTTAAAACCATAAAATTTCTAAAAGAAAATATAGGAGAAAATTTTTGTGACATTGAGTAGTTAGGCAAAAGATTCTTACATAAAATACAAAAAACATGATCTACAGATGAAAAAAAAGTGAGAGACAAATTGGGCTTAGTTAAAATTTAAAACTTAAGTGCTCCAAAAGACAATATTGAGAAAATGAGAAGACAAGCCGTAGATTGAGAGAAAATATTTCACAATTTATCACAAATTACATCTGTGATGAAGAACATGTATCCAGAATATGTGAAAAGTTCTTAAACTCAATGTAAGAAGATGAGCAACTCAACTAAAAATGAGCAAAACATGCTCAACTGACTTTTACAAAAGCACAAAAGCAATTCAATGAAGGAAGGAGAGCTTTTCCATCAAATGGTGATGGAACAACTGGACAACCACAGTGGAAAAAAAATAACCTGAGCCAAAACCTCATGCTTCATACAAAAATAACTCAAAATGAGTCACAAGCTTTCATGTAAAGCACAGAGTTAAAATGGCAAACATTGAGCCAGGTGTGGTATCACAGGCCTGTACTCTCAGCTACTCAGGAAGCTGAGGTGGGAGGATCCCTTGAGCCCAGGAGTTCAAGGCCAGCCTAGGCAAGAATTTTTTTTCTAAAATAAATAATAAATTTAAATTTTTAAATTACAAACCTTTTAAGAAAAAGTCATCAGAGCTAAGACTGGACAAAGAGTTCTTAGACATAACACCAAAAGTATGATCCATAAAAGTTAATAAATTGGATCTTATCAACACTAAAAACTGTTGTTCTGTGAGAGACCTATGAAGAGCATAAAAAGACAAGCTACAGAATGAGAGAAGATATTTGCAGGCAACATATTCTGTAAAGACTGTATTCAGAATATATGAAGAAATTTTAAAACTCAACAATAAAAATGAAATCCAAATACAAAACAGGCAATGAGCAAGACATGAACAGACATTTCACTGAAGAGGATAAATACTGGGCTAATAAGCAGATGAATAGGTGCTCAACATCATTATCCAGTAGGAAAATACAAATTAAAACCACAGTGATGAGAATGGCTGAAATACAAAATAAAGGTAGCAACAGATGCTGGCAAGGACGCAGAGGAACTGGGACACTCTTATATTGCTGGTAGGGATGTATTTTAAAATGGTACAGCCGCTCTGGAAATGAGTATTGCAGTTTTCTTCAAACCGAACATGCAATTTACCTTATGACTAGCAATTGCCCTCCTAGGCACTTATTTCAAACGAGGGAATACTTTATGTTCACGAAAATCCTGTGCACAAATACTCTTGCAGCTTTATTCATGATACCCCCAAACAGGAATTAATACAACTGTCTTTCCGTAGGTGAGTGAGATCTGCTGGTTGAAATAATAACTGAGTCACACAAGTGCCCTTTCTCAAGGCTACCATCCTGCTTCTCTGTGCAGTAAGTGTTTTATGCATATTTCCCATTTTCTCACAAAGAATATTAAACACGTATACTCAAGGATCAAACTTTAATCCACATAAATTTTTTACTGCTCCATCAAAGACACTCTTAAATGGGACTGCAGTTTGGAGCCACTGCCTGGTTCTGCTAAGGTGCTGGGTGTGTTACCGACCTTGGCATTTGCAGCACTATGGAAAAGTCAACACAATGAAACAGGCAGATGGCATCTTGGTATTACTGTGAAAACAAGTCTGCCTCCAGGACTCTCTGAAGGCTGCTCAGGGGACACACTTTCAAAATGGCAAAGATCAATTATGGTTCCTAGTGGGACACAACCCCTAGCCTATTCCTATTCAGCACTGTCTTGCTCTCTATTTTCCCTCATTCTTCCAACTTATAACTGTATAAATTTTCAAATGTGCAAAGAAGCTGAAAGAATGGTGCAGTAAAATTCAAGCTACCACTCTGCCGTATTTGGTTAATATCTCTTTATATACATAAAAGGAGAGTGTGAAATGATGGACCATGGAGACCCAGAAGGGTAAGGGGGTTGGCAGTTGGTGTATAATAGAGGGGTTTCTTGATAGGTACAATGTGCTTGTCTCCAGTGCTGGATGCTCTGAAGGCCCTGACTTTACCACAACCAATATAGCAATGTAGCAAAATTGCACTTGTGCCTCATGAATATATATGAATCTAAGAAATAAAAAATAAAATAACATAACATGTTTCTTTATAGATACAGGTAGACATGTTTGTATAGCATGTGTGTGAATGTGTGTGTGTGCCTGTGTGTGTGTGTCCACCTGTGTGTGTGTTTCCGTGTAGAGAGGCAGCACAAATTAAGAGATTAAGATTTTGTGACTGAGCTATTCCAAAGTAACTTAAACATAAAACACACATGGATAAATGTGTCTGTGACAACAAACCTGAATACAAACATGAAATAATATGTCTATAAACACATCTCTAGATAGATAGCTTATGAATGAATTCCCTACCCCAGCTCCCTTACTGGTTGCCCTGTGAACACAGGGAGTCAGGGAACAGGACCCAGCTAGGGTCCCTCATCCTTCTCTTGCATCCAGGCAGGTCCTGCATCCACTCTGGCTGCACAGAAGGCTCCCATCCCTGCCTTGGTCTGTTTCACAGGTGCTCCCCTAACTCTCTCTGCCACCACTGCTTTATCTGGATGGAGCTGAGGCTGCCCTGACCAAGAACAGCACCACCCATCTGTGTCCCCAAGACCAGGAAGTTAGGAGGAACCACACAACAAGGTCAGGAACTATCCCACCTCCCCAGTCAGTCTGAACTGATGGCGGGAGATGCTGATGCTTGCTTTACTCATCCTCAATCCCAGCTCACTTATTCTTCATTAATTCAATCCAATCTCCCCAGCAGTCACTTCACCCCAGAAGCTGACTGACCTCTACTCTTCGTAATCAGGAAACCACAAAGCACTCTCCTTCCCCTCCCTGATATCACCCTTCAGCTCTACATCATCATATGTGGGCTCTAACTCTGCAGGGAAGATGTTGCCCCACAGGGTCAGCCCCTGAACACTGGCTGCAAATGTCCCCCCATCCCTTCCCAGCCCTTTCGGTGTTGCTGTGAATCTGTCCCTCACTGAGAACTGGCGGGGAGATGTGGGGGAGGAGGGAAGGTTTCTTTATGCTGTGTCAAAGCATGGAGACAGACCTCTCCTTCTCTCCTGAACCTCACACTATCCCTTCCCAGACACTTGAAATAAAACGCAGACCAGAAATGTCTATTTAAGAGTTAAATATCTATAGTATAAAATATGAAGACAGAGTAGAATGGGGTAATGCAGGAGAGCATGACAGAGATGACAGGACCTCAAGGTGCCAGGAAAGCTGGTGCTGGGCCAGGACCAAGGAGCCATCAGCAGGACACTCACTCATAATGCTCACCTATAATAATACAATTACTGCATATGTAATATATCAAAATATAATAAAATAACAAAATAACAAAAATAATATGGCACAGCTGCAAATACCCCATATATACTAACCCTTTTCATTCATCCAACCACAAGAAATAAATGCTCGTAGTTTCCCCATGTCATAGATGAGGAAAATGAGGCACAAAGAGAGAACATGCTGGTGAGGCCTAGGCAAGGAGTTGAATCCAGATCGCCTGACTGCAGAGTCTAGTTGCCCTCAGTGGAGCCAGCGAACCCAGGAGCTGACACCAGAGACTGAGATCTCAGCTGTGCACTGCCCTGGTGGTCTCCTGTCCCAACCAGGTGTTGACCCAGGCCTTGCAGGCTCACGCGCTCTGGAAAAAAGAGAGAAACCAATAAATGCTCCCCTGGGTGCAGAGTGCTGCTTTTTATTCCCTGAGGAGTTCTCCCTCCTCAGTCACTCCCAAATCAGATTTACCCTTTCTCTGACGGAAGATGACGTCCCCACTTTTTTCTCCCTCCCATCGCACTTTTCCAGCCCCTGCCAGTCCCCTCCCGTGACTCCATCAACATCAGCACCTGCCCTGTGTCCACCATCCATTGTGCAGTGAGTGAAAGGACCCAGGACTAAGGAACAAGACCCAGGAGGAAACTCAGTGCCCTTTCCTCCTCCTCTCAAGCCTGACCAGCCCTGACACAGTGAGAGGCCTCCCCAAAGAGAGGCCCTGGCCCTGTCTCCATGTCCTTCCAGGTCTGGGCCAAGTCACACACAGTCCTTCTCTTCCTGAGACCCCAGGCCCTCTTCACCTGCAGAGGCACCTGCATACCAGGGCAGGCCCTGCACGCTGTGGGTTCTGCCCTCCACCAGCAGCTCACTGTTCCTCCCCTCCCAGCTCTGAGCAGACAGCTCCTAACTAGAGATCCTATCAGGAAGCCCTGGGGCTCACAGGCCCTGCATGGAAATATGTGGCTGCCATGGAGTCTGCACCTGACCTGATGCTGGGGACCCCCTTGCTCAAGGAGGCCCAGCCTGCCCTCCCCATAACCTGCATTTGGGCTGTGCTTGCTCCTGCCTGTCCACTCAACCCTGGAAATGCAGCTCCACCCCAGGGCTGCTGCTTGGTGAGGCTGCAAGCCCTTCCTGTCCCATTCCTAACAGGGATTCCACCCAGGCCACTGCCATCGCAGCTCACAGGGGATCTTCTTCGCCTGTGGAGTAGGGGGTTTCTTCAAACCCCTCATCCTGAGGCTGCCTCTACGCACCCTCTGCACCTGGGGATTGCCACTGCCACAGGCACTGTCTCCCACATGGACCCTCTGAGAAACGAAGCCCCAAATTTGACTTCCTGTTCTATTCAACATCCTTTACAACATCAGTATTGGGGGAAATCCTATTAAGATTATCCAGCTGAAATTATGTTGATGGACACCAATACTTAAAGCAGGAATTTTGAGAAACTAACATGTAATTTTCATGCCTTTTTCTGGCCAATGTCCCAGTGACCTACGAGAAAACCTTTCCTGCCTACAGGGAACCAGAACTGACAATCCCTCTATAGGAGACACCGCAGGTGAGAGCAGGAGCAACCACAGACCTGCACTGCCCGTGCTGTGGTTGCCTCCTGGACGGGGCCCTCTTGCTGCAGGGCAGGGGATGAACCGTCCCATCTGCCCAGGCCTGAGTGGCCAACTAACTGTGCAATTAGGTTCAAGGATGAGTCACCACCACCTCACTGGCCAGACACACGGAAGTGGAGAAATGGCAGAAAGACTCGGGTTTCCTGGACACCCCAGACTCTCACTGTCCCCTGCACTGCCTCTGTCTTTGCAGAAACTCAAAACTTTCTGCTTGCTCTTTTCCTCTCCCCTCAAACAACCTGACTGTGGGGGAAATGATTCTGACTGTCTCTTATTGTAAACTTACCAGGCAGCGACTACACTAAGAACAAAAACATTGGCTCAGGAAAGGCAAGGTGAGGCCACAGAGCACAGAACAAAGCCCAAAAAACAGCCCACTGGGTACTATGACCCTCGGGGGCTGGAAAAAGTAACACCTGGACATGGGATGAAAACAGGGACCACAGCTGCCCTGACAGAGGGCTGGTCCCCACTCCCCAAATAGCCCAGGGACATCTGCTTATCAACTGGTCCATATTATCTGCAAGGAAACACAGGGAGACAGGGGCCATATGGTGGGAACCCAGAAAAAGCACGGTCTCGAGGGACCCAGAGGACGTGACACCCCTGAGACAGCTCCCAGATGAGGCATATGGGGAGCTGCAAAGTGGACAGAGGATGGCCATGTGCACTCAGGACTCTCCCTGTTACAAGGGGACCTCAAAGGGGCTGTACACATGGGGGCCCTCATTCTGGGCCTCGTGGGTCTTTTTCTTGATGTCCTCCTGATGGCTGGAGAAACAGGGGAGGGGGATGCAGAGAGGAAGGGACTAGAGGCACCACCTCTCCTTGGATTCCTCTCCAGTTTCTAGCCCTCCCTAGATCACATCTGCCTTTACTATTTGCTCCCTCTGAGATAGTGATCATCCAGGCCCTCAGCAATCAGCACGCAATTCCCAACTCACCCACCTGGATGCGACCTGGTAAGCCTGAGAGACAGAGACCGGGATGGGGACAAAGCAGGCACCACGGCCCTCCCTGCTGCCCACTCCTCACCTGCAGCAGGAGGAGGCCACAGCTGGATGTTCGAGGGCCTTGGCCCAGCCCTGGCTTGGGCAGGACTTAAGGGTGTAAAAAATAACCTACATGTGATGGTTCATTTTCAATTCTATGTGCCTTAGTATAGGTTTAAGCAGGCCACATGGTCATAAAGAGATAAAGAAGGAAAATGTACTAAGCCACCATCCCCCCTACTTCTTGCTTTCCCTTTCATGCACTGGCCAGGCACCTATCGGTTGGGGCCCCCTCAACGACCCCTTCCCCACCTCACCAAAAAATGTAGTTTAGGCTAGCTTGCAACATAGATAATTGTACCCTTTCTTATCAACTAAGTGCAGCCATTAGGGACATAAGTCAAATGTTTAAAGAGTCCTGAGACAATCACAATGCATTATGGGCTGCAACAAAATGCAGCAAAAAAAAAAAAAAAAAAAACCCTAAGGAACATACTTGAAGTCTTAAACTACCAATAGGTGACATCCGGGAAGATCGTAAGTCCTTGGTACTCAGCTAATGAGCAACTGGGGGAGGGAGTTGCGCACTAGGGAATAAATTGTTGAAACTCTCCCTGGTGTGCCTGCATTCCAGACACCCAATATTGCAAAACCATCACTAACACTCTCACTTTTGCTGTTCTCTGGGTCTCAGAGTCCATTCTTTGGGTTTGGATGGGTGCGTTTGTTTCTCATAATCTAGTTGCCTATATGGGGATCTCTGTGCTTGTGTGAAGTGAGTGAGACTCTGCCTGAAAGGAGAAACACGTACCAATTGATTCATGTGGCCCATTCTATCTGGATGTCCTGGCTCCTCACAGAAGCCATAGACAAACTTGAAACTGTTATTCAGGACACAATGAAAGTGACATGGGGGTACGGGAGGGTGGGGTGGAAAGCGGGCACCACAGCAACCAGGCAACCTCATGTGTCTTGTGGAAGGCACTGAAAGTACTGTGGGGGTCACATCACCATGAGAGAGCTGAAGGATGTGGGGTGGTGTTGGGGCTGTCTATCGTCTCTACGTAATCCAGCAAACTGTCCCTGAGGGAGCCTGATGATGCCTAAAGAATGAATGAGATTACTCTAGGTATGGCCAAGTAGGAGTTATAATTGCAGCTTTTATGTTGTCTGGATATCACTGGTAGAGCAGATTAATAAATCCTTGGGCCCACAGTGTGCAGCTGCAGACTTGGTGAGTGCATTCCTTTCCACTCCAATTAGAAAGGGGATATGGAATGATTCACATTCATGTGGGATCCACAACACATTTATTTATCATTTGCCTCAGGGCTATTGTAACTCCTCTGCCCGCTATAGTATATAGTCTTAAGACTACACTAGACATACTGGATATCCTATAGGATATTAAATCAGCTCATTTCATTGACAATTTCATGTTTACTGGGGTGGATGAGCAGCAGGTAGAAAGTGCACTGGAGTCCTTGGCAAAACAAGCACACTCCAGAAGGTGAAGGTAAACCTTACAGAGCTTCAAGAGTGGCCACTGAAGTGAAGTTTTATGGGTGAACAAGTGCCAAGTGTTTAGGGGAATGTAGGTGTGTCCCCTCCAAGGTAAAAGACAAACTGTTTCATCTTGCATCCTCACCAGAAGGAAGGAAGCACACTGCCTGATGAGCCTCTTTGAGTTCTGATGACACCACATTCCACATTTAGGTGTGTTGCTTTGGCCCACACTCTAGGTGACATAGGAGGAGGCCACCTTCATGTGGGGCCCACACAGGAAAGGACCCTGCAGCAGATCCAGGCCATGGTACAAGCAGCCAGCATCCCTCAGACCCCTTGGGGCTGGTGGTGCCAGTGGTGGGGAAAGATGCAGGATGGAGCTGAACCAAGCACCAGTGGGAGAGTCACAATGGAGGGCCTGGGATTCTGGAGTAAGATCATGTCATCCACAGCAGAGACATATGCCCCCTGTTAGAAGCAACATTTAGTGTTACTTGTCCTGATTTGATAGAATGCTTGACCAAGAGACACCAAACAACAATGTGGTTCCAAGTGGCTGTGTGACCCACAAAGTCATAAATTGCACAGGCCCAACAGCATTCATCAACAGGTGAAAATGGTCCACCTGGGTTGAGCTTGAATCCCATGTTGACACCCACAGAAAACACCCAAGTGTGATGTGGCACTGAACAACCAAACAGACAAATGGCAGTTAGCCAGCCTTCACCATGGGTCAGCCCAGGCCTGGTAGGATGGGTGCATGAATGGAGCAACCACAGTGGCAGGCATGAGGCTATGTATGGGGCCAGCAGCACTGACTCTCCCAGCCCTACCAAGGTAGATCCAGCTACTGCCACTCCTGAATGTCAACTCGTCAGCATTTGGAGCCCATGATGTGCCCTAGTGGGGCACTATTTCTTTAGGCGACCAGCCACTAAGTAACAAGTGACTACATTTAGCTACTTCCATCCTGGAAGGGCCAGAGGTTCATCTTCACAGAAATAGGCTCATATTCCATGGGTGGGTTTTCCTGTCTTGCTCTGACACTCAGCCAGCACCACTCTCCGGGTGCTGTTGACATTCCTGATCTGCAGGCTAGGCGGTGCTCCTAGCCCATTCTCTGCCTGAAGGACCCATTTGGCCTGGAAAGTTTTAATGTTTCCATGGCTGTGGGTTCCACTAATCCTATCACCATCTGCACCACCCAGGAGCTACCAGCCACAAGGAATGCTGGACAGGTCTTCTATAGGCACAACTCAGTGCCAGCCTGGAGGAAGCACTCTGAGAGTGCCATCTTTCAGAACATGGTATATTGTTTGAATCAGAGATGTCTCTATGGTGCTGTGTTCTCAATGGAAGAACATGTGGGTCCAGAAATCAAAAGGTGGAAGCAGGTATGGCTCCATGTCCAATCTCTTAGATTCACCCACTAAGGTATTTTGCCTTTTTTATCTCCCAACAATGGGCTGTGCGGGTTAGGAGGTCCTGGTTTCCAAAGGAGGGTACCCTTAAAAGTAGACAAAAGAGAGCCCATTGAACTACACATTATTTTAGTCACCAGAGAAGTTTGGAGAGCATGTTCCCAGAGACCACATCGTGAGAAGAGGAGTGTCCTTCTCTCCAGGCCCAGGTAATAGGCCCTCATCCCCAGGAGGAGGCATGGCTACTTTCACACAATGAGGGCAGAAGTGTGTGTGGAAACCAGACATCCACCTGGGAACCTTCTGGGTCCCCTTGCCCCATTGTAAGTGTGAGCAGAATCATCCAGAAATTTAGCTTGAGAGGATTTGATTTCCAAGAACCCAGACCCATCTGGGCAGCAGGTTTGAGTCACACTCCTGGGTAATCTCCCAAGGCCCTGCTCCTGTGCTCTGACATCCTCAGTAGCATTGGTATGGAGGCCCTGCTTCCCATGGGCTGTTCCCAGTCAGTGATGGCTCACACCAGTGACACTAAGGCAGGACATTCCTGGGAGACAGGGGACTCCTCTGATGGCCAATGGTGGCTCCGGGTCTCCTCCATGGCCTTGCTCAACTCTCCTTAGATTGCCTGTGGTCTAGGAAACATCCAGTAAACCTTCTCTCCTTCTGTCCATCACTGGGGGTCACACTTGCATCTCGGCCTGTTGCCTTTCCCAGGGTAACCTGACTCCCTCACAATATCGTCTGACAGGTATGTCCCCTAATAAAATGTTGTAACTTTAATCCCATGATGGCACTTGCTTTTTGGAGGATTTGGACTACAAAATCATTTTCATCTGCACACCAGTGTCCTCTTATTCCAATTTGTAAAATCCTTTTGTTTATTCAACTTCTTCTACTTGCGTTGGCTCCATTTTGCTGGTATTTGTATTATGTTTTTGAGTTCGTCAATGTTTGTTGATTTAATCACTAAATTTGGGGGTAGTTTGTTATGCGGCAATGGATAACTAATGAAGCCCTCTTACATTTCCATTATTCTATACAGGTTACGTACATCTGCTTTATTTCCTTCCATTTTCATAACACTGGCCATACGTAGGGTTTCTAGTTTCTCAACGTGTATTCTTTTCTTTATTTTAGTTTCTTTTCTTTTTTGTTCCTTCCCTTTCTCCTTCCTTCTGTCCCTCCCTCCCTCTCTTTCTTCTCTATTTCCATTCAACCTCTCGCCTTCCCTCCTTTTTACTCTGCTTTCCTTCCCTTTTCTTCCCCTTCCCCTTCCTTCTTTTCTTCTTTCACTCCTTCTTCTCTTCCTCCTTCTTTCCCTCCCTTCCTCCATTTTTTCCTTTTTATTATGAAAATTTCCTAACATATAAAATAACCCTATGTGATTGTGCTATAAGTAAGCATTTTCTGAATCTGTATGTCAAAAGTACAATGCCACGGTATATGAGAAACAAGTAAACAACAGAAAGTTATTGACAGAATCTAAATAAAAATGCCTGCTATAATTCTGCAGCCAAGACAGTGGCTTTCAACTCAATTCCTTCAACTCAGTGTTTTCAGAACACATCATCAACATCAAGTATTACGCACTTATTTCAAAAGTTTAGGCCAGGCGTGGTGGTTCACGCCTGTAATCCCAGCACTTTGGTAGGCTGAGGTGGGTGGACCACCTGAGGTCAGGAGTTCAAGACCAGTCTGGCTAACATGGTAAAACCCCATTGTCGCAATCGGTTACTATGGGATATAATGAAGGGGGATGAACACAGAAATAAAGACAAAGACAAAAAGATCTGTTCTAAAAGAAGGGGTCGGGGGTTTCTTGCTTCTAGTGATTCCTTCTGGCAGCAAACTCAGTTTGTCAGTTTGCCAACATCCTGCTTTCATGAGAACAGTTTGCTGTTTGCTCATATAGCCTCCAGTGGTATACTGAGTTGATCACGACCCTCATTCTTTCGGCCTCCAATACCCCGACTCTACTAAAAATACAAAAATTAGCTGGGCGTGGTGGTGCATGCCTGTAATCCCAACTACTCGGGAGGCTGAGGCAGGAGAATTGCTTGAACTGGGAGGTGGAAGTTGCAATCAGCCAAGATAGCACCACTGCAGTTCAGCCTGGGCAACAGAGCAAGACTTCGTCTCAAAAATAAATAAATAAATAAATAAATAAATAAATAAATAAGTTTAAGTTGGCACAATCACTTTGGAAATCATATTATTATTATCTAGTATGGTTAAAGGCCATACAACATATCATCCAATCATCCCACTCCTAATCATACACTCTGCGGGCTTTCTTGCCTATGTGCCCAGGAGACATGCACACTAATGTTTATGGCAAGAACTGGAATCAGCTACATATATATCAATAGAAAACTAGTGCAATTATGGTATAACCATAAAATGTAAACCTTCAGCAGTAAAAACGAATGAATGACAGCCTCCCACACCACAGATAACTCCTATATGTAATGTGCATCATGGGAAAATAAATGCAGTAGGAATTTGCTGTACTGGAAGCTTAAAAACCATCAAAACTAACTAATATTTGGATTGGGGATATATCTATACTTATTACACAAATCCTTAAAGAAACTCTATAATTTCTTTATAGATATTATGAAAACAGCAAGGTACTGGTACAAAAACAGGCACATAGACCAATGGAACAGAACAGAGAACTCAGAAATAAGACCACACATCTAAATAAAGGAATAATAATCACAAGACTCAGGGTGGAGTCTCCTTTTGGGGGATGTGAATGGGCAGCAGCCCAGGGTAGTTTACAGGTTCTGTGTTTTACAACAGTGCTGGCTAAAGTCCAAACAACATATCATCCATTCCCTTTTAAAATGGAACTTTTAAAATAAATGTGTAATACTTGATGTTGATGATGTGTTCTGAAAACATTGAGTTGAAAGAATTGACTTAAATTCCTAATTCCTTAAATAGATTTTTTCAAAGTAAAATATGCTTGGTTTTTATAAAAATGAAAGAGAAAAGAATACCAAAGTTCATTGCAAGCATCCTTAACAAGAACTACTTACATTGGAACAAAACCACACAGAATTGTAAGGAGCCATGTGACAGAGAGGACCACGAGGCCATGAAAATGGCTTTGGCTACAAATAGGTCATTTGATCCTTGGCTCACTGGCATCTCTGTAGATTTTCATGTATACAATCTTCAATCTGATGTGCAAGGTAATTCCATCTTGCAAAGGATTTGATGTTACATTCTACCACACATACCACTGAATTAAACTTTTACAGAATTGGAAATGCACATCATTGATCAAAATAAATGAAACAAGAAAAGAGTAGAAAGGAATAACCAGTGATGGAATAGCAATATGAATAGAAAATACAATAGGACTGCGAAAACAAAGAAACAAACAAAACCACTTCAGAAGCACCTGATGGCATGCTATTTAGAATCATAGTGGTGTCCAAATCACTTCTATCACATATCATTCAATATCACAACAAAAGATGTTAAGTGTATTATAGAATGCCGATCGAATAGCCAGTTATCGAAAAAACTAGTTTCTCAATTCGAGCTAACAATTTCGTGATACTGCATCAAACCGAAGTTATTGGCATGCTAGATGTGTTGACTGAAGTATGAGATTCACATCTTTGTAAATGAAAAGCAATCTGATTAAGCAATATTTTTCTAAGTGAAAGCAAGTTAATTAGAGAAAGAAACAAAGGATGGCTACTCCAGAGACAGAGCAGTACTTCTTTTTTTAAGTGTAGGCAAATGTTTTTTGGAAGACGATATTTCAATAAGAAAACTGGCACTAGGGGCATACTTCCCCTAAATTTGAGACATTTTAGACAAAACAAAGACTTATTTTCAAGGCATTATTTTTATAGCACTAAAGTCTTGGAACTATTTGATCTAGTTATTCTATGTTCTCAACTGTGTTAACTCATTGAAGAGAACATTGCTGTTATTAAAGATATTGGCAAGAAAAACTCAGAGATACTGTTGTATCTCCTTTCTCTGCCTCAAACTGTTTTCCCCTCAACACCTAAGGCTCTGTGATGTCTCAAACTTTTAGTCATTAATTTAAAAAGTGAAGCTTATCATAGAATTAGAAAAAAACTATTTTAAAATTCATATGGATCCAAAAAAGAGCTCCTATAGCCAGAAGAATCCTAAGCAAAAAGAACAAAGCTGGAGGCATGAGGCTACCTGACTTAAAACTATACTACAAGGCTACAGTAACTGAAACAGCAAGGTACTGGTACAAAAACAGGCACATAGACCAATGGAACAGAATAGAGAACTCAGAAATAAGACCACACATCTAAAACCCTGTGATCTTCAATGAGCCTGACAAAAATAAGCAATGGGCAAAGGATTCCCTATTTAACAAATGGTGCTGGGAGAACTGGCTAGCAATCTGCAGAAAATTGAAACTGGACTCCTTCCTTACACCTTGCCCAAAAATTAACTTAAGATGGATTAAAGACTTAAATGTAAATCCCAAAACTATAAAAACCCTGGAAGAAAATCTAGGCAATACCAATCAGGACATAGGGATGGGCAAAGATTTTATGATGAAAATGCCAAAAGCAACTGCCACAAAAGCAAAAATTGACAAATGGGATCTAATTAAACAAAAGAGCTTCTGTAGAGTGAAAGAAACTATTATCAGAGTGAACAGACATTTCTCCCAGAATGGGAGAAAATTTTTGCAGTCTGTCCACCTGACAAAGGTCTCATATTCAGAAGCTACAAAGAACTTAAGCAAATTTACACCAAAAAAAAAGCTTCATTAAAAAGTGGACAAAGGACCTAAACAGACACTTCTCAAAAGAAGACATACATGTGGCCAATAAACATAAGAAAAAAAGCTAAACATCACTGATCATTAGAAAAATGCAAATCAATACTACAATGAGATACCATCTCATGCCAGTCAGAATGGCAATTATTAAAAGTCAAGAAACAACAGATGCTGGCAAGGTTGCAGAGAAATAGGAAGGCTTTTACACTGTTGGTGGAAATGTAAATTGGTTCAACCATTGTGGAAGACAGTGTGGCAATTCCTCAAAGATTTAGAACCAGAAATACCATTTGACCCAGCAATCCCATTAAAGGTTATATACCCAAAGGAATATAAATCATTCTATTATAAAGGTATATGCATGTGTATGTTCATTGCAGCACTATTCACAATAGCAAAGACATGGAATCAACCCAAATGCCCACCAGTGAGGAACTGGATAAAGAAAATATGGTACATATACACCACGGAATATTATGCAACCATAAAAAGGAATGAGATCAAGTCCTTTGCAGAGATACGAATGAAGCTGGAAGCCATTATCCTCAGCAAACTCACACAGGAACAGAAAACCAAACACCGCATGTTCTCACTTATAATTGGGAACTGAGCAATGAGAATACATGGAACCAGGGAGAGGAAAAACACACAATGGGGCCTGTTCGGGGAGGGCAGTGATGGGGGGATCATTAGGAAAAATAGCTAATGAATGCCAGGGTTAACACCTAGGTGATGGGTTGATAGGTACAGCCAACCACCATGGCACATGATTACCTATGTAACAAACCTGCACATCCTGCACATGTACCCTGGAACTTAAAATTAAATTAAATTAAATTAAATTAAAAGATAAGCTTAAAGCATTAAAGAAAAATAATTAGATAAAAGAAGTCTTTGATTTACAAAATCCTGAAACAATAGTTTTAATTTTGCTTTTAACATATACGTAAGTCCTTTAGTACAGCTCTCTTTCAGAGGTGCAGCTTAATTCCCTCTCTTAAGTGTGGCTTGGACTTAATGATGCACTTCTGATATGGCCTATCTCTGTGTTCCCACCCAAATCTCATTTTGAATTGTCATGCGAATTCTGATCCCCACATATTGGCGGCGGGACTTCATGGGAGGTGATCGAATCATGGGGATGATTCCCCCAAGCTGTGGAAGTCAGCGGTTGAACCTATTTTTCCTAATGCTCCCCTCAGCACTGCCCTCCCATAATAGGCTCCAGTGTGTGATGTTCCTCTCCCTGTGTCCATGTGTTCTCATTGCTCAGCTCCCAGTTATAAGTGAGAACATGTGGTGTTTGGTTTCCTGTTCCTGTGTTAGCTTGCTGAGGATAATGGCTTCCAGCTTCATCCATATCCCTGCAAAGGACTTGATCTCATTCCTTTTTATGGCTGCATAATATCCATGGTGTATATGTACCATATAAGGGGATTTTCCCCACTTCACTCTGCATTTTTCTCTCCTGCCACCATGTGAAGAATGACACGTTTGCTTCCCCTTCTGCCATGATTGTAAGTTTCCTGGGGCAGCCTCCTCAGCCATGCACAATTGCGAGTCAACTAAACCTCTTGCCTTTATAAATTACCCAGTCTCAGGTATTTCTTTATAGCAGTGTGAGAACAGACTAATACAACTTCTAACTGATAGAGTAATGCTGACATAACAGTTTGTGACTCTGGGTGTAGAATGTGAAACTCACTATGGCTTCCACCTTCTCTCTCTCTGTCTCTGGGATCATGAGCTCTTGGGGACCCAGCTGCTGTGCCATAAGCAGCCCTGCAGGAAGGTCCATGTGGCTAAGAACTGAGGTCCCCTGGGACCAGACAGCAAGGAACTAGGCTTTTCCAACAGCCATGTGACTAAGCCATGTTTCATGTGAATCCTCAGCCCCAGTGAAGCCCTCAGACGATGCAGCCCTAGGCTGACAACTGGACTGCAACCTTGTGAGAGGCCCTGAGCCAGAAGCACTCAGGAAAACCGCTCCCGGATTCCTGACCATTAGAAACTGTGGGAGATGATGAATATTTGCTGTTTTGAGCTGCTAAGTTTTACATAATTTGTTACACAATAGTAAATAACTAATACATTTTCACAAGAGAGGATGTATTATTACACGTTAATTTGCATTTGCTCTAAATTTATCATCATCATATTACTATTTTTGAGACAGGGTCTTGCTCTGTCACCCAGGCTGGAGTGCAGTGGCATGATCACCATGCACTGCAGTGTCGACCTCCTGGGCTCAAGGGATCCTCTGATCTCAGCCTCTTGAGTAGCTGGGACTATAGGCATGAATTAACATGCCTGGCTAATTTTCTAATTTTTTTGTAGAGATGGGGGTTTCACCATGTTGCCCAGGCTGATCTTGAACTTCTGGAGTCAAATCTGCCTTCCTCTGCCTTCAACAGTGCTAGGATTGCAGGCGTGAGCCACCACACCTGGTCTAAATTAACTATAAGATATTAAACATGTAACTTAGTTTTAAAAGGAAAGGAGAAGTTCCACGGCTGAAGAGGATGTATTTTATTACTATTCATAATGATCACTTTACTTGAACTTCAGTTTCCAACTGTGTCCAAATTAAACACAAAAGGAAGATCCAGCCCTTCCTGGGCTGATTCTATCATGGCTCCCAACAACCAGCTCCTGGTCATTCACCTTCCCCCAGTTATTCAACCAACTCTAATGTAGGTGCTGCTGTGAAGGGATTTAGCAGATATAATTAAGGGCCTCAATTAGTTGACTTTAGGCTGAGTTTATCCTGCTTGGACTGTCCTAATAAGGAGAGTCCTTGAAAGGACTGGGTTCTTCCTGAGCATAGAGATTCACAGTGTGAGAGGGATTCAGCATAGGGGTTTCCTCCACTGTGGGCTTTGAAAATGAAGGGGCTGTGTAGGAAAGAACGCTGGTGGGCACCATGCATTAAGTGCAGCCCTCCCTGTTCTCTACAGTGACAGCCAGTGAGGAACAGGGACCTCAGTCTTACAACTGCCAGAAACTGCATTCTGCCACCTCTGTATAAGCCTGAAGGAGGATTCAAAATGAAAACACAGGTTTAGGAAGACCGGAACAGAGATTCCATCCACATCATGCCCAGATTTCTGATTAAGAAACTATAAACAACAAATGGGTGTTATTTGGCCAGGCGTGGTAGTGCACACCTGTATCCGAACATTTGAGGAGCTGACACAGGAGGAACACTTGCAGCCAGGACTTTGAGACCAGCTAGGATAATATAGTGAGACACTCGTCTCTACATTTCTCTTTAATTAGCTGGGCATGGTGGCACTTGCCTGCAGTCCTAGCTACTCTGAAGACTGAGGTAGGAGGGTCCCTTGAGCCCAGGAATTTGAGGCTGCAGTGAGCCATGATCATGTGACTGCACTTCATCCTGGATGACAGAGGGAGACTCTGTATCTAAAAATAAATCAATGAATACAATAAATGGGTGCTGTTTAAAGCCAATGTTTGTGACAATTTGTTACCCAGTCTTATAAAATTCATACACAGACTCAAAAGACTCCTGGAATGAACTGATGAATTGATACGCACACTAGTTACATAAAATAAAATCTTTTTTAACTTTTTCAGTGTTTTACATTTTATAATTTTCTGTGATGCAATTTAATACACTCATAATTCATTCATTCAGCCAAGAAAAAATAATTTAGTCCCTACAATGAACCAGGTATGCCCTCATATGCTCAAGTGCCTGACATTCTAGAAGCTTCACAAGAATGAGGTGGAGCCACTGGAGTGTTTTAGGTGGAGAAATGACACACTCTGACTCATAGTAGCAGGACCACTATAGAGAGAACACTCATGTAGCAGGTCATGGAACAGTGCTAGAGCCACAATTCAGGAGTGAGAGGGTGGTGGGGATTAAGGGGAGAAGAGGGCCTGAGGGATGAGAGGGACGGAGGGAAGGGCTGGAGGAGCAGGAGGTGAGGAAAAGGAGCAGAGGAAAGAATTCCAAAGCAGCGGAACTCTTAGGTTTAAACACATTGTTTTATAGATTTTATTACATCCATCTACAGAGCCTCGCTGGGTGTTCTTTGCAGTTGGCCTTTAATATCTTATGTGGGTCTGCCTAGAAACTAATTGTTTTTTATGTTAATCAGGTTTAAAAAATACTAAGTATTCCTAAAAAATATACACTCCACTCACATGTGGATACTTCCTAAAAACAGGCAGTGCATGAGCACTAGTGAGGGGCATTGTGACTGCACTGAACACTTACAACTGTGAGGTGAATAAAGTTTGTGCTGGCTCCTGGTTGCAACATATAGTAACATAGTGTGGTACTTTGTCTTGAGGAGATGTCCTGGACTCACACGGAAACTTAGGGCTACGGAATGAAGGTAAATTTAAAATAAAACAAGCGGGAGTCACAGATACATTGTCTGGGAAAGTGAAACTTAAGAGCTTTGTGAGTCCTGTTGTAAGGCTTTTAGATGCATTTATATACCAACGGGCCAAAGTCACATTTTTTACCTATTAGATTCCTGATCATTCAGGGGTTACCAAGATTATGCTACCCACTATAGTTAATAAACAAAAAGCAAACTGGTCTCTATTCTATCTCATGCACTCAGGCACAACTTTTCCAGATTTAAGGGGGAAAAAAAACCCTGTCTTTACACCTACAATCCCAGGGCGAGCTCACTCTCTGGCACCAAGCTCCGTGGGGTGATTTTTCTTCTAGAAGAGTACAGGAGGACAGGCAAGGAGTGGGAGGCAGGGAGTCCAGTTCAGGGACAGGGATTCCGGGATGAAAAGTGAAGGGAGAGGGACAGGGACCTTGCCGAGGGTTTCTCCCTGGTTTCTCAGACAGCTCCTGGGCCAAGACTCAGGGAGACACTGAGACAGAACGCTTGGCACAAGAGTAGCGGGGTCAGGGCGAAGTCCCAGGGCCTCAAGCGTGGCTCTCAGGGTCTCAGGCCCCACAGGCGGTGTATGGATTGGGGAGGCCCCGCGTTGGGGATTCTCTCCTCCTTCTCCTAACCTGTGTCGGGTCCTTCTTCCTGGATACTCACCGGGCGGCCCCAGTTCTCACTCCCATTAGGTGACAGGTTTTTAGAGAAGCCAATCAGCGTCGCCGCGGTCCTGGTTCTAAAGTCCTCGCTCACCCACCCGGACTCATTCTCCCCAGACGCCAAGGATGGTGGTCATGGCACCCCGAACCCTCTTCCTGCTACTCTCGGGGGCCCTGACCCTGACCGAGACCTGGGCGGGTGAGTGCGGGGTCAGGAGGGAAACGGCCCCTGCGCGGAGGAGGGAGGGGCCGGCCCGGCGGGGGCGCAGGACCCGGCAGCCGCGCCGGGAGGAGGGTCGGGCGGGTCTCAACCTCTCCTCGCCCCCAGGCTCCCACTCCATGAGGTATTTCAGCGCCGCCGTGTCCCGGCCCGGCCGCGGGGAGCCCCGCTTCATCGCCATGGGCTACGTGGACGACACGCAGTTCGTGCGGTTCGACAGCGACTCGGCTTGTCCGAGGATGGAGCCGCGGGCGCCGTGGGTGGAGCAGGAGGGGCCAGAGTATTGGGAAGAGGAGACACGGAACACCAAGGCCCACGCACAGACTGACAGAATGAACCTGCAGACCCTGCGCGGCTACTACAACCAGAGCGAGGCCAGTGAGTAACCCCGGCCCAGGGCGCAGATCACGACCCCCCACCTCCATGCCCCACGGACGCCCCGGGTACTCCCGAGTCTCCGGGTCTGGGATCCACCCCGAGGCCGCGGGACCCGCCCAGACCCTCTACCTGGGAGAACCCCAGGCGCCTTTACCAAAATCCCTGCGGGTGGGTCCGGGCGAGGGCGAGGCTCGGTGGGCGGGGCTGACCGAAGGGGTGGGGCCAGGTTCTCATACCCTCCAGTGGATGATTGGCTGCGACCTGGGGTCCGACGGACGCCTCCTCCGCGGGTATGAACAGTATGCCTACGATGGCAAGGATTACCTCGCCCTGAACGAGGACCTGCGCTCCTGGACCGCAGCGGACACTGCGGCTCAGATCTCCAAGCGCAAGTGTGAGGCGGCCAATGTGGCTGAACAAAGGAGAGCCTACCTGGAGGGCACGTGCGTGGAGTGGCTCCACAGATACCTGGAGAACGGGAAGGAGATGCTGCAGCGCGCGGGTACCAGGGGCAGTGGGGCGCCTCCCTGATCTCCTGTAGACCTCCCAGCCTGGCCTAGCACAAGGAGAGGAGGAAAATGGGACCAACACCAGAATATCGCCCTCCCTCTGGTCCTGAGGGAGAGGAATCCTCCTGGGTTTCCAGATCCTGTACCAGAGAGTGATTCTGAGGGCCCGTCCTGCTCTCTGGGACAATTAAGGGATGAAGTCTCTGAGGGAGTGGAGGGGAAGACAATCCCTGGAGGACTGATCAGGGGTTCCCTTTGACCCCACAGCAGCCTTGGCACCAGGACTTTTCCCCTCAGGCCTTGTTCTCTGCCTCACACTCAATGTGTGTGGGAGTCTGACTCCAGCTCCTCTGAGTCCCTTGGCCTCCACTCAGGTCAGAACCAGAGGTCCCTGCTCCCCCGCTCAGAGACTAGAACTTTCCAAGGAATAGGAGATTATCCCAGGTGCCCGTGTCCAGGCTGGTGTCTGGGTTCTGTGCTCCCTTCCCCACCCCAGGTATCTGGTTCATTCTTAGGATGGTCACATCCAGGTGCTGCTGGAGTGTCCCATGAGAGATGCAAAGTGCTTGAGTTTTCTGACTCTTCCTTTCAGACCCCCCCAAGACACACGTGACCCACCACCCTGTCTTTGACTATGAGGCCACCCTGAGGTGCTGGGCCCTGGGCTTCTACCCTGCGGAGATCATACTGACCTGGCAGCGGGATGGGGAGGACCAGACCCAGGACGTGGAGCTCGTGGAGACCAGGCCTGCAGGGGATGGAACCTTCCAGAAGTGGGCAGCTGTGGTGGTGCCTTCTGGAGAGGAGCAGAGATACACGTGCCATGTGCAGCATGAGGGGCTGCCGGAGCCCCTCATGCTGAGATGGAGTAAGGAGGGAGATGGAGGCATCATGTCTGTTAGGGAAAGCAGGAGCCTCTCTGAAGACCTTTAACAGGGTCGGTGGTGAGGCCTGGGGGTCAGAGACCCTCACCTTCACCTCCTTTCCCAGAGCAGTCTTCCCTGCCCACCATCCCCATCATGGGTATCGTTGCTGGCCTGGTTGTCCTTGCAGCTGTAGTCACTGGAGCTGCGGTCGCTGCTGTGCTGTGGAGGAAGAAGAGCTCAGGTAAGGAAGGGGTGACAAGTGGGGTCTGAGTTTTCTTGTCCCACTGGGGGTTTCAAGCCCCAGGTAGAAGTGCGCCCTGCCTGGTTACTGGGAAGCACCATCCACACTCATGGGCCTACCCAGCCTGGGCCCTGTGTGCCAGCACCTTCTCTTTTGTAAAGCACCTGTGACAATGAAGGACAGATTTATCACCTTGATGATTGTAGTGATGGGGACCTGATCCTAGTAATCACAGGTCAGGGGAAGGTCCCTGGCTAAGGACAGACCTTAGGAGGGCAGTTGGTCGAGGACCCACATCTGCTTTCCTTGTTTTTCCTGATCCCGCCCTGAGTCTGCAGTCACACATTTCTGGAAACTTCTCGAGGGTCCAAGACTAGGAGGTTCCTCTAGGACCTCATGGCCCTGCCACCTTTCTGGCCTCTCACAGGACATTTTCTTCCCACAGATTGAAAAGGAGGGAGCTACTCTCAGGCTGCAAGTAAGTATGAAGGAGGCTGATCCCTGAGATCCTTGGGATCTTGTGTTTGGGAGCCCATGGGGGAGCTCACCCACCCCACAATTCCTCCTCTGGCCACATCTCCTGTGGTCTCTGACCAGGTGCTGTTTTTGTTCTACTCTAGGCAGTGACAGTGCCCAGGGCTCTAATGTGTCTCTCACGGCTTGTAAATGTGACACCCCGGGGGGCCTGATGTGTGTGGGTTGTTGAGGGGAACAGTGGACATAGCTGTGCTATGAGGTTTCTTTGACTTGAATGTATTGAGCATGTGATGGGCTGTTTAAAGTGTCACCCCTCACTGTGACTGATATGAATTTGTTCATGAATATTTTTCTGTAGTGTGAAACAGCTGCCCTGTGTGGGACTGAGTGGCAAGATTTGTTCATGCCTTCCCTTTGTGACTTCAAGAACCCTGACTTCTCTTTCTGCAGAGACCAGCCCACCCCTGTGCCCACCATGACCCTCTTCCTCATGCTGAACTGCATTCCTTCCCCAATCACCTTTCCTGTTCCAGAAAAGGGGCTGGGATGTCTCCGTCTCTGTCTCAAATTTGTGGTGCACTGAGCTATAACTTACTTCTGTATTAAAATTAGAATCTGAGTATAAATTTAGTTTTTCAAATTATTTCCAAGAGAGATTGATGGGTTAATTAAAGGAGAAGATTCCTGAAATTTGAGAGACAAAATAAATGGAAGACATGAGAACTTTCCACAGTACACGTGTTTCTTGTGCTGATTTGTTGCAGGAGAGGAGAGTAGATGGGGCTGCGCCCAGTGGGTGCTCAGGCCACCATGAACTTTATGTGGTCACTGCTCAGCTGGGTCATCTTTGCTGCTCCATTGTCCTTGGCCCTTCAGTAGAACCTTGTCCCACCAGGACCTGTGATCACATAGACTTGGATATCACCTAGGGTGGTCCCTACACTTAGAAGTTCCTGTGTTATCAGAAGAAAAATTTTCAGACCCCTACACCTCTTCCCCTCCTTCCAGGTCTCTTTCAATTGTATTTTCCATCTTTTTTTTTTTTTTTTTTTTTTTTTTTTTGAGATGGAGTCTCACTCAGGCTGGAGTGCAGTGGTGCAATCTCGACTCATTGCAACCTCCACCTCCCGGGTTCAAGCAATCCTCCTGTCTCAGCCTCCCTAGTAACTGGGAGTACAGGCACATGCCACGATACCCAGCTAATTTTTTGTATTTTTAGTAAAGACGGGATTTCACCATGTTAGCCAGGATGGTCTTGATCTCCTGACCTTGTGATCTGCCCGCCTCTGCCTCCCAAAGTGCTGGGATTACAGGTGTAAGCCACCATGCCTGGCTTCCCCAACCTTCTTAAAGGAAGCAGATTCTGAAACTTCCCGAGAGGAGAGGTCCCAGAGTTTTTCATTGTAGTTTACTTTCTGTTGGAACTCCTCTTCTGCTCTCTCTCCTACTCTTCTTCCTGCCCTGAGTTGTAGTAATCCTATTGCTGGCTCCAAACCAAACTCATGGATTTGTAAAGCAGAGTCTAATTTAGATTCATATGTGGTTGGATAATTGGAGCCATAAGCCTTGGGTTATCTTTCCTGAAGAGACAAATATGGTTGTGTGCTGCAGTGTGCAGGAGGATTGGTGTGGGAGGAGGGAGGGAGGGAGGACACAAAAGCAGCCCTGGTGAGAAAAGCACTGGTGCATTTATATCCACATGAGATAATATTGTTCCACAGCGGCTACAAAATGACATTTGGCCTGAGTCTACATTAATAAAGATATTGCCTTTAGAATAGGGGGGCGCACTACAGTAATCATCCATTCAAGTGGCATTTGTTGTCTGTTAGGTATTTGACTGTTTTTGCATTTAGAAAACATCGTTAAAGTAAAAACAGAAAAATTTCTGGCCTTGTCGTGTATACATTCTAGATGCAAGCTTGTCCAACCTGCAGATCTCGGGATGCATGTGGCCCAGGACAGCTTTAGAATGTGATGATTTTTTTGCTTATCTGTAGTGGCAGATATCATGAAAATTATCCATGCATTTTTTTTTCTTTTTTCTATTTTTTTCTGCTCATCAGCTGTCATTAGTGTATTTTTTGTGTGGCTCAAGACAATTCTTCTTCCTATGTGACCCAGGGAAGCCAAAAGATTGGACACCTCTGCAGGCAGATGATATAGTATAAGCAGAGTAGGAACAGAAAATGCTTGAGTTAGAAGGTGGCAAGTGCTGTGTGGCAGGTGATCCAGAGGGTGGGCTGTGGGTACAGGGAGGTGGCTGTTGTGCTGGGTGGTCAGCATGGGCCTTGTTGCAAATGTGACCTTGGAGTAAAGATTTGAGGGATGTGAGGAGTTGTCTACACGGATGTCTCAGAAAGTTCTTTTCAGGCAGGGAAACCTTCAGTGCAGATGCACTAGGGCAGGAAATTGTCTGTGTTCCTGGAAGGAGGAAGAGGCCAGAAGTGTTGAACAGAGAGAAACTGAAATGAAGTCAGAGGTGTGCCCAGAGCAGGTTGCCCTGGAGGGTGTGGGAAGGATGTTGACCTTTGCTCTGAATGACATGGGGAGTTAGAGGACAGTTTTGGAAAGTGGGACATGGTAGGACTTATCCTTTGAAAGCTTCTCTCTGGCTGCTGTGCTGAGAACAGAATTGAGAGGTGGGGGACTAGTGAGGCAGTGGGGAAAACGGTGGGAAAGGAGTGCAGTATTCCAGGATGGAGACGTCGCTTACCTTGACTGGGGTGTGAGCAGGGGAAATAGTGGGAAGTGATGGGATTCTGGATGAATTCACAGCACTTGCTAATGGATTTATCTGTGGTGTGAGAAAGAAGAATCAAGGACACCCACAGTATTGGACTGAGTGAGCAGAAGGGTGGAGCTGCTGTCAGTGGAGATGGGGAGACTCTGGCAGGAGCATACAGAGGAGAGGGCATTGCAGGCATCCAGTGGAGGTGACATCTACGAGGAATGAAGGTGAGGGGCCCAGATGCCTCTGCAGCTACAGATTCATCATCCAATCACTATCCTACTTCCACCACCCCTGTGTCTCAGAGCCAGAGCATTGATTCTCCCCTGTGCTGTCTGCACAGGTAGGTGAAAGTCAGGGAAGTTATGGTCTGCTGTTGGTTATAATAAGTCACAGATTATTGTGCTTTCTCAGATAATTAAAGAAATAATAAGAGAATTTGTAACTAGAACACTTACTGAGAAGACCACAATAATGCAAAGTTTTTTATTCATCTAAAGAAGGCAACAGAAGAAAAATAGTTGAGCAAGAAAGATAATATTAGAAGGCAGTAAATGAAAATGGACAGACTTAAACCCAACGAGGTCAACAATGACATTAAACGTAATGGACTCAGACACTCCAATTACAAGACAAATAGTGCAGAGGGATAAAAATAAATAAGTAAATAAATAAATAACCGTAGGCTATTTACAAAAGCCATAATTTCAGTAGAAGGTACAGAAAAGTTGAAAGTAAAAAGATAGAAAAGAAATACCAGACAAACATTCATGAAAGACCACATGGAGATGCCATTTAGAAAAATTACAGCACATGAGTCTCCTGAGACATAGAGTACATGTAGACAGCTCACAGTGTCTTTTTCCTTTTTTTCAGAGACAGGGTCTGTTGCCCAGGTTGAAATGCAATGGTGATATCAGACCTTACTGTAACCTCAAACTCCTGGGCTGAAGCAATTCTCCTGCCTCAGCCTTCTGAGTAGCTAGGACGAGAAGCCTGTGCCGCCACACCTGGCTATAATGTCTCATTTTCTCATTTGCTGTGGTGTGAACAAGGAAACAATACCATGCCATGTATTTGACTTGCAGCAGGTACACAACAAATGTCAGGTGAATGAAGAAATAAAACCACTTAGTAATCCAAGCCATATCCACATTTACATTTTACAGGTGAGGAGCAACATCCCAGACAAGTAAAGTAAAATAAATTGATTTACATCATCCAGAGCAGAATCGAGAACACATTCCCTGTGCTAAAGGAATCAGAACTCTACTAGGGGTCATAGCAGATATCATGCAAGTCACATATGTTAATTACTAGAACTGGAGTTGATACATTTTGAGATATACTAAACCAAGGGTTTGGAAGGATTAACTGAATGCAGAAATAAAGGAAGAAAATAGATTTGTTTAAAAGATGGTTAGAATCTTTAAAGAAACAACATCTTTTTAAAGTGGCCTTATGTGGACCAAAGCAGAGATGAGCTCAAATGTCAGGTGGGAAAATGCTTGACTAAATGCAGCTCTAGACCCAAGGGAGACCTAAAAATCCTGGGACATTTTCGGTTGTCACGTGGGGATTGGTGGGAGGGGGTGAGTGGGGTGCTGCTGGCAAACCTCCCACAATGCACAGGACAGACCACAAGGGATTCTCTGTTCCAAATTCTTAATAGGGCTGCTGTTGAGAAACCCGCCCGAGAGGTAAGTGCTGTAATGTCCTCACCATTTCACAGATTAAGAAACTGAGGCACCAGGAAGAAAAGTGTCAGTAGGACCAGAGCTGAAGGTTGAATCCAGGCCACCTGGCTGCAGGGTCTTGGCTTCCCTGGTTAAGTCAGGGACCTGGAGCCCACCACAAACAATCCCAGCTGCGCGGTGCCTTCATGGTCTGTGGGCGCCCCCTGGTGTTGACACTGGGCCTGTGGCCAAATGAGGCTTGAGGGAAAAGGAAAACGGGTTTAGGTAGCGGGATCTCCTTCAGGCTCTCCAGATTTCAAGCCATGACTTACACTCAGAAAAAATAATGTTCACCTTAATTATCTCCCCAAC
Source organism: Homo sapiens (assembly GCF_000001405.40). Classification (NCBI taxonomy): domain Eukaryota; kingdom Metazoa; phylum Chordata; class Mammalia; order Primates; family Hominidae; genus Homo; species Homo sapiens. The sequence continues at coordinate 1,141,220 of NT_167249.2, forward strand.
CCTGTTTTTCCCAGTTCCGGCCAGTACCCTCCCTCGACTCCATAAACATCAGTACCTGCCAGATGCCCAGCACCCACCATGTGAGGAGTGAAAATGCCCCAGGACTAAAGGACAAGATGACGTTCCACCCCAGCCATCCCGCCCCTCCTAGAGCTCTAGCTCTGTGCCTTTAGTGCTTAGGCTTTTAACCTGGGGTCCGCGAACCCACTTTCCCATGACACTGCGTGCAGAAGTGATGTTACATGCACACATGACTTCATTACAGGACATTGGATATTAATATTCATCCGATCAACTGGGGGCCCAAGATACCACTCTTCCCCCAACAGTTTGTGATCCTCTGAATTAAAGAAAGGGCAGAGATTGAGGGAGGCCCTAACTCCAAATCTTCTACCACTTCTAGGGAAGTGCTGAAAAGAAGTGCAAGGTACTCAACCCGCTCTGGGGATACAGCAGGAAAGCAGAGTGTTCATGGATTTCGAATTCCATCAAAGAAATACAACTTTGGCAAAATATCCAAGTCACTTTTCTAAGCCCCAGGCAGCAGCTCAAAACAAACAACATCAAAAACAAAACAAAATCTCGGCCCAGGTGAAATCATTGAAGACATAAAACTTTGTGAGACCTGTATTTAGAGCGAAGGACAATTCAATTTAGGGCTGCAGCAGAAAACCCCTACATCATATTGGGTTTTTCCTCATCATGAAGGTCTCCTGGAGGGACCTTCTCCCTTCAGCAGTGCATAGTGAGGCCATTTCTGTGTAAAAAGATAGAATCTCCTTGGATTCCTGATGTTTACATTTACTACTCACTTCTTTGACTTTGTAGATGCCAACTTCACATTCAACATCTTTCAATTATTTTCTTTACTTTGTCTAAGCAGAGAATTTAAACTTGTTTCTGAAGCAGAAAACCAGGGACTGGTTATTTGAGCTATCACCCCAATCTGTGGCTCTCTTATGCAATAAGCATAAGAGATTGTGGGCCAACAGAATTTGTAGCAAGATAAACATAAACCCTTCATTTCAGCCTATGTTTCTGTTTGTCTGGTGATGTTCCAGTCTTGCTCCAGTCTTAACATTTTAAAAAGTATAATTTTACTTAAATTTCATTTTATAGGAAGTCATATATATTCATTTCTGTTAGGTTTCTCAGTGAAAGCCTCCTCAAAACAACTGTGAAGTAAAGACATGTAAATAAATTCATGGTGCTCCCATGTATTCGTGCTCATTGCATCTTACAAATGTGTCAGCCCCACTGCAACAGATGGTGCATCAACAAATGGTGCTGGAAACCTGGATATCCACATGCAAAAGAATGATGCTGGACAAAATTTATGCCCTTCCATTACACCCTTTTCAAAAATTAAGTCAGAATGCCTTAAAGAACTAATCTTAAGAGTTAAACCTGTAAAACTCTTAAAAGAAAATACTGAGGGAAAGTCTTATGGTCATTAGAATTGGTAGTCGTTTCTTGGCTGGTGACCAAAAGTACAAGCAATAAAAGGAAAATGACAAATAAGACTTCATCAAAATGTAAAAACTTTTTTTGCATCAAAGGACGCTATTAAGAGGTGAAAAGAGGCTAGGCGCAGTGGCTCACGCCTGTAATCCCAGCACTTTGGGAGGCCAAAGTGGGTGGATCACCTGAGGTCAGGAGTTCGAAATCAGCCTGGCCAACATGGCAAAACCCTGTCTCTACTAAAAATACAAAAATTAGCCGGGCGCAGTGGTGGGCACCTGTAATCCCAGCTACTCGGGAGGCTGAGGCAGGAGAATCGCTTGAACCTGGGAGGCAGAGGTTGCAATGAGCTGAGATTGCACCATTGCACTCCAGCCGGGGCATCAGAGAGAGACTCCGTCTCAAAAAAACAAACAAACAAACAAAAAAAGACAGTAAAAATAAAAGAAACTGCATAGAATAAGATAAAATATTTGCCAATCACATATCTGATAAAGAATTAATATCCAGACTACATACAGAACTACAACTTAACAATAGCAAAACAATCTCATTCAAAAATGGGTAAAAGACATGAATAGACAATTCTCCAGAGAAGATACACAGTAAGGACATAAAAATAAGGAATTCCAATAAGGACATGAAAATATGCTCAGCTTCACTAGTCCAGGTGTTGGTGAGGATGTGGAGAAAATGGAATGCTTGTGCACTGCTGCTGAGAGTGAACAACAGTGCAGCCACCATGGAAACAGGATGATGCTTTCTCAAGAAGGTAAACATAGAATTTCCATATGAAGCAACAATTCCACTTTTGGGTGTATACCCCCCAAAAATTGAAAGCAGGTATGCACACAGATAATTGTACAGTCATGCTCATAGCAGTGCTATTCCCAATAGCCAAAAGGTGGACGCAACCCAAGTGTCCATCAGAGGATGATTGGAAAAACAAAATGTGGTGCATATACACATGGAATATTAATCAGCCTTAAAAGTGAAGAATATTTGGATTGGATGGAACCTTGAAAACACGCTAAATAAAATAAGCCAGAAAAAAGACAAATATGATATTTCTCTTATATGAGGCACCTAGAATAAGCAAATTCACAAAAACAGAAAGTAGAATACAGGTTACCAGGGGCTGAGGGCAGGAACAATGGGCAGCTGTCATTTAATGGGTACAGTCTCTGTTGGGATGATGAAAATGTTCTGAAAATGCATGTTGGTGTTTGTGTAACCACCATCAATTGTAAATGTGCTTAATGCCAATGAATTGTACACTGAAAAAAATTTTTAGAAGGTAAATCGTATAGTATGTGTGTTTTACCACAATTTAAAAAATATATATCAACACCAAATCCAATCACTTCTCACTCCTCTGCCACCTCCACCCCAGAACCATCATCACTAGGATAGAAAACCGGAAGGGCCTTCCAGCTGGGCTGCCTGCTGACTCTCATGCCCACTGTCCATCACCCACACAACAGAGAGAGCGTGCCTTTCCAATGGGAATTAGAGCATATCCTATGAACGCTCCAGCTCCTTCCCTTCTTAGGCACAAGGAAACCCCAGTTTCCCACCATTTCCTATGCACTCCTTATCACAGGGTCCCCTCTGGCCACTTTGGCCTCATCCCATTACTCTCAGCCTAGCTCACTCTTCTCCACTCACACCAGTTTCTTGTCTACTCCACCCTGTCTCCACCACCTGCCCCTGCTGTGACTCCCACATGCATGTGCTGCCCAGTGATCCACATGGCTCACTCCTCACACCATTAAGGTCCCTGCTCAAATGTCCCATGGTCAAGTGTTCAGAAATGTCTTGTCCAGTGACCTCTTCTGAAATCTATCCCCTGCCATTCCCACCACTGCCACCAATCTTCTAACCCAAGCATATTTTTCTTAATGGCAATTATCAGTGATACTGTGACAGGTTTTATTTGTTTATTGTCTGTTGATTTATTAAGGTTACCAAGAAAGAAAGAACCAATAGCATAGGTAGATAGATGATAGATAGATAGATAATAGATAGATAGATGATAGATAGATGTTAGATGATAGATAGACAGACAGACAGACAGATAGATAGGTGATTTATTGGGCTAATTGGCTCACACAATTATGGAGGCTGAGAAGTCCCATGATAGACTGTCTGGAAGCTGGAGAACTAGAAAAGCCAGTAGTGTGGCTCAGTCCAAAGTCAAAGCCCTGAGGACCCAGAATACAGAACAGGAGGATAAAGGGGCTCACTGGTGCAAAAGTCAGAGTCCAAAGATCATCGAACCTGGAGTTTTGATGTCCAAGGCAGGAGAAGAAGGGTGTCCCAGCCCCAGTTCCAGAGAGAGAGACAGAGACAGAGACAGAGAGAGACAGAGAGACAGAGACAGAGAGAAATTTTACTTCTATCTACCTTTCTGTTCTATCTGGGCCACTAGGTGATTGGACTGTGGCTGCCCACAGTGAGAGAGGATCTTCCCCACCAGTCCACCCACTCACATCCCTTCCAGAAAAACTCTCACAGACACTGGTTTAATACTTACAATTTGAGTAGTCTATAATTTATTTTTTTGAGACTGGGCTTGCTGGCTGGAGTGCAGTGTTGTTCATGGCTCACTGCAGCCTGAATCTTCCAGGCTTAAGCAACCCTCCCACCTCAGACACCCAAGTAGCTGGGACTACAGGCATGTGCCACCAAGCCCAGCTAATTCTTTTGAATTTTTTGTAGAGACAGGGTTTCTCTATGTTGCCTAGGCTGGTCACAAACTCAGGGGCTCAAGCAATCTGCCAGCCTGAGCCTCCCAAAGTGCTGGAAGTACAGGCATGAGCCACCATGTCCATCCTGAGTGTTCTATGAATTTTTAAAATCACAACCATAGAAGAATCTTCATGTACAAACATGCTTGTCAAAATATTCTTTACCAAAAGACAAGATGAAAGCACATGGATCTAAAAGAACCCTGCTGACTTCTCCTTGTTTGAGATGGGATGCAGCTTCTAGAAGTGTGTAAATTTTATGCAGACTTTATGACATGGAAAACTACTTTCATAATAATACATTCAAAAAGCAACTTCAAAATAACCCACAACCACTCTGGGAGGCCAAGGTGGGTGGATCACTTGAGGTCAGGTGTTCAAAACCAGCCTGGCCAACAAGTGTAACCCCATCTATATTAAAAACACAAAATTAGCCAGGCGTGGTAGTGCACATCTGTAATCCCAGCTACTCGAGGGGCTGAGGCAGAAGACTCACTTTCATCCGAGATGCAGAGGTTGCAGTGAGCCGAGATCATGCCACTGCACTCCAGCCCCTGGGGGACAGAGTGAGACTCCATCTTAAAAAAAACCCCAAAACTTATGAATGCAACTTTCTACAATGAAAGCATATATAAAAATATATACATAGAAAACAAAAGAATGGAAATCAGCACCACTGCAGAAGATAGCTCCAGGGATGACCATTCACACTGCAGTCCAGGAAGTTTCAATAATACGATAGCAGTGGTTCTTTGGAGGGGAAGCCTGGGTGATATTTCTTTCTTCTCTGCATTTTTTTTTCTTTAAAATTCAACCACGTGTTGATATGTGCATTTTAAATTCTTCTGTAATCAAATACATTTTCATATTTCTAATGTAGAAACATGTATTTTTAACATTCAAAATAAAACATTTGAAGTAAAATAACAATGAAAAGTGGCTGAACACTGTGGTGGGCACCTGTAGTCCCAGCTACTCAGGAGGCTGAGATAGGAGAATGGCTCGAGCTCACAAATTTGAGGCTATGGTCACACCTGTGAATAGTCACTGCTCTCCAGCCTGGAGATCATAGTGAGACCTCATATTTAAAATAATAATAATAAAAAGAAGTTCAGATCTCCTTCCAATCTCAACCTAAAACAAATTTCTCATTTGAAGTCCATATGGCAGAAATGCCTACTGATGGCTCCTCCAGAGAGTAAAAAAAATATTGTTCCTCTACAATCCATGACTCATCCTTCTGTTACAGTGTTCACCTGGGCAATGAAGTCAACACTAAGAATATCATCAATTTATGGAATACTGATTATCTCTTTTATAGATATATAAATTATAATTATGTATATATACATTATATTATATATAATTACCATCACACCTGAGAGAGTGAGATGGATTCTTTTCTTCCACAGATGAAAATCTGAGTCCCTGAGAACCTAGGGGTTTGGTATGGGTTCACTGAAAATGTTGGCCTTGAGAATTAGGAAAGAGCTCCTGCAGGCCTGCCTGGATGTGAGCCACACCAGTGGAGTCTCCGCAACAGCAGGAAGAGCAACTGAGAACCCTGGAAGCTTCACACTTGCAATGTTCCATGTCCAGCGGCATTCAGTTGATGGATGGGCCAAGATAAGAATACAGCTCCTTCCTTCAATTGGGGGTGGCAGAGGGATGAATCAGTCAGCTATACATAATGTGTGTGGTGTTTCTACAGGAATCTTTAATTATTCTGCTGAGAACTCCACCTCAAATGTACAAAAAGTCTGTACTCACTGGTAAGCAGGATCCTTTTTAGGAAAGCAAAGGACTTTGCTGACTTAAGCAAAACATTTTCTCTCCAAATGAATTATCCTGATTGGATAATCTCTTACTCCCACTGAAATTAGCCCCAGAGTTGTATTTGAGCATTTGGGTCAAAGACAGAAAGTCATTTTGAGGGTTGGGCCTGGCTGATCTTGGACAATGTTCTGAAAGAGGGCTTTCTACTTGCAGAAGAACAAAGGTGTGCTCTGGGTAGGAGATGATGTCCTGAGAAGAAAAGACAGATAGGCAGATTCTCAAGCAAACTCAGGAGTTTACTATACAAAAGATTTTGGAATATCTTCCTCAGCCTCTTTTTCATTGTGGTAAAATACACATAAACACAAAGGATACCACCGTAACCATTTAAAGTGCACAATGCAGTGACAATTCGTATGTTCACAATGTTATGTAACCATCATCACTCTCTAGTTCCAGAGTGTTTTTATCACCTCAGGGGGAACTCTGCACCCATTAAGCAGTCACCCTCCATTTCCACCTGCCAGCAGACCCTGTCGCCACAAATCCACTTTCTTTCTCTATCGACTTGCCTCTTATGAATATTTCACAAAAATGGGCTCATAAGTTATGTAGCCTCCTGTGACTGGCTTCCTTCACTTGTCTTGTTTTCAAGATTCAGCAATGTTTTAGCATATACCAGTGCTTTATTCATTTTATGACCAAATAATATTCTATTGTAGGAAAAAACTATATGTTGTTTCTCCATTCATTGGTCGATGGACATTTTCTTTTAAATCAAATAGGAAAAACAAGAGAGGAATTACAAATATATATATGTGTGTGTGTATATATATATGTCTTGTAGGGTTGAGACAATCTCAGTCAGCTTTTTTTAACCTGTGAATGTCATGATTTCTCCATCATTTCTGAAGGAGAGTTTTGCAGACATACAATTCTTGGTTGATAGTCCTTTTACTTTCTCAGCTTTAAATTTGTCATCCCAACGCCTCCTGAACCCCATGGTTTCTGATGAAAATTTGTATGTTAATCTTATTGAGGATCCATTGTACCTGAAAAGTTCCTTCTCTGTTATTGCTTTCAAGATGGTCTGTTTGTCATTGGTGTAGACTGGTTGATTATAACGTCTCTCAGTGTGGACTTTTAAAATTCTTGCTGCTTAAAATGTATCAAGTTTGTTGGATGAGTAAAATTATATTTTTCATCAAATTTAGGAGATTTGAAGTTATTATTCCTCCAAATAGCCATTCTTCTTTTTCTCTCTCCTTTCTTTGAGGATTCCCAAAATGCATATGCTTGGTGTTGTCTCACAGTTTTCATAAGTTCTGTTCATTTTTCTTCATAATTTTTTTTTACTTCTGCACCTCAAACTGGATAATTTCAATTGTCTTACCTTTAAGCTTGCCGATTCTTCATTCTGCATAGTGAAAGTTGCTTTTGTAAAAAAGTAAATAGTAAATTTACTCTAGTAAAATATAGTAAAAAATAGTAAAATTACTCTAGTAAATTTTTCATTTCAGTTATTGCACTTTTCAGCTCCAAAATTTCTATTTGGTTTCTTTTTAAACTTTCTATCTTTTTATTGATGTTCTCTATTTGAGTTAAGATAGTTCTTCTGATTTCCTTTAGTTTTTTGCCCATAGTTTCCTTTAGCTCTGTGAACATATTTAAGCAGTCAATTCAAAGTGTTTGTCCAGTAAGTATGTTCAATGGCCTTTCTCAGGAACAGTTTCTGTCAATTGCTCTTTTTTCTTGAGAATGGGTCTTACTGTCTAGTTTAATTGCATACCTCATTTTTATTTTGAATACTAACATGTGGTGACTTTGAAAATCATGTTTTCTAAACTATTTTTGTATAGACTGTATTCTTTATTGTGTGTCATCACTGAAGTCTCTATTCTGTAAGCTTAGTGGTCAACTCATGATTTGATAGATATTTCCTGAAACATCTTCAGCCAAAAAGAAATAAGAAAAAAAAATTCAATCTTTTTATCTGGGCTCTCTGTGTGTTTTGGGGCATGCCCTCAACACTCTGCTGGGCAGTTTACAATCCTGCTTTGGCCTTCATTTCCTACTTGTGCAGATATTGAAAGTTAGCAAGAGGTGTGAACACAGGGCATTCTCAGGTGCTTTGTGAGTCTGTGCGACATACTGGTCATGGAGGAGGCTATACAGATTCCCAGGGATATGGAAGCTTTTCAAAACCCATATTCCCATCTCACTCACCCAGTTTCTCCTCCAGGCTTTTCTGTATGTCTATTACCTTCCTCATGTAATATATTTTTGCCCCAAGGGGGCAGCTGCTGGTTCAGTGGCACTTAAATGGTTTTAGCAGATGCCCTCTGCCTCTGTGACCTAAGAGAGTTCTGAGTAGGGAAAATAAATGCAAACCATTTATTTTCTTTTTCTTTCTTTTTTTTCTTTTTTTAGACAAGGTCTTGCTCTGAAGCCCAAGCTGGAGTGCAGTTGCACGATCCTGGCTCACTGTAGCCTCAACCTCCTGGGCTTAAGCAATCCTCCCACCTCAGCCTCTTGAGTAGCTGAGACTACAGGCACATGCCATAATGCCCAGTTAATTTTTGTATTTTTTGTAGAAATGGAGTTTCACCATGTTGTCTAGGCTGGTCTCAAACTCCTGAACTCAAGAAATGCACCCAGCTGAGCTTCCCAAAGTGCTGTGATTACAGGCATGAGTCACCATGCCCAGCCCAATGTAAGCCATTTCTTATCATCCTTCACGGAGTCACCCAACAGGAAAAGGTAGACAACCACAACACTTTGAGAACATGGTCCACTCGGCTCCCACTGGCATTGGAGCCCACACTAAGGAACCAGGCTGCTGTCTTCAAGATCACTACTGACTTGAACAGGGAGGAATGGGCCAAGGGTAAGATATGGTGCCACAGAGCTCTGCTCCTGAGTTCCAGTTGATTTTTCTGGACTTGCTAGGTTGCAATAAACCTTTGATGATTTTTCAGGGTTCCAATGCAGTTGATTCTTTATCAACCCAATCAGAATATCTGGTGGTAGGTCCAGGAATTCTTGCTTTAACAGCTCTCTGAGGGAATTTTTTTTTTTTTTTTTTTTTTTTTGATGGAGTTTTGCTCTTGTTGCCCAGGGTGGAGTGCAATGGCATGATCCCGGCTAACTGCAACATCTGCCTCCCGGGTTCAAGCGATTCTCCTTCCTCACTTCCCGAGTAGCTGGGACTACAGGCGCGAGCCACCACACCCAGCTAATTTTGTATATTTAGTAGAGACTGGGATTCTCCATGTTGATCAGTCTGGTCTCGAACTCCTGACCTCAGGTGATCCCCCCACCTCGGCCTCCCAAAGTGCTGGGATTACAGGCATGAGCCACCATGCCCAGCCAAGGGATTTTTTTTATAGTGATGTTTTACAAGCACATTGTCTCTGTGCAGAGGTGGCCCTTGGAGTTCCTATGCCACTATGTTCTCTGATGTCACTCCTCAGCCACCTTTGAATTGTGTTTATGCATCAGAATTCCTGATCTGCTAAGTACTTCCAGGAAACTCATTCATATGGTAAACATCATTAAGCACCTACCTTATTCTGGGTACTGTGCTCTATGGAGTTGAGCCTCAGATAAAAGAATCAAACTTCCTTGGACTTCATAGAAGTCAAAGGTGGGGGTGGGAAGATAAATAAAGAAATTATAACACAGCATGTTATGTATTTTACATGACTTTTTTCTTTGAAAGCTACATTATTAATATTTTATGACAGTACTGAGTTACATATACCAAAGATTACAAATTAAAATTTCTGCTTTCTTTCTCTCTTTTGTTCTTACATATTTCTCTGTTCTTGTAGATATTTTGAGATTGGGTATTATGGAGACAGTGCAACGGTTTCATTTATATGATAATGTTTTGTTTTACCTTTATTCATCAAAGAGAGATTTGTCAGCTGCAAATTTCTAGTTTGACATTGGTTTTCTCTCAGATCTTTGATGATTATGTTGCTTCTGGCTGCTGTGGCTGACAGGGAATAGTCAGTTACATTTTAACCAGTTGCTTCTTAGAGGATCTCTGTTTCTCCTGTGGCAAATTTTAAGATATCTGTTTCTCTTTAACATCTGTTCCAGTGCAGTATGAGTAAATGTGGATCTCTTTTTATTCACAGTGCTATGATACTGTTAGGTATGAGTTCTAAATTTCTCTTAAAATAATTAACATGTCAGTATGTTCAATTCTTTGCCCTCTACTTTTAAACTTAACTTCCTCATAAAGCAACCTTTTTTGATCACCTGTTCCACCCTGACTCATCCTGATTACTTGCTCCAGCCTGACTCATTCTGGTTACCTGCTCCACCCTGACTCATTCCAGTCACCTGCTCCACCCTGACTCATTCTGATTACCTGCTCCACCCTGACTCATCCTGATTACTTGCCCCAGCCTGACTCATTCCAGTTACCTGCTCCACCCTGACTCATTCTGATCACCTGTTTCACTCTCTTTAAATTAGCCAATCTGAATTAGTTTAGCCTGTGCGGTCTAACCCTAGCCAATAGGGGAATAACACAGCAGCAGGGGCCACATGCATCAGGGATAAGAACCCCTTCCCCTTCCTTGTCCAGGGGTGCGCTCACCATTGCTCCATCTGTGAGGGCACACCCTTGTATAGAAGTAATTGCCTTGCTGAGAAGAAAAAAAGAAAATTTTATATTTGAGTGCTATTTCTTTGTGGCATCGAGACTTTATTTACAATAATACATTTCCTTAATATTTTAAGATAACCTCTTTCTGGAATGCCTCTTTCCATTTACTCACTTCTCTTCTTCTAGGAATTTAATTAGAGAAGAATTAAATTAAACCTCATTCAACCACCATATACACTGTGGAATCCAAAATAATGGCCTCACACATATGTCCAAGCCCTAAGACGCAGACCATTTAGATATGTTACTTTACACAGCAAAAGGGACTTTGCTGATATGATTAAGAGCATGGATCTTTAGATGTGGAGATTATTTTGTATTATTTGAGTGGCCCCAATCTGATTGCATGATTTCTTTAACCTGGAGATGACTGGAGAAATATGGGTCAGATGGAGTGCTGAATTTCATGTAGAATAATTTCTTAATCTAGTAAAATAACATCATCTCTGTTTTTTATTCTTTAATTAAGTGGCAAAATGCATTAAAAGGTTTAAAGTTTAAATATCCTTGCATTCTTGGGCTATATACCTTGGTCAAGACAGTCTGTTTATAACACATTGGTTAATACAGTCTACTAATATTTTTCTTAGAATTTTCACATTTAATTAATTAAAAGTGATTTTCCTATAATAGGTAAATAGTAGAAGGGGGTAAGTCTCTTATTTTACAAATTATTCAAATAATACATGAAAAGAAATGGAAGACTGAGACTACAACTCTTTGCCATCCGTAATGAATGAACAGATCTAGCCACTGAACAGCAATGACAATTTTCATCACCAAAGGGAAATAACCAGTATTAAACTCTTCCCCTTGTTGAAAAACATGATATAGTACCACCAAAACTCACGGGGAAAAAAATCTGAATAGATGCAAACCTCTATACCAAACTACAAATTTCTAGAAAATGCAGGTAATAGAGATGCATATTAAACCATAGTTTGGGGTGCAATCCACAAAATACAAACAACAGGAAACTCTACCAGACAATATTAATTTCAAAGGGATAACCTATAGAACAAATAAGAACAAAAAACTTATTTTTAAAGGTAAAACTAAACTATCATTTGGGATGATGAAAATATAAAATAGAACAAAGAAGTGAGGACCACAAAAGTCAGGATGTGATTGATTTTTATTTGAAAAAATAAAAATTTACTATTGAACTGGGTCAATTGATGGGGCTTCTAGGTCAGCTGACAGACTTCTCTCTCTCTTTCTGATGGTTAAAGAGTGTTTACTGTTGATTAAAGGTCACCATTTTAAGATTTTTTTTCTTTTATGTCACCTGTGTTTTATGACAAAAAGGCGAACGCAGAATAAAATGAGTTATGGGGCACGGTTCCTGTTCTGCACAAAGCCTCCTCCCCATCCTCCTCTCTGGACACTGAGCACCCAGAACAACCGGCAGCCCCAGGACCCCTGGCAAGGCTGTCTCATTACTGAGTGTGCATTCAGCTCCACGTCGCTGGAGACAATGTCCACAGTTTATTTCTTGAGTCCTGGATGAACCTGACAGGACATAGCTGAGGGGAAGCCTGGCCCAGTCTGCAGGCTTTGGCCATCAGTGTAGAGGGAGGAGGTCCTCATCTCTCCACTGGAGCAGTTACAGCCAGAGCCTCCTCTCTGCGTGGGAGTGAGGCTTGGTCCTTCCCCTGAACACGGTGACAGGGATCTCTCCACAGGTAGAGATGACACCATTCCTCCTGTAACATGGTCCAATCTCACGCTTGTTCTGCTTTACAAGAAAGTTGACCCACGCTGGTGTCCCCTGAAGAAATCACAGGCACAGAGGAGGGACAGGTGGATTTCAGGGCTGTGCTTGATCTGGGAAAGGAAGAGTGCAGACCGCCAGGTGGCGCCGCTGCACTGCTTCTGCGCCCAGGAGGTGACTGCTGGGGCTGAGATTGAAGGTGGGGAGAAGGATGTCACAGCTCATCGCACAGGTTCCCGGTAAAAATCCTCCTGCCCAGCCTAGCGGGCTCTCCCTTAATCAACTGTAGCGAAAACTGTCTCCTTCTCACGTTCCTGGAAGGTGCTTTTTGACACAAGAAAGAGGATGTGATTGCTAGGGTCATCATGTCATTGTTTATTGTGTTGCCAGTAAAGTGAAATCAAAATACACAATAAATAATAAAATAACCCATGATAAGCCAATGTTTATAATGTACTAACACCACTGAGCCAGTGTTTATAATGTACTGACACACTCCAAGTGTGGGCACAGCTGCAGACATGCCTTGTCTCTTGGGTCAGGACACAGGGTAGAGTGAAATGGAAAGAAATCCCAGTCACTGCAGAAAAGGGCCCCCATGGAAGAGGCCTGGCAGGGAGGCCAGCTGTCCCAGGGCCGCCATATTTAGGGATGACTCCCCCTTTCTGGGCAGCACTGGTTTTTTTAATTATTTTTGCATTCACAGTAGTTCTGAAATTGCAGGATGCTGAGACCCAGCACTGGTCAGTTACACCGTCTCTTCTTCACCATTAAATACTGTGCCAAACAGCACCTTCATACATTTCCATCCTCTTCCAGGAGAGAATCAAAACAACAATGGACACATTGATGCATGCAAAAATACTTTAAATATGTGCTATCAGAAGTAGCTACTAAAACATTAATTCCACTGAAATGAGGGAGGCTGTAAAAAAGAAAAACATTGCATACCCGTATTCACAGCAACATTACTCACCATAGCCAAGACAAGGAAGCAAACAAAGCACCCATCAACACATGAATAGATGAAGAACATGTGGTCTATGTAGGCAATGGAATATGATTCAACCTTAAAAAGAAGGAAATTCTGTTACATGCTGCAACATGGATGAACCTGGAGAACAATGCTAAGTGTAATAAGCCAATCACAAGGAAATTCCAATACTGCGCAATTCGTTATATGCGGCGTCTAAACTCTTAGAACCTGAAAGTAGAATGGCGGCTGCCAGTGGTTAGGCTGGGGGGATTCATGAGGAGATTTTCAGCGTAGAGTTTCAGTTTTGCAAGATGAAAAGTTCTAGAGATCTGTTGCATAACAATGTGCTACAGTTCATATTATAGTACTCTATACTTAAAAATTGTTACGATACCAAATTTTATATAATATGGATTTTGGCGCAATGAAAAAAATAATTAGCTCTGATACCAACTTAGGAAAAGAGCACATGAATTTATTGAAAATATATTAGCATGTGCTTACTATGAAAAAGAGATGCAGAAAACTGTGAGACAAAAAGAGAGATCCTTGCTACCCCAGCTATTATCCATGAACCAGCAGAACCAGCATCTCATGAAACTGGACAGAAAGGCTCACAGGCCCAGCCTTGACAGGTTGATCAGTCTGCATTTGTCAGGACCCCAGGTGGCTCCACTGCATGTAAAGCACCGCCCCAGATGGTGGTGGAGGGAGATCCTAGGAAGGTGACTCTGTCCCACAGGTAGAAGCCTCCAGTCCAGATGGGAGCAGCCAGAAGGGCCCAAGAGGGACATTTCCAAGAAAGTAAAATTAATAGAAAGTTCAAAGTCTCTAATTTCTTAACAGAGTCACAGAAATGGAACAGATATCAAAGTTAAATTAATGAGAGTTATCTAGAACATAAAAACAAAGGCAAGTATTAACTTGAGGAAGAACAAATACTACGAAGCAAGTGAAAAGTAGTCAAGTTGACATATGAGAAGATGAGTCACGGAAAAAAACAAGGAGTGGCTGAATTAAACATAATTACTATATAAATATACTGGGAAAAGGAAAGAACGGGAAGAGTGAAAGAGAACAAGTGATGGATGTGGTGACGTCGCGTTCTCCCGGGCGGGGCCGGAGGCGGTACAGATGAGGGACACATTCATGGCTAACGGGACGGCTTTTCTCGTTCTGCGTTCCGCTTGCGGCCGGTAGTCTCTCCTCCCCGCCCATGGGCGGTGGTTGGAGGCAGGGGTGCGGAATCCGGCCGACCTCGCTGTCCTCGCCCTCTACCTTGTGGCGTCGGTGGGGTTGGGGAGATGAGTTCTCCGACGCAGCAGGCACCCCTGCTCATCTCCTATGGCTGTTGCCTTTTGGGCAGCCCCTCTTCGCGGCGGTGGGGCTGTCCCACCGGTCTGTCACGTTGCCCTTCCCTGGGCTTGTGAGGATTGGCTCCGCTTGGACCTTTGCGGTGCTCCCGGAGCCCTCCAGGTTGTCCCTCCGGTGCCCGAGGCCAAGCGGTGGTGTCCTTCCTGTTCCCAGCAACCCCTCCTCCTGTCGCTGCTGCAGTGCCTGTGTGTGGGTCCTGAGGGGTTTTGGGGAGGTAGAATATTTTTATTTATTTAAATAAATTAAAAAATAAGAAAAAAAAAATACAAAAAGAAAGAGAACAAGTAATCTTAACTATTGATTCCACCATCGTGCAGTGCAATAGTCAATGGCTGCAACTGAAAAATCAAGCAATGTTAATAAAGAAATGGTGCTTTGGTGCTTAGATATGTGAAAGTAAAGTCAAAAGAATCAGCTGAAACTTGAAAGTGGTTGCTCCCTAGAAAGGCAGAAATAGAGAAGAGAGGACTCTCCCTAGAAAGGCAGAGAAGACTCTCATTTTTCTCAGAAAGTCCTGCACAAATATTTACTCTTTCCATTATGTGCAATTGTAACTTCGAATAAAATAAAAACAAAAGCTTCAGTTAACATGCAAGTTTATGCCTAATGACAACTTTGTTTAACAATGATAAAGGGCTAACCAAAATATAAAAACACTTAGACATAAAACAGCATGTATAAATGTGTATGTGACATCAACCCTGAATACAAACTTGAAAGAATATGTCTATAAACAACTCTGGATAGATAGCCCATGAATGAATTCCCCACTCCAGCATCTTTACTGGTTGTCCTGTGAGCCTAGGCAGGGAGGGGACCAGGACCTGACTAGGGTCCCTAATACTCTTGCTTCCAGGCAAGTCCTGCATACACTCCTGCTGCACCAAGGGCTCCCATCCCTGCCTTGGTCTGTTTCATAGGTGCTCCCCTAACTCTCTGCCACCACTGCCTTACCTGGGTGGAGCTGAGGCCGCCCTGACCAAGAAGAGCACCACCCATCTATGTGCCCCAAAAACAGAAAGTCAAAAGAAACCTTGCAACAGGGTCAGGAACTATCCCACCTCCCCACCTCTGAATCAGTCTGAACTGATGGCGGGAGATGCTGATGCTTGCTTTACTCATCCTCATTCCCTGTGCATTTATTTTTCACTAATTCAGTCCACATCTCCTAGAAGCAGACTGACCCCTACCCTTCATAATCAGGAAACCCCAGAGCACTTTTTATCCCCTCCAGAATATAACACTTCAGCTCTGCATCATCACATGAAGGCTCCAACTCTGCAGGGCAGGTGTACTCTCACAGCTTCAGGCCCTGAACATTTGCTTCAGATGTCCCCCCATCCCTTTCCAGACCTGTCTGTGTTGCTCTGAATCTGTCCTTCCCTGAGAACTGGCGGGGAGATATCAGGGAGGAGGGGAGATTTCTTTGTGCTATGTCAATGCATCTAGACAGAGCTCTCATTCTCCCTTGAACCTCAACTCTATCCGTTCCCAGACACTTGAAATAAAACACAGACCAGAAATGTCTATTTAAAAGCTAAATATCTATAGTATAAAATATGAAGACAGAGTAGAATGGGGTAATGCAGGAGAGTGTGACAGGGCGAGGGGACCTCAACGTGCCAGGAAAGTTGGTCCTTGGCTCCCCTGGAGGAGCCGTCACCAGGACACTCACTCATAAAGCTCACCTGTGATAATACAATTACATGACATTAATGTATTAAAATATAATAAAATCATAACAAAATAACAAAAATAATATGGCACAGCTGCAAACACCTCATATATACTAACACTTTTCATCCACCCAACCACAAGAAATAAATGTTGTTACATTCCCTATTTCATAGATGAGAAAGCTGAGCCAGCAAGAGAAAAAGTGCTGGTGAGACCTGGGCAGGGCGTTCAATCCAGGCCGCCTGGCTGCAGAGTGTAGGTGCCCTCAGTAGAGCCAGTGGACCTGGGAGCTGAGAGCAGAGACTGAAATCCCAGCTGTGCACTGCCCTGGTGTTCTGTCTGAGTCAGGTGTTGATCTGGGCCTTGCAGGCTCATGTGCTCTGGAGAAAAGAGAAAAAATAGTAAGTGCTCCCCTGGGTGCACAGTGCTGCTTTTTACTCCCTGACGACTTCTCCCTCCTCAGTCAGTCCCAAATCAGATTCACCCTTTCTCCGAGGGAAGATGATGTCTGCACTTTTTTCTCCCTCCCATGGCACTTTTCCCAGCCCCTGCCAGTCCCCTCCCGTGACTCCATCAACATCAACCCCTGCCCTGTGCCCACCAGTCACCATGCAAGGAGGAAAAGAGCCCCAGGACCAAAGGACAAGACCTGGGAAAAACCCAGTGCCCTCCCCTCCTCTCAAGCCTGGCCAGCTCTGACAGCAGGAGGACTCCCCAAAGAGAGGCTCTGGCCCTGGCTCCATGTCCTTCCAGGACTGGGCTGGGTCACACGCACAGTCCTTCTCTTCCTCAGTCCCCAGTCCCACCTCACCTGTAGAGACACCTGCACACAAGGGCAGGCCCTAAACACTGTGGTTCTGCCCTCCACCTGCAGCTCAGTGCTCCTCCACTTCCAGCCCTGAGCAGGCAGCTCCTAACTGGGAAGCCCATTAAGAATCCCATCAGCATGGCAGGCCCAGCATGGAAACATGTAGCTGCTATGGGGTCTGCAGCTGACCTGACCCTGGGAACCCCCTTGCTCAAGGAGGCCCTGCCTACCCTGACCCCCAGGCCCATGACCTGCACTTGGGCCATGCTTGCTCCAGCCTGGTCCACTCATCCCTGGAAGCACAGCTTCTCCCCAGGGCTGCTGCTTGGGGAGGCTGAAAGGCCTTCCTCTCCTGTTCCTAGCAGGGATTCCTAGCAGGGATTCCACCCAAGCCACTGCCCTCACAGCCCATAGGGGATCTTCTTCTCCCTGTGGAGTAGAAAGTTTCTTGAGACCCCTCAGCCTGAGGCTGCCTCTGCCCACCCTTTGCACTTGGGGATTGCCACTGCCACAGCCACCATCTCCCACATGGACCGTCCTGGAGAGGGAGCTCCACATTTGAGTTCCTGTTTCATTTGATATGCGTTACAACATTAGTATTGGTGGACATCCTTTTAAGACCCAGCTGAAACTACAAACATCTTTATTGGACATCAGCATTTAAAGCAGGAATTTTGAGAAATTAGCACATAACTTTCACACCCCTTTCCTGGCCAATGCCCCAGTAACCTACAAGGCAACCGTTCCCGCCCACGGGGAACCAGAACTGACAATCCCTCTTCAGGAGACACCACAGGTGAGAGCAGGAGCGACCACAGACCTGCACTGCCCCTGCTGTGGGTGCCTCCTGGACAGGGCCCTCTTGCTGCAGGGCAGGGGATGAACCATCCCATCTGCCCAGGCCTGAGGGGCCAACTGACAGTGCAATTAGGTTCAAGGATGAGAAATCACCACCCCCTGCCAGATACACAGAAGTGGGGAAATGGCAGAAAGACTCGGGTTTCCCGGACACTCCAGGCTCTCAGTGTCTCCTGCACTGTCTCTGTCTTTGCAGAAACACAAAACTTGCTGCTTGCTCTTTTCCCCTCCCTTCAAACAACCTGACTGTGCGGGAAATCATCCTGACCATCTCTCACTCCAAACTCATCAGGCAGTGCTTATTCTTTCAAAGGTATTTTGTGACTGTGCAAGCAAATATAAATGTATATGTGTATGTTCTTTCTCCCTTTGCACACAAATTTTAGCAAACTACATATGCTTTTCTGTACCTTGCTGTTTTCCCTTACCATTGTATCACGGAGACCATCCCATGAAGAAATATCAAGAACTACACTATGTCTTTCTTTTTTTTGTTCAAAATTTTCTTGGCAATCCATTGTATAGGCATGCATTTTTTAAAATAGAGATTACCCTTTTTGAATGCAATGCTTTTTAACCAGCTCCCTACTGATAGGCATTTGGATTATTTCTTTCAGAGAACAATTTGACATCATGTAGCATCATTTGGGAAGGGTGCAGTGACCCCACTCCTACATGCATATCCTAGGGGAGCTCATGTATTCTTGGAACCAGAAAGCAATGTCCCAGCATGTTCATTGCAGCAGTGTCTTTAATAGAGACTATGTAGAGGTCAATGAAGTGGGGAAGAGATAAATTGTAGCATATTCCTTCCATGGAATACTATCTAGCAATGAAAACAAATGAACTATTTGTGTGAACATTGATCCATCTCATAGACCATGTTAACGGAAAAAGCAAGCAAATGCATAACAAAATCAGCAAGAAACAATTTATAAAAAGTCTAAAAGTAAAGCCAGGCAAGGGGGCCTATACCCATAATCCTAGCCTCTTGGGAGGCCAAGGTGGGCAGATTGCTTGACCCCAGGCGTTCCAGACAAGTCTGGGAAACATGATAAATCCCTTTCTCTACAAAAAATACAGAAATTAGCCAGCCTTGGTGGTGCGAACCTCTAGTCCCAGCTACTCAAGAGGCCTAGAAGGGAGGAATTGCTTAAGCCTGGCAGGTAGAGGCTGAAGTGAGTTGTGTTTGTGCCACTGCATTTCAGTCCAGGTGACAAAGTGAAACCATGTTAAAAACAAACAAACAAACAAAAAAAACAAGAGACTTTTTAAAACTTAGTAAGAATATAGGGGCATACAGCAAATTCAAGACACACATTCACCAACAGTTCTTGCTTTGCTCAGTACAGTATTGACTGAAACACATGCATATCAGAACTGTGGAAAATCAGGGCTATCTACATGTGTTTCTGTTATTTTCTATGTATACTGCATACAGCCAATAATATTAAAATGTCACAAATTGACAAACCTGGATGGCAGCTTCACAAAGATTTCTTATAATTCTCTATTTTTTCTTCTAGCTAGAACTACCTTATAATAAAATTTGTGAAGTGAATCCACAGAAATTGAGCAAAATAAAAAGGAGTCGTTGAGTGTGAGGAAAGCTGCAGAGAAGTAAAGACAGGTGGAGACATGACAATACTGAGCATGTTAGTGACCTTCACAGTAACTGACTTCCTGGAGGAGTGTGAGCTTAAGCCAGAATGAAGTGATAGACCGTGAAAGACGGATGAAGGAGTAGCAGCTTCTGGAGGCAAACATGGTGTGTGGTTGGCTGGATTGGGATATGTGGAGGGACTCTGAACATTCTGCTTTAGGTCCAGCACTAGAGAAAGAGGACTCATCTTTATTTAGCACCTTCCACAATCTGTAGAGAAATCTGAAACATTGCAAAAGAAGATATATGAATGGCCAGTTCAGGGAAAAATGCAAAGTAAAACCACAGTGAGAAACCACTAAGCAACCATTAGAATGGCTAAAATTAAAATGATTAATAACTATAAATGCTAGCAAGGATGTGGAACAATCTGTACTCTCCTCCATTGCCTATAGGAATATAAAACATCCATTTTGAAAATCAATTTCATATCATCTAATAAAGTTAAACAAGCTAGTCCTCTACAGCTACCATTTCCACTCCTAGGTATATACTCAAGAGAAATGAAGATTTTGTCAATAATCCCTGCATAAAAATGTTCATAGTTTCTTTATTTATAATAGTAAAAAATAAGAAATAACTGCCAATGTACAAAAATCATGATTCAATCATACAATGGAATATTATCAGCAATGAAAATGAAAGAACTACTGATACGTGCACCAACATGGATTGATCACATAGGTATTACAACAAGCGCAAAAAGCCAGATACAAGGGAGGCCATATGGGATGAGTAGATTTGTATGAAGTTTTAAAACAGGAAGAACTGTGCTATCCTGATAGCCGTCAGATCAATGGCTGCTGGAGGCATGGAAGCTGAGTTGAAGGGAGAAAAAGGGATCTTTGTGTACATTGATAGTGGCAAGAGTAATATGCTGCATTTGTCAAAATTCATTGATAAATTTGATGAAGATCTGATTATTTTGGTATATGTACATTTTATAAGTTTAAAAATCTTGTAATAAAAATTATAATGTTGCTGATAAAAATAATAATTAAAAATATTAGCAACAAAATCCAAGAGTATACCAAAAGAATAATACACCATGATATGTCCATATATGGCAAACACAGAGCTAACATTATACTGAATAGGGACAAGCTTATAGCCTCTCCTCCAAGATCTGGAAGAAGGCTAAGACTCCCACTTTCATCACTTTTATTCTACACAGCACTAGAAGTCCTAGCAAGAGCAATCAGCCAAGAGGAGGAAGTAAAGGGCATCCAAATTGGAAAGGAGAAAGCCAACTTAGCCTTATTCGCAAATGGCATAATCTTTTACTTAGAAAAAACTAAATATTGGCCGGGTGCGGTGGCTCACGCCTGTAATCCCAGCACTTTGGGAGGCCGAGGCAGGCGTATCACGAGGTCAGGAGATCGAGACCATCCTGGCTAACATGGTGAAACCCCGTCTCTACTAAAAATACGAAAAAAAAAAATTAGCTGGTCGTGGTGGCGGGCGCCTGTAGTCCCAGCTACTCAGGAGGCTGAGACGGGAGAATGGCGTGAACCCAGGGGGTGGAGCTTGCAGTGAGCCGAGATCGCGCCACTGCACTCCAGCCTGGATGACAGAGCGAGACTCCATCTCAAAAAAAGAAAAAAAGAAAAAACTAAATATTCCACCAAATAAATGGTGAGAACTAATAAGCAAATTCAGTAAAATTACAGAATACAAAATCAATGTGCAAACTTTCAGAGCATTTATATATACAAGCACCATATAATCTGAAGAAGAAATCAAGAAAGCAAAACTATTTACAAATCATAAAGAGGATAAAATAACTAAGAATCAATTTACCCCAGGAAGTAAAACAAAAACTATAAGGCACTGATGAAGGAAATTGAAGAGTACACAAAACTGGAAGAGCCAGGCACAGTGGCACATACCTGTAATCCTGGCACTTTGGGATGATGAGACAGGAGAATTGTTTGAGCCTGGGAGTTCAAGACTAGCCTGGGAAACATAGTGAGACCTTGTCTCTAAGGAAAAAAAATAAAACACATAAATTGGGAGAATTAATATTGTTAAATATTAATTTTAAAAATGAGACACATAAATTTCATGCACATAAATTGGGAGAATATTGTTAAAATGTTCATACTACCCAAAGCAGTTTACAGATTCAATTCAATCCCTATCAAAATACCAATATCATTATTCACAGAAATAGAAAAAATCATGAAATTCATATGGAATCGTAAAATATCCCAAATAGCCAAAGCAATCATGAGCAAGAAGAACAAAGCTAGAGGCATCACACTTACTGAATTCAGAATACAATATAAAGTTATAGTAACCAAATCAGCATGGTGCTAGCATAAAAACAGACACATAGACTAATGGAATACAAAAGAGAACTCACAATAAATCCATGCATTGATAGCCAACTCATTTTTGGTAAAGGAACTGAGAATATACAATGGAGAAAGAACAAAAGCAACAATGGAGAATAAATGGAGCTGGGAAAATGCTACCAGATGCAGAAGAATACCACTAGAACCGTCTCTCACCATATACAGAAATCAACTCAAAATGGATTAAAGATTTAAATGTAAGTCCCAAAACTATAAAACTACTAGAAGAATGCTTACAGGAAACACTCCAGACATGGGTCTAGGCAAAGACTTTATGGCTAAGACCTCAAAAGCACAGGCAACAAAAATAAAATAGACAAGTGGGACTATATTAAACTAAATAGCTTCAGCACAGCAAATGAAACAATCAACAGAATGAAGAGGCAACCTGTTGAATAGAGAAAATATTTGCTATGTATTCATCCAACAAGGAACTAACATCTAGAATATACAAGGAACTTAAAAAACTCAGCAGTAAAAATACAAATAATCCAATTAAAAAATGGACAAAGTGTCTGAATAGATGTTTCTCAAAAGGAGACATACAAATGGTCAACAGGTATACGAAAAACACTCAACCTTATTAAATATCAGGAAAATGCATATCAAAACTATAATGAAATATCATCCTATCCTATTTAGAATGGCTACTAATAGGAAATAAAAAATAATGGATAGTGGTGAGCATGTGGAGAAATGGGAACTGTTGTACACTCTTGGGAAAGTAAGTACAGCAATTATGGAAATCAGTGTAATGATTTCTCAAAAAACAAAAAATAGAACTACTATTGGATCCAACAACTCCACTCATGGGTATTTATATAAAGGAAAAGAAATCAATATATCAAAAGACTACCTGCACCCCCAGGTTTATTGAAGCACTATTCACAGTAGCAAAGTTATTAAATCAATGGGTGAATTCATCAATGGGGAATGAATAAATGGTGGTATATATATATACACAATGGAATGCAATTCAGCCATAAAAAAGAATGAAATCCTGTCAGTTGCAGAAACATGGATGTAACCAAAGGTCATTACGTTAGGTGAAATAAGCCAAGCAAGGAAAGACAAATACCACATGTTGTCACTAATATGTGCGAGCCAAAAAGGTTAATCTTAGGGAGGTAGAGAGAGTAGAATGACAGTTCCCAGGAACTGGGAAGAATGTAGGGGTGGGAAAATATAGAGATGCAGGTTAATGGATGCAAATGTCCAATTATATAAAGAAAATAAGTTCTAATGTTTGATAGCACAGCAGACTGACTAAAGTTAACAAAAATGTATATTTCAAAATAGCTATAAGAGTGGATTTGGCTGGGCGTGGTGGCTCATGCCTGTGATCCCAGCACTTTGGGAGGCCGAGGAGGGTGGATCACGAGGTCAGGAGATCGAGACCATCCTGGCTAACATGGTGAAACCCCGTCTCTACTAAAAATACAAAAAAAAAAAAAAAAATTAGCCGGGCGTGCTGGTGGGTGCCTGTAGTCCCAGCTACTCGGGAGGCTGAGGCAGGAGAATGGTGTGAACCCGGGAGGCGAAGCTTGCAGTGAGCCGAGATCGTGCCACTGCACTCCAGTCTGGGTGATGGTGTTAGACTCCATCTCAAAAAACAAAACAAAACAAAAAAGAGTGAATTTAAAATGTTCTCAACAGAAAGAAATGATAAATGCTTGAGGTCATGGATACCCTAAATATCTTGACTGATACACACATTCTATGCATGTATCAAAATGTCACATGTATTCCATAAATATGTACAAATATTATGTACCAATTTTAAAAAATTTAAAAAATAAACAACACCATATGGGGCATTTAAAAAGGTACAAAAATTATGAGCATGATAAAAATTTGGCAAATATTTTCCTTTTTATTAAGATCTTTTTCATTCCATAAGTTTAAGGAGAATAAAGCCCATAAAGCATCAGAAGAAGTTGCTCTCCTGAAAGAGACTCTTCTGCTCAGTTAAAAAGACAGAAACAGAATCACTGGAGTGAGTAGGACTTTGGAGAACTGCACAGCACCATGTCTTAGTGTCTGGGATTACACAGACTTAGGGAGGAGGCCTCACCTTCCAGGAAGAACTAAACTTTGGTTCTCTTTCTTGTTTTTTCTATTGCAAGACCAAAATTTTAGAAAACCAAGAGAAAGATTTCAGCCAAAGGGATGTACTGTCTATTACTCTCTTTTATTTTTTAGAATATCCATTGTCAAAGACGATCCAGACTGTTACAAGAGGAATTGTGTTCCTACGCCACCAAAATCCACATGTTGAAGCCCTATGTTGAGAAGGCAGAAGAAGTGGCCATCTATAAGCAAAGGAAAGAGGCCTCAGAAGAGATCAACCCTGCAGCACCTTGACCTTGCACCTGTGGCCTCTGGAACTGTGAGACAACACATATTTATTATTTAAGTCACCCAGCCTTTGGTACTTTGTTATGGCAGCCCTAGCAAATTAAAACAGAAATATTACCTTTTCTACCTTGTCCTATGTATGAACATGAGATTTTTTTAGGAGTATGAATTACCTGAGATTTCAAAAGATAGAGTGAGGCAATTGAAAATAGATGATATAGGGTCATTTCCAAGCCTCTGAGTGTCCCCTGGCCACCACAGAAAAATGAAGATGTTCCCATTCCCTTTCAGTTTCACACAAAGCAAAAGTTGTAGACCTAAACTGACATAGAATCGCCAACTGCATTAATTTATTTGAGATAATGAGGGAGCTAGTTTTGCCCAAATTTCACAGAAAGACGATGAACAAGTAGTAAGCTAAAGAGGCTTCTTTTGCAGGGGATTGCAGGTATTATATGTTTTTCTCCTACTTTTAAGATACATTTTCCTAAAAAGTTTTGTCTAGGAGTAAATGTCATCACTTTGCTTTTTTTCCTCCCAATTGAATCACTGGTTCCTCCCTGCATTTCAGTAATGTTGCTAGCATGGAGGTGTTTGTCCATGATTCACAGATGATTCAAAGAGCAGAGAGCTTCTCCTGAGGTCACACAGCACGTAAGCGGTGGAACAATGGCAGGCACATGACTCTCTAGGCCCCTAGTCCAGTTTTCTGGGTTCTATGAGAATTATAGCCCTTGGTTTCTGTTACATGTGGTTCTCTTTTGAGCCAGAGAAGGAGGACGCACAGTGAGAAGAAAGTGCCGGAGCCCCAAGTCCTGGCTTAGATTTACTGGGCTGGGGCATGGAGAGAGAGGCTGCCACTGATTCTCTTAACTCCAGCTTCTATTACCAGTCACTAAGCTGAAAGCAGGAAAGTTTATCTTCTGCACTTGGTCCATCAGAACCAAGATGGCAGAAAGCCCCACTATCTACCATGGAAAAGACAAGGGTCCCTCTTACCTTGAACCATGACCCAGCTTTCTAACTACATGTGTTTTTCTGCACATGTAGCTATTTTTCTTCTCATCAAGCTCCAGTACTCACAGTGCAAACACAGGAGATACTGAGCCTGATGCTCTGATGGAAGCTCTGAGTTGAGATTTTATTTTATACTTAGGTGCCTCTGAATCATTAGAGTTTTTTGCCTGACTCCACTCTGGCCCCATTTCAATCAAGGTCTATATGCTCTGGGACCTCTCCAGGTTCTCATCAGAAATGAAAAAAAAAAAAAAAAAAAGCCATGTCCAGCTCCTGGGTCCTCCCTGATAGCAGTGAGAGGCAGCTCCTAATGGGAGAGAGCCTTGGGGTGACCAAGGCCTCACAGACTTCATTATTCCTGGACCACATGGCTCCAGCCTCCTGATCACAATGGATCAGTGGTCTTAGATTCCGCTCCAATATTTGAAGTTTTTTGTTCTTCGGCCTCGGCAAATGCTCTCTGGTTGAGATGAAGGGAAAAGACACAGAGACGCAAAAGCTGTGACTGCATGGAACTCTGTCCAATGTACCTCCCGGTGTTCTCTTACTTATGTTGGCCATGTCCTCATGAATTTAGTGAAATGGGCATGTTGTCTCTGAGTGGAAGTGAGGGGACACCACTGGGCAGAGCTCCATCGAAGGGTGGCTGGTGTCCTCTATACCATTTATCTACACATGTTGGGGTTTTTCTAGCATAAAATGTCCCAGAGGCAGCCAAACCCGAAGCTTGGCTCCTCCAAGGAATGAGTGTGAGTATCATAGCCCTGGCCAATGAGCACTGAACTCTAGAGAGACCAAGAGACCTTCTAAATATTGGGACACTTTAGTTCTGAATCCCAGAAGTTGGCTTCTTGCCTGGGAGGCAGGTGTCACTGCATCTGATCCAAAAAAGCAGCCCCATAGCTCAAGATGCTCTTCTGGATTTCTGCCTCTTCCTGGTTCCTGGCCAAGCAAATCTTCACTGCTTTGCTAGCCCATCTATAAATTCAACCAGACTTTTCAAATATGTATTTTCCTCCCATTTTTCCAGTTGTAGTCAATGGGAGAAGTGGTCCAAATGACCTAATCAGCAATTGCTGGAAACCAAAGTAACAGTATACAATTCTATGTGTTAATATCATATACCAAGAGAGAAAATGTATAGATATCAGTAGTAGCCATTTAAGCACTGTAATAATATCTATCTATATCCCATGAGTATAATATATATAAATAAATGAAAACAAGAAAATAATCTTTATGTGTAATACATGACTATGACTCTGACAGACAAACCTGAGAGCATAGTACGACGACACTTATCACCTTCACTCATGAGCCAGATAGTGTGAAATGAGAAGCAGAGATTTGAAATGTGTTGCAAAACTCTCTCAAAGAAAGTAGAGTAATATTTTTCGTGAGCAAATCAAAGCAATCTCCTCACAAATCACATTGGACTTATAATGTGTGGGATGTATCTTTATTAAAATGGAGGTAATCCTAGGTATGTGGTCTTTTTTACATGAACCGTACTGTCACTGGCTCACTAGCTGTCACTTCACCAACAATCATTCCATTTAATAAAAGGGAGATCCCTCCATGGGCCAGCATTTCCCAGGTGGAGGCCTCTTGCAGACATAATCTTCCAACAGAGAATTTCCCTGGGAACCTAGAAAGAAGAGAAGAGGCTCAAGCAAAAAGGATGAAAGAAATAGCAGCAACGGCCGGGCATGGTGGCTCACACCTGTAATCCCAGCACTTTGGGAGGCCGAAGAGGGTGGATCACCTGAGGTCAGGAGTTCAAGACCAGACTGCCCAACATGGGGAAACTCCCTTTCTACTAAAAATACAAAAAATTAGCTGGGCGTAGTAGCGGGCGCCTGTAATCTCAGCTACTCTGGAGGCTGAGGCAGGAGAATCGCTTGAACTCAGGAGGTGGAGGTTGCAGTGAGCCGAGATGGTGCCACTGCACTCCAGCATGGGCAACGAGAGCAAAACTCCATCTAAAAAAAAAAAAAAAACCAACAGCGATAATATCATACACTGTCATGGTGCTATGTGTTAATCTGTGTCCTTAGCACTTTCAAAATATGAATTCATTTAATTGTCACTATACAACTATGGGGTGTGCCTGCTAATTTTCCGTTTTCAGGTGATACAATAGGAAAGAAGGTCGCCTACAAGTCGTGGTGGAGCTGGGCTTGCACGCAGACAATCCTGCCCCAGGGCCATGCTCACATCTCTGCACTATCCAGAATGTGAGGGTGGGTGGAGAGTCCAGCTCAGGGAGAGTGATTGGAGAGACAGAATAATAAGAAGAGTGGGCAGACTGGATCACTCTGATGGTTCTGGGGCTTCTCTTCCAGGAGAGAAGAAGACAAAAATTATGTCACCATCAAGGAAAGTATCCAAAGTCTCTGGCTTAAACCTGGGCATCTCCAGCTCTGGGACAGGTGGCTGGGCAGGGAAGACAAACTAAGCCAAGGGCCCAGCTCGGAAGAGTTTCCTTTCCTGAGAATTCTGCAGGAGTTTCCCTGACCTCATGGCCACCTCTCATACTTTGCTCTTGTTTTTTCCCCAGGGCCGATGAGGGCTTCGTATCTGGTTTCCAGTGGGGTCTAAAGACGCCATCAGAGTGAGTGGAGATTGGGCTTCATAAAGTGGGAGATCTCCAGGATCCTTCCTGGAATCCAAGATTCCCAGAGAAGCCGGATCCCGCGTCCCGGAACCCAACTCCTGCTGCTCTATGAGCCCTGACCTTGGGGAGACCTGGGCTAGTGAGGAGAGGATCAAGATGAACTGGGCTGGGGAGGCAGGAGGTAAAGGGCGGCCTGGAGAGCTCAGCAGCTCCTCCCACGGCGCTTCTGCCCCGGTCTGGGGTCTGCAGACTCCTCAGGTCATATCTCCAAGTACGCCGCCCCACGCCACCCTCCCGTGGTCCCTGTCCCTCTGTCCCCTCCCCAGCTCCCCCTACACCGTAAGAAGCTCCCAGGTAAGCGGCTCCAGGGCCGGGCGGTAGGCAGGAGGGAGCCCGGGAGGCTGGGTCCCCACGGGGAGGCGGAGAGAGCGCGTCAGGGAAACAGGGAGCGGGCGGGGTCCCTCTCCCGCTCTCAAGGTGCCGGTTCCCGGGGCCCAGGCTCGCACTCCTGGGTACTTGGAGGCCAGGGGAGAGGGAGGACTGTGGCAGGTGAGGCAAGGAGCTGTCTGAGCCGCTCAGCAGCCTCCAGGAGTCGGCTCTCTCCAGGCCTGTCTTCACTCCCGTGCCTGGCCCTACCCAGGCCCCCACTCTTACTCTGCTCTCAACCTGGCCCCAGACAGGATCCCAAACAACTCCTGTTCCTAATGTGAAAAATGTTTCTGCCGCTTTAGGCAGAACTTGCTTTAGAGCACTGGCGCAGACTTCCGCAGGTCTTGTGTCTGAATTTCTTGGCACTGTGCCTTTTTTCACTTATTCTTCTGCAAGGAAGGAATTATATCACTGGTTGGATGAGACAATTGGCTCAGATGGGTTCATTGAGCACTCACCCACTGGGCAAGTGTCTGCTGGGGCCAGCTCTGGGCCAGATGTGCCCAAGGCTCTATAGCTAGCTGGTGGAAAGGCCTGGAGGGTTCATATTCAAGTCCACCTGACTTGAAAACTCATATTGACCTTACTTAAGTACCGATTCCCCCTTTATAATCCATGCCATAAACTTCATTGTCTTATTTTAAGAAATTGCCACAGCAGCCTTTAGCAACCACCCTCTTGAACAGCCGGTAGTCATCAACATTGAGGCAAGACCCTCCCCCAGCAAAAAGATTAAAATTAGCTGAAGCCTCAGACGACTGTTAGCATTTTTTAGCAATAGAGTAATTTTAAATTAAGGTATGTACATAGTTCTTTCATACATAATGCTATTGTACACTTACTAGGCTACAGTAGAGTGTGAATATAACTTTTATATGTACTGGAAAAACAAAAATTTGTGTGACTTGTTTGTTACCATGGTCTGAAACCAAATCTGCAGTATCTCTGAGGTATGTCTGTAGTTTCCCTTTCCCTCTTTTGAACTTGTTCTTGTCCTTGTCTGGTCCTGCAAGCTGTATGAGTTTGCCTTCTCTGGTAGGTCTGGGGACATTGTATCCCTTATAACCTTGGTTCCTGGCATATGACACTGGTACCAAGCTCTGTTGGACTAGTGAGGCTCCCTACACACCTCCTGAACTAGAGCAAAAGCTCTGTGCACACACCGTGCATGTGTGAGCCTGTGAGGAGACGGTGCCTTCCTGCAGGCTGTTCTGAAGGGGTGTTCTGTTGTGACTGGAGGAAATAGCAATGGGCCCCTGGGCAGAAGTGGCTCAGAATGGAATGGATGGCCCCAGTTTTGATCATCTGGGAACAGGAAGATTCTCAGATAAAAACCCATGTTTTAGAAGACAAAACTGCCCAAGAGTGGACAGCAGCTAACCAGTAAGCTATCTGGGATATCACTGTACACTGGGAGGGAAGATGGCCTCTGCCATGGTGTAGGGTGCCTGACCCAGACAAGGAGGCCTTCCTAGGGGTCAGTGCTTCTGAAGCACCTTTAAATGAGGACAAATACCTCATGTTCATGATTAGCCGACTTGTGCCCACTCAGTGGAAAAAGAACCCAGAATTTTGCAAAATTTTCAGAGAGAGGGATTCCCCTCTTGTCTCTTAGTGCTAGGGTTATGCATGACTCGTGCTTGAATTACAGTGTGTACACAGCTGAAAGTCTTAATTATTAGAATATAAGAGGCCCAAACTACTGCTGTTACAGATATGTAAAACTACACAGTATAAGTTTAAACAACCCACAACCAATTAACAGTGAAGATAAATTAACAACCTTTGTAAAATTTAAAACAAGATTGGCAACCCTTTAGAAAAAAAATGAGACTTTTGCAAAACAATCTAAATGATACACTAATAACAAACCTTCATGAAAATGACATTTCAACCATCTGAATTTCTGCTTTAAGTTATAAACTCCAAAATGAACTAACTCCTAATAATTTACAGTAGGGAGCTCTAAGCCACAAATAAAGGTGTCAGGACAGACCTGAGACCTGGAGTGAGCACATCCCTCAGGGTCATGAGTCAATCCTGTAAGACCCTTCCTCCCTCAGACACTCCATCCAGTCATCAGGAGGTCAAGAAAAGTTCCCCACAGCACTAAGACCCAACCACCTCACTGTCCTCACCTCCATGGACAGAGCCCAGGTGAAAGCCACCCCTGCTCCTCCTCCCGCATCTCCCACAGGCTCAGCACCATCGTCGGCCTGGAGTGCACCTGGACTGAGCTCATCATGCTCTGTCCCTGTTTGTGTCAGTCACACTGGGTCCCCCACATACTCTGCACTTGCATCCCCACAAGGCTCTGCACACCTCTATTCTGTCTCCCCGACCTCCCCAGCCACAGAAATCTTCCCAGTGCACCCCCTGGATTTCTCAGTCCACATCAGCAAAACCTCCTCATCCTCTCTCAGGATGTTCCTGCATCTCGCAGCTCCAGCAGCAACCTGGGTCTCCCTGAGGACATGACCCCCTCCGAAGTCCTCCCACATGGGGGAGTTTCCCCAGGGACTTGTACCCCTGGGTTCAGAGGTGAGGTGGGGTCCTTGCTCCTCATTGTGGTTCTCAGAACTTTCTGCCTCCCTCCTCCCTAAAACCCCTAGGCTGTCATCAGATTAGAGCCCCATTTGCCTCACTGTAACCATTCCCTGTGGGCCCCAGGCTGTTCTTCTCAATCCTGAGTCTTGTAGCTCCTGGTTCACTGTCACCCTCTCCAGCATTGCTGTCTCCTTGACTCTTGGTGACTTCAACATACGCAGATGTGGTGGGCTGAGTAATGGTCCCCAAAGATGTCCAGTCTTAATCGTTGGAACCTGTGAACAGGTTGCATTGCGTGGCAAAAGGGATATTACTCATGTAATGAAGATTAAGGACCTTAAAATAGGGAGATTCTGCTGGACTCTCTGTGTGGGCCCAATCAAATCACAAGAGCCATTAAAAGCAGAGAGCCTGCCCTGGTTGGAGTCAGATTCTGCAGAGGAGGAAGGCAGAGGAGAAGCTGGAGAGGGGAGGTCAGAAGTTCCAAGCAGGAGGATTGAATGTGCCTTAGGCACCGTGTGTGAGTATCTGAGAGAAGGCTCTAGGAGCTAAGGGTGGCTCTTAACAAGGAAGTGGAAACCTCTTTTCTATCTGCAAGGAAGTGAATTCAGGCAAGAACCTGAATGAGCTTGGAAGTGGATTCTTCCCCAGAGTCTATGGAAAGGAATGCAGACCTTCCCGTATGTTGATCTTAGCCCCATGAGACTGGGTGGACTTGCAATCCACACGACTGTGCCATGATACATAGGTGCTGTTTAAAGCCATTTGGTTTGTGGTAATTTTTATGGCAGCAATAGACACCCACACAGCAGAGAAGATGCCCTCGCTTCCTGGCCTCTCAGATCCTGGAACTCCTCTCCTCCATGATCTTCTCCTGTCTGCCTGAATCTCATGCCCTTGTTATCCCCTAGGCCTCATCATGGCTAAGAACCCCAGCCCTTCCATACTCTCTATCTCACACTTCCCACTCTCTGACCATCTTTCCACTCATCCCCTTGCAAGGTGGCCACAGGCTCTGAGGACACAGATACTATCATTTTACCATATGCTGTGATGTAATATCAGTGGACCACTCATTGCATATGTGCTTGCTTTCCATGCTTGGAGTCTACCCTGTAGTACATCAATTCCAACAATCGTTCCACCCTCCTGGGATTCCCAATCCAGTGATCCTGCCATCTACTCACTGTCCCTCACCCTGGGTGTCCTGTCCTCCCTCCTCACCCATTTTGAATTCTATGGTAAATAATTTCCATCCCTCCCTTCCCTCTCCCTTGAATTGTCACACTCACCTGGCAAAACTACACAGCTGGTGGGTTCCACCTCTGCCTATGCTGAGCCTGCCCCCATGAGCTGCAGGAGGCTGGAGAGCAGCACACAGTACGCTGACTGGTCTCTTAAAATTTAGGATTCCAAACCACATAGGAAGTCCCTACCATGGCCAGCAATCACCCTCTCCCTGCATGGCTCACCCTCAGCCTCCTCCTGGCCTGGGTGACTCTTACACACCTTTTCTTTGTGCTCACACATCCAACCTGCCTTCCCCATTCTTACTTCAGCTGATGACCTTGCTTCCCACTTCACTGAGAAAACTGAACACATTAGAAGACAACTTCACAGATTCCACCACTGTCTGCTCATGCATTTGCAGCTGCACCACATGTCAGGCGTTTTACCATGTGAGGGACTGTTGTGGGTTAACCCTTCTGCTCCCAGCCAGAGCCAGACCCTCTTCTGGTGCCCCAATTGCCATCCCTTATCATCTACTTAAAGGTGTCAGTTCATCAATTAATACCATTTTTATCTTTATTGTCAACCTTTTTCCTCTCTCCCCACTGGATCATTGTGGCAGTCATGAGAATGCACATCCCAGCCCCTCATCTAGAAGAAGCAGAATTGATGATGGCCCCAGCTCTTGAAGTCTGAAATCTATTGCCACATTTGCTCTGAGACTATGCCCACCCCTGGCTTTTTCCAGCCAATGATTGAGGAAAGTAGGGCAGAAACTAAGGCAGGACATTCCTCTTCTGAAGGCTGACTGAAGCTCCAGGGCTCCCTGCCACCCTTACTGAACTTCCCTTAGCCTGCACAGGGTCTAGGATGCTTCCAGCTGACCTTCCTGCACTCTCTACATCACTGAGGCTCAGAGTTGCTTTGTGGTCCAGTGGCTTTCCCAGCATTTTCTATCTCATGAATTTCTCTCACAAGTATTTCCTCTAATAAATCCTTACATGTTTACTACTGTATTGGGGTCCGCTTCTCAGGGGACCCTAACTAACACAAGTGGCATGAAGGGTCATCCATGAAAACAGGCAAAAATGGGAATTTGAAATAAGCTTCCCACTGCCTGGCAGGCCTAGAGGATGCCACCCGGGTTGGTGGCAGACACAGAAAGTCCATGGCACAAGGTGCAGCTGAGCAGCTGGGGGTCTCACCAGTGCTGAGCTGAGAAGTTGCCTTGGTTAGGGAGTGCTATGGCACATGCAGTGATAGAATGCCCTGCATAATAAGGACAGGGTTGGAAGAAACCTACAAAGACAGTGGCTTTGGCTAGTTACTTCTCAGCTGCATCGATGCTGTGTAAAAAGATAATGAGAATCTGCGGATTGTTGACAGCTATGACTGGCTACATTTGACACCCTCGGCAGTGTCTCATGGACAGGTCTTTATCTCCTGTAGCAAAAGGGCAGATAGCAAGGAATGTTAGCTCTACATCACTATGAGGGCCACAGTGCTCCAGAGATGTTTGACACTCAGCCAAGGCAGGCCTGTTACAGGAAAGTCAGGGCTTTGGTGGGGAAACCTGAGATTCTGCAAACTGGAACAGGATTATGCGATGCATGCCCTCCAGGATCTTCTGGGCATGCAGAGGAGGCTCACCCTTCTCTAGTAATGGTTCCCACTTTCACTGCTGGAAGATGCTACACAATCCTCACCCCTATGATGCCGCGGGAATCCCACTCAGGAGGTTTGCAGGAACTAGCCAGCACGTCCCCATAGGAGCCCAGGGACTACTTCTGGGATTGGAATTTGAGGGTGTTTGATCAAGGAACCAGAATTTCAGGCTGGATGAATATAATCCTTTGGCTTGAAGACACTTTCTCAGGGCATGGATTTATCAAACACTCCAGGACTTTGATAAGTGGAGTAAACCCACTGCTGGGGTGTATCCACATAGTCTAGAAAAAAACATGCCCAACTCTCAACAAGGTAGACATGTCTTAGTTGCCCTGGAACATGTAGAGGATGGAATAACAAGCTGAGGGGAGTGGGCTTGGTGAAGGCCTACCAAAACCATGCTCTACAAGAGGGCCCAGAGGACACACCTTCCACCAGAGCCTCAGGAACTTGATGGTGAGAGGGACCTGCATCACTAAGAAGTGTCAGGGTATTGTCCTTTGTAGGCTGGGGGTGATGGTAGTAAAGATAGTCCCAGAGTTTCATTTCTAATATCACTGGGGAGAGTGTGGCCCTGAAGAGACAAAGACCAAGTGGTGGCAGTGACTTGCAAAAGCCAGAGGGCACGGTTACTATGGCAACCTCGGAGGAGAAGCCAAGAGGACTCAAGCTGCAGGGAATGTGGGGAAGTATAATAGAGGGTGGTGTCCCAGGGTTAGGACAGGCAGCTGGTTGATATCTATGATAAGAAAGCAAGAATTGAGAAGCAGGAGGGTGAAGGTGTTTGACTCAATACAAAATCATGATCCCATCCTCAATGCCTAGACCTCAGCCAAGATGCAGATTCAGATCTCAGTGACAGAGGAAGAGTCCATATCTCTAGGCGGAATACTCTGCAACCCCGTGGAAGTATATGCTGGGACAATTCCCTCAGTCCTTCGGCAAAGGACCATATAGCCATTTACTCAGGAGATTGTACACTGGGGAAAGGAAACAGGCAGAACTGGGGAGATTATTGACACTGGGTGTGAACTGACATTGATGCTCAGATGCCCACAGCACTATCATGTCTCTCATCACAGTGGGGCTTATGGAGCTCAGGGAGTAAACCTGGACACATTATGGCCCACAATGGAACTACTGGATCCATAGACCCAGCCCTGGTTATCTTCCTATACCCTGAGTGCATAATTGACACTGATGCACTGCTAAGTGGAGTTACCCCCACCCTGGGTCCCTAGTCTGTGGAGTAAGGACTTTCATTGTGCTGAAAGCCAAAGGGAAACCTCTGACACTGCCCCCATCCTGGCCAAATCAAAAATCATAGTGTGTCCCAGGGTGGGTCTTGTGTAAGATACTTCAAGTATTGTGGGGATCACATCACCATTACAGAGCTGAAGGATGTGGGATGGTGTTGGGGCTGTCTATTGTCTCTACGTAATCCAGCAACCTGTCCCTGAAGAAGCCTGATGAAGCCTAAAGAATGAACTAGATTACTCCAGGTCTGGCCAAGTAGGAGTTATAATTGCAGCTTTTGTGCTGTCTGGATATCACTGGTAGAGCAGATTAATAAACCCTTGGACACAGAGCATGCAGCTGTGGATTTGGTGACTGCATTTCTTTCCACTCCAATTAGAAAGTGGATATGGAGTGATTCACATTCATGTGGGATCCTCAAAACATTGATTTATCATTTGTCTCAGGGCTATTGTAACTCCCCTGACCTCTATAGTATAGTCTTAAGACTATACTAAACATACTGGATATCCAATAGGATATTAAATCAGCTCATATCATTGACAACTTCCTGTTGACCTGGCTGGATGAGCAGCAGGTAGAAAGTGCACTGTAGTGCTTGGCAAAA
This sequence comes from Homo sapiens, assembly GCF_000001405.40. Lineage (NCBI taxonomy): Eukaryota > Metazoa > Chordata > Mammalia > Primates > Hominidae > Homo > Homo sapiens. The sequence continues at coordinate 1,177,045 of NT_167249.2, forward strand.
CACGGGCACTCCAGAAGGTGAAGATAAACCTTACAAAGCTTCCAGAGTGGCCACTCGGCCAGGTGCAGTGGCTCACGCCTGTAATCCCAGCACTTTGGAAGGCTGAGGTGGGTGGATCACCTGAGGTTGGGAGTTGGAGACTAGCCTGACCAACACGGAGAAACCCCGTCTCTACTAAAAATACAAAATTATCCAGGCATGGTGGCCCATGCTGGTAATCCCAGCTACTTGGGAGGCTGAGGCAGGAGAATCACTTGAACCCAGGAGGCAGAGATTGCAGTGAGCCAAGATCGTGCCATTGCACTCCAGAGTGGGCAACAAGAGCAAAATTCCATCTCAAAAAGAAAAAGATAGTGGGCATTGAAGTAAAGTTTTATGGGTGAACAATGGCCAAGTGTTTAGGGGAATGCAGGTGTGTCCCCTCCAAGGTAACAGACAAACTGTTTCATCTTGCATCCTCACCAGAAAGAAGGAAGCACACTGCCTGATGAGCCTCTTCCAGTTCTGACAACACCACTTTCCACATCTAGGTATGTTGCTTTGGCCCACACTCTAGGTGACATAGGAGGAGGCCAGCTTCAAGTAGGGCCCACACAGAAAAGGACCCTGCAGCAGATCCAGGCCATGGTGCGAGCAGCCACCATCTCTCAGACCCCCTGGTGCTGGTGATGCCATTGGTAGGGAAAGATGCAGGATGGAGCTGAACCAAGCACCAGTGGGAAAGTCACAGTGAAAGGCCTGGGATTCTGGAGTAAGGTCATGTCATTCACAGCAGAGACATATGCCACCTATTAGAAGCAACTTTTAGTGTCCCTTGTCCTGATTAGACAGAATGCTTGACCACAGGACACCAAGCAACTATGTGGTTCCGAGTGCCTGTGTGACCCACAGAGTCATAGATTAGACAGGCCCAACAGCATCCATCATGAGGTGAAAATGGTCCACCTGGGTTGAGCTTGAATCCCATGTTTACACCCAGAGAAAATACCCAAGTCTGAAGTGGCACTGAACAACCAAACAGACAAATGGAAGTTAGCCAGCCTTCACCATGGGTCAGCCCTGGTTTGGTAGGATGAGTTCATGAATGGAGCAACCACAGTGGCAGGCATGAGGCTACGTATGGGGCCAACAGCACTGACTCCCCCCTACCAAGGCAGATCCAGCTGCCGACACCTCTGAATGTCCAACTCATTAGCAATTGAGGCCCATGATGTGCCCCAGTGGGGCACTATTTCTTTAGGTGACTAGCCACTAAGTAACAAGTTGACTACATTTAGCTACTTCCATCCTGGAAGGGCCAGAGGTTCATCTTCACAGGGATAGGCTCCTATTCCATGGGTGTTTTCATGTCCTGCTCTCAGAAACTCAGCCAGCACCTCTCCGGGTGCTGTTGACATTCCTGATCTGCAGGCTAGGCGGTGCTCCTAGCCCATTATCTGCCTGAAGGACCCACTTGGCTGGGAAAGTTTCAGTGTTTCCATGGCTGTGGGTTCCACTAATCCTATCACCATCTGCACCATCCAGAGGCTGCCAGCCACAAGGAATGCTGGACAGGTCTTCTACAGGCAAAACTCAGTGCCAGCCTGGAGGAAGCACTCTGAGAGGTGGGTGCCATCTTTTAGGACACGGTGCATTGTTTGAATCAGAGATGTCTCTAGAGTGCTGTGTTCTCAATAGGAAGAACATGTGTGTCCAGGGATCAAAAGATGGAAGCAGGTTTGGCTCCACGTCCAATCCCTTAGATTCACTCAATGGGGTATTTTGCACGTTTTATCTTCCAACACTGGGCTGTGCAGGGTACGAGGTCCTGGTTTCCAAGGAGGGTACCCTTAAAAGGAGACAAAAGACAGCCCACTGAACTACACATTATGGTTGTCACGAGAGAAGTTTTGATAGTTTGTGCCCAGAGACCACCTGGTGAAAAGAGGATTCTCCTCCTCTCCAGGCCCAGGTAATAGATCCTCATCTTCAGGAGAAGGCATGGCTACTTTCACACAATGAGGGCGGAAGTGTGTGTGGAAACCAGAGATCCACCTGGGGGCCTTCTGGTTTCCCTTACCTCATTGTAAGTGTGAGCAGAATCATCCAGCAATTCAGCCTGAGACAGCTTGATTTCCAAGGACCCAGACCCGTCAGGGCAGAAGGTTTGAGTAATGCTCGGTAATCTCCCAAGGCCCTGCACCTGTGCTCTGACATCCTCAGTAGCATTGGTGCTGAGGTCCTGCTTCCAATGGGCTGTTCCCAACCAGTGACAGATCACACCAGTGACACGAAAGCAGGACATTCCTGGGAGACCAGGGACTCCTCTGATGGCCAACTGTAGCTCAAGGACTCCTCCATGGCCTTGCTTAACTCTCCTTAGATTGCCTGTGGTCTATGGCACATCCAGTAAACCTTGTCTCCTTCTGTCCATCACTGGGGATCACCTTTGCATCTTGTTGCCTTTCCCAGGGTAACCTACCTCCCTTGCCATATCACCTGACAGGTGTGTCCCCTAATAAAATGCTATAACTTTAATCCCATGATGGAACTTGCTTTTTGGAGCATTTGGACTATAAAATCATTTTCATCTGCCCACTAGTGATCTCTTACTTATTCCAATGTGTAAAATCTTTTTGTTTATTCAACTTCTACCTGCATTGGCTCCATTTTGCTGGTATTTGTATTATGCTTTTGAGTTCCTCAATGTTTATTGTTTAATCACTAAATTTGGGGGTAGTTTGTTACACAGCAATGGATAACTAATGAAGCCCTCTTACATTTCCATTATTCTATAGAAGTTAACTACATCTCTTTTATTTTCTCCTATTTTGATAATATTAGCCACACATAGGGTTTCTAGTTTCTCAACACCTATTCTTTTCTTTATTTTAGTTTCTTTTCTCCTTTATTCCTTCCCTTTTTTTTTTTTTTTTTTTGAGATGGAGTCTCACTCTTGCCCAGGCTAAAGTGCAGTGGCTCAATCTCAGCTCACTGCAAGCTCTGCCTCCTGGGTTCATGCCATTCTCCTGATTCAGCTTCCCAAGTAGCTGGGACTACAGGCACCTGCCACCACGCCCAGCTAATTTTTTTGTATTTTTAGTAGAGACGGGGTTTCACCATGTTAGCCAGGAAGGTCTCTATCTCCTGACCTCATGATCTGCCTGCCTCAGCCTCCCAAAGTGCTGGGATTGCAGGCATGAGCCACCACACCTGGCCTCTTCCTTCCCTTTCTCCTTCCTTCTAACCCTCCCTCCCTCTCTTTCTTCTCTATTTCCATTCAACCTATCACCTTCCCTCCTTCTTGCTCCCTTTCCTTCCCCTTCCCCTTCCTTCTTTTCTTCTTTCACTTTTTCCTCCATTCCTCCTTCTTTCCCTCCCTTCCTCCATTTTTTCCTTTTTATTATAAAATTTTCCTAAAATATAAAATAACCCTATGTGATTGGGCTGTAAGTAAGCATTTTCTGAATCTATATGTCAAAAGCATAATGTCTTTTATATGAGAAACAAGTAAACAACAGGAAGTTATTAACAGAATAAAAATGCTTGCTATAATTCTACCACCAAGACGGTGACTTTTAACACAATTCCTTCAACTCAGTGTTTTCAGAACACATCATCAACATCAAGTATTACACATTTATTGTAAAAGTTTAAGTAGCCACAATTACTTTGGAAATCATATTATCATTATCTAGTATGGTTAAAGTCCATACAATGTATCATGCAACCAACCCATTCCTAATCATCCACTCTGGGGGCTTTGGGGCTTTCTTGCCTATGTGCACAGGAGACATGCACACTAATATTTATGGCAAAAACTGGAATCGGCCACATGTACATCAATAGGAAACTGGTGAAATTGTGGTAAAACGATATGTAAGCCTTCAGCCGTAAAAATGAATGAATGACAGCCTCCCACACCACAGATAACTCCTACACATAATGTGTATCATGGGAAAATACATGCAGTAGGAATTTGCTGTACAGGAAGCTTAAAAACCAGCAAAACTAACTGAGGTTTGTTTTGGGGAGATATAGATATACTTATTGCACAAATCTTTGAAGGAATACAAAGGAATACGTATCAGAAGACTCAGGATGGAGTCTCCTGCCGAGACCAGCTCGGTCAGGAAGACCCTAACCCAGTGGTGCTAGAGGACTTAAAGACACACACACAGAAATATAGAGGTGTGAAGTGGGAAATCGGGGGTCTCACAGTCTTCAGAGCTGAGATCCCCAAACAGATATTTACCCACATATTTATTAACAGCAAACCGGTCATTAGTGTTGTTTCTATAGGTATTAAATTAACTAAAAGTATCCCTTATAGGAAGCAAAGGGATGGGCCGAATTAAAGGAATAGGTTGGGCTAGTTAACTGCAGCAGGAACACACCCTTAAGACACAGATCGCTCATGCTATTGTTTGTGGCTTAAGAATGCCTTTAAGCGGTTTTCCGCCCTGGACAGGCCAGGTGTTCCTTTCCCTCATTCTTGTAAACCCGCAACCTTCCAGCTTGGACATTAGGGCCATTATGAACATGTTACGGTGCTGCAGAGATTTTGTTTATGGCCAGTCTTGGGGCCAGTTTATGGCCAGATTTTGGGGGACTTGCTCCCAACGGTCTCCTTCTATGGGGTGACTGGGTAGCAGCCCAGGGTAGCTTTACAGGTTTGTGTTTTACACCAGTGCTGGGCACCCTGGTAGATACTTGATTATAATTCCTTAAACAGAGTTTTCCAAATTAAAATATACCTGTTTTTTATAGAAATGAAAAAGAAAAGAATTTCAAAGTTCATTGCAAAGATTCTTAACAAGAACTACTTACATTGGAAGAAAACCACAGAGAATTGTAAGGAGCCATGTGACAGAGAGGACCAGGATGCCATGAAAATGGCATTGGCTACAAATAGGTCATTTGATCCTTGGCTCCCTGGCATCTCTCTAGATTTTCAATGATACAATGTTCAATCTGCTGTGCAAGATAATTTCATCTTCCAAAGATTTGATGTTACATTTTACCACACATTAAACTGAAATAAACTTTTACAGATTGGAAATGCACATCATTGATCAAAATAAATGAAACATGAAAAGAGTAGGGAGGAATACCCAGTGATGGAATAGCAAATATGAATGGAAAACAGAATAGGACTGCTAAAAAGAAAAAAAAATTCAGAAGCATGTAATAGCAGCACTATTTAGAATCATAGTGGTGTCCAAATCACTTCTATCACATCTCATTCAATACCACAACAAAAGATGTTAAGTTTATTATAGAATGCCCATCAAATAGCCAGTTTTTGAAAAAAACTTGTTTCTCAATTAGAACTAACCATTTCCGGCTACAGCATCAAGCCAAAATTATTGGCATCATGCTAATAATTTTTACTAAAGTAAAATAAAGTTTACTGAAGTATGAGATTCACATTTTTGTAAATGAAAAGCAATTTGATAGGCATTTTTTTCTGCACAGCAAAAGAAACTATCATCAATCACAGTGAACAGACATCCTACAGAATGGGAGAAAAATTTTGCAGTCTATCCATCTGACAAAAGTCTAGTATTCAGAATCCACAAAGAACTTAAGCAAATTTACATGAAAAAAAAACTTCATTAAAAAGTAGACAAAGAACTTGAACAGACACTTCTAAAGAAGACATACATGTGGCCAACAAAAATATGAAAAAAAGCTCAACATCGCTGATCATTAGAGAAATGCAAATCAAAACCACAAATGAGATACCATCTCATGTCAGTCAGAATGGCAATTATTAAAAAGTCAAGAAACAACAGATGCTGGCGAGGTTGCAGAGAAATAGGAATGCTTTTACACTGTTGGTGGAAAAGTCAATCGGTTAATCCATTGTGGAAGACAGTGACAGTGTGGTGATTCCTCAGAGATTTAGAATCAGAAATACCATTTGATCCAGCAATCGCATTACAGGGTATATACCCAAAGGAATACAAATCATTCTATTATAAAGATACATGCATGTTTACATTCATGGCAGCACTATTCACAATAGCAAACACATGGAATCAACCCAAATGCCCATCAATGATGAACTGGATAAAGAAAATGTGGTACATATACACCATGGAATATTATGCAGCCATAAAAAGGAAGGAGATCAAGTCCTTTGCAGGGATATGGATGAAGCTGGAAGCCATTATCCTCAGCAAACTCACACAGGAACGGAAAACCAAACACCACATGTTCTCATTTATAATTGGGAACTGAGTAATGAGAACACATGGACACAGGGAGAGGAACAACACACACTGGGGCCTATTGGGGCAGGGTGGTGGTGGGAGGATCATTAGCAAAAATAGCTAATGCATGCCAGGGTTAATACCTAGGTGATGAGTTGACAGGTGCAGCAAACCAACATGGCACATGTTTACCTATGTAACAAACCTGCACATCCTGCACGTGTACCCTGGAACTTAAAAAAAATTAAATTAAAAGACAAGCTTAAAGAAAAAGACAAGCTGAAAGAGTTAATGAAAAATAATTAGATAAAAGAAGTCTTTGATTTTCAAAAACCTGAAACAATAGTTATAATTTTGCTTTTAACATATATTCAAAACATTTGATACTGTTCCCTTCCAGAGGTGCATCTTAATTCCCTCTCCTGAGTGTGGCTTGGACTTAATGAGGCACTTCTGATATGGCCTGGTTCTGTGTTCCCACCCAAATCTCATCTTGAATTGTTATGCGAATTGTAATCGCTACCTATTGGGGGAGGGACCACATGGGAGGTGATTGGATAATGGGGGTGGTGCCCCCATGCTGTTCTCGTGATACTGAGGGAATTCTCATGAGATCTGATGGTTTTATAAGGGGCTTTTCCCTGCTTCATTCTGCACTTCTCTCTCCTGTCATCATGTGAAGAAGGATGTGTTTGCTTCCACTTCTGCCATGACTGTAAGTTTCCTGGGGCAGGCTCCTCAGCCATGCAGAACTGTGAGTCAATTAAACCTCTTTCCTTTATAAATTACCCAGTCTCAGGTACTTCTTCATAGCAGTGTGAGAATGGACTAATATAACTTCTAACTTATAGAATAATGCTGACATAATGGTTTGTAACTCTGGGTGTAGAACCTAAAACTCACTGCGGCTTCCACCTTCTCTCTCTCTGTCTCTGGGATCATGAGCTCTGGGGGAAGCCAGCTGCTGTGCCACAAGCAGCCCTGCAGGAAGGTCCATGTGGCTGAGAACTGAGGCCTTCCGGGACCAGACAACAAAGAACTAGGCCTTTTCCAACAGCCATGTGACTGATCCATGTTTCATGTGAATCCTCAGCCCCAGTGAAGCCCTCAGATGATGCAGCCCTTGGCTGACAATTGGACTGCAACCTTGTGAGAGGCCCCGAGCAAGAAGCACTCAGGGAAACCTCTCCTGGACTCCTGACCATTGGAAACTGTGGCAGATGAGGAATATTTGTTGTTTTAAGCTAAGTTTTACATAATTTGTTATGCAATAGTAAATAAATAACACATTTTCACAAGAGAGGATGTATTATTACACATTAAATTGCATTTGCTTTAAATGTATCATCGTCATCATTATTATTTTTGAGACACAGTCTCGCTCTGTCACCCAGGCTGGAGTGCAGTGGCATGATCACCATGCACTGCAGTGTCGACCTCCTGGGTTCAAGGGACCCACTGATCTCAGCCTCCTGAGTAGCTGGGACTACCATCATGAACTACTATGCCTGGCTAATTTTCTAATTTTTTGTATAGATGGGGGTTTTGCCCAGGCTGATCTTGAACTTCTGGAGTCAACAAATCTGCCTTCCTCTGCCTTCCACAGTGCTAGGATGGCAGGCGTGAGCCACCATACCTGGCGTAAATTAATTATAAGATATTAAACATGTAACTTAGTTTTAAAAGGTAAGGAGAATTTCCATGGCTGAAGAGGATGTATTTTATGACCATTCACAATGATCACTTTACTTGAACTTCAATTTCCAACTGTGTCCGAAGTAAACACAAAAGGAAGATCCAACCCTTGCTAGGCTGATTCTATTATGCCCTCAACAACCAGCTCCTGGTCATTCACCATCCTCCAGTTATTCAATCAACTCTAATGTAGGTGCTGCTGTGAAGGGAGTTAGTGGATATAATTAAGGGTCTCAATTAGTTGACTTTAGGCTGGGTTTATCCTGCTTGGACTGTCCTAATCAGGTGAGACCTTGAAAGGACTGGGTTCTTCCTGAGCATAGAGACTCACAGTGTGAGAGGGACTCAGCATGAGGGGTTTCCTCCAGCATGGGCTTTGAAAATGAAAGGGCTGTGGGCCAGGTGCGGTGCCTCACGCCTGTAATCCCAGCACTTTGGGAGGCTGAGGCGGGCGGATCATGAGGTCAGGAGATCGAGACCATCCTGGCTAACATGGTGAAACCCTGTCTCTACTAAGAATACAAAAAAAAAAAAAAAAAAAAAATTAGCCAAGCGTAGTGGCGGGTGCCTGTAGTCCCAGCTGCTTGGGAGGCTGAGACAGGAGAATGGCGTGAACCTGGGAGCCATAGCTGGCAGTGAGCCGAGATCCGGCCACTGCACCCAAGCCTGGGCTACAGAGCAAGACTCCATCTCCAAAAAATAAATAAATAAAATAAAAAATGAAGGGGCTGTGTAGGAAAGAATGCTGGTGAGGACCAGGAATCGAGCACAGCCCTCCCTGTTCTCTACATTGACAGCCAGCAAGGAACAGGGACCTCAGTCTTACAACTGCCAGAAACTGCATTCTGCCACCTCTGTATAAGCCTGAAGGAGGATTCAAAATGAAAACACAGCTTTTGGAAGCCCAGAAGAGAGATTCCATCCACAATTTTGCCCAGATTTCTGATCAAGGAACTATAAGCAGATAAATGGGTGTTGTTTCGCCAGGCATGGTAGTGCACGAATGAATTGATGAATTGATATGCACACTAGTTACATAAAATAAAAATTTTCTGAACTTTTTCCGTGTTTTGCACTTTATAATTATCTGTAATGCAATTTAATACACTCATATTTCATTCATTCAGTCGACAAAAATTAATTTAGTCCCTACGATAAACCAGATATCCCCTCATATGCTCACGTGCCTGACACTCCAGAAGTTTCTCAAGACCGAGGTGGAGACACTGGAGTGTTTTAAGTGGAGAGATGACACACTCCGACTCCCAGGAGCAGGACCACTGTGAAAAGAACAGTCACGTAACAGGTCATGGGACAGTGCTAGTGTCACAACTCACAAGTGACAGTGTGGTGGGGACTAAGGGGACAGGAGGGCCTGAAGGATGAAAAGGACGGAGAGAAGGGCTGGAGAAGCAGGAGGTGAAGAAAAGGAGCAGAGGAAAGAATTCGAAAGCAGCAGAATTCTTAGGTTTAAATACATTGTTTTATGGATTTTAATACATCCATCTACAGAGCCTAGCAGGGTGTCCTTGGCAGTTGGTCTTTAATACCTCATGTGGGTCTGCCTAAAAACTAATTTTTTAATGTTAATCAGGTTTAAAAATTACTAAGTGTTCCTATAAAATATACACAACACTTAGCAGCGGATACTTCCTAAAAACAGGCAGTGCATGAGCACTAGTGAGGGGCATTGTGACTACACTGAACAGTTGCAACTTTGAGGTGAATAAAGCCTGTACTGACTCCTGGTTGCAACGTACCTGGTTGCAAAGTACACAGTGTGCTACTTTGTATTGAGGAGATATCCTGGACTCACACAGAAACTCAGAGCTATGGAATGATGGCAAATTTAAAATATGACAAGCGGGAGTCACAGGTACACTGCAAAAGTGAAACTTAGAAGCTTTGTGAGTCCTGTTGTAACGCTTTTGGGCACATTTATACATCATGGGGCCAAAGTCACATTTTTTACCTATTAGATTCCTGATCATTCAGGGGTTACCAAGGTTCTGCTATCCAATGTATTTAATAAACAAATAAATAAATAAACTGGTCTCTATTCTGTCTCATGCACTCAGACACAACTTTTCCCAATAAAAAAAAAAAAAAAAGGAAAACAAAAAACAGTTTCTACACCTCCATTCCCAAAGCAAGCTCACTCTCTGTCACCAAACTCCGTGGGTGACTTTTCTTCTAGAAGAGTCCAGATGGACAGGGAGTCCAGTTCAGGGACGGAGATTCCTGGATGAAAAGTGAAGGGAGAGGGACAGGGCCCATGCCGAGGGTTTCTTCCTGGTTTCTCAGACAGCTCCTGGGCCAAGACTCAGGGAAACACTGAGACAGAGCGCTTGGCACAGGAGGAGCGGGGTCAGGGCGAAGTCCCAGGGCCCCAGGCGTGGCTCTCAGGGTCTCAGGCCCCGAAGGCGGTGTATGGATTGGGGAGGCCCCGCCTTGGGGATTCGCCACCTCCGCAGTTTCTCTTCTTCTCACAACCTGCGACGGGTCCTTTTTCCTGGATACTCACGAAGCGGGCACAGTTCTCATTCCCACTAGGTGTCGGGTTTCTAGAGAAGCCAATCGGTGCCGCCGCGGTCCCGGTTCTAAAGTCCCCACGCACCCACCGGGACTCAGATTCTCCCCAGACGCCGAGGATGGTGCTCATGGCGCCCCGAACCCTCCTCCTGCTGCTCTCAGGGGCCCTGACCCAGACCTGGGCGCGTGAGTGCAGGGTCTGCAGGGAAATGGTCGGGAGGAGCGAGGGGCCCGCCCGGCGGGGGCGCAGGACCCAGGGAGCCGCGCAGGGAGGAGGGTCGGGCGGGTCTCAGCTCCTCCTCGCTCCCAGGCTCCCACTCCATGAGGTATTTCTACACCACCATGTCCCGGCCCGGCCGCGGGGAGCCCCGCTTCATCTCCGTCGGCTACGTGGACGATACGCAGTTCGTGCGGTTCGACAGCGACGACGCGAGTCCGAGAGAGGAGCCGCGGGCGCCGTGGATGGAGCGGGAGGGGCCGGAGTATTGGGACCGGAACACACAGATCTGCAAGGCCCAAGCACGGACTGAACGAGAGAACCTGCGGATCGCGCTCCGCTACTACAACCAGAGCGAGGGCGGTGAGTGACCCCGGCCCGGGACGCAGGTCACGACCCCTCCCCATCCCCCACGGAGGGCCGGGTCGCCTCGAGTCTCTGGGTCCGAGATCCTCCCCGAAACCGCGGGACCCCGAGACCCTTGACCTGGGAGAGGCCCAGGCGCCTTTACCCGGTTTCATTTTCAGTTTAGGCCAAAATCCCCGCGGGTTGGTCGGGGCAGGGCGGGGCTCGGGGGACCGGGCTGACCGCGGGGGCGGGGCCAGGTTCTCACACCATGCAGGTGATGTATGGCTGCGACGTGGGGCCCGACGGGCGCTTCCTCCGCGGGTATGAACAGCACGCCTACGACGGCAAGGATTACATCGCTCTGAACGAGGACCTGCGCTCCTGGACCGCGGCGGACATGGCAGCTCAGATCACCAAGCGCAAGTGGGAGGCGGCCCGTCGGGCGGAGCAGCTGAGAGCCTACCTGGAGGGCGAGTTCGTGGAGTGGCTCCGCAGATACCTGGAGAACGGGAAGGAGACGCTGCAGCGCGCGGGTACCAGGGGCCACAGGGCGCCTCCCGGATCGCCTGTAGATCTCCGGGGCTGGCCTCCCACAAGAAAGGGAGACAAATGGGACCAACACTATAATATCGCCCTCCCTCTGGTCCTGAGGGAGAAGAATCCTCCTGGGTTTCCAGAGAGTGACTCTGAGGGTCCGCCGTGCTCTCTGACACAATTAAGGGATGAAATCTCTGAGGAAATGAAGGGAAGACAATCCCTGGAATACTGATGAGTGGTTCTCTTTGACACTGGCAGCAGCCTTGGGCCCCGTGACTTTTCCTCTCAGGCCTTGTTCTCTGCTTCACACTCAATGTGTGTGGGGGTCTGAGTCCAGCTCTTCTGAGTCCCTCAGCCTCCACTCAGGTCAGGACCAGAAGTCGCTGTTCCCTCCTCAGGGACTAGAGTTTTCCACGGAATAGGAGATTATCCCAGGTGCCTGTGTCCAGGCTGTTGTCTGGGTTCTGTGCTCCCTTCCCCACCCCAGGCGTCCTGTCCATTCTCAAGATGGCCACATGCGTGCTGGTGGAGTGTCCCATGACAGATGCAAAATGCCTGAATTTTCTGACTCTTCCCGTCAGACCCCCCCAAGACACATATGACCCACTACCCCATCTCTGACCATGAGGCCACCCTGAGGTGCTGGGCCCTGGGCTTCTACCCTGCGGAGATCACACTGACCTGGCAGCGGGATGGGGAGGACCAGACCCACACACGGAGCTCGTGGAGACCAGGCCTGCAGGGGATGGAACCTTCCAGAAGTGGGCGGCTGTGGTGGTGCCTTCTGGAGAGGAGCAGAGATACACCTGCCATGTGCAGCATGAGGGTCTGCCCGAGCCCCTCACCCTGAGATGGGGTAAGGAGGGAGATGGGGGTGTCATGTCCCTTAGGGAAAGCCGGAGCCTCTCTGGAGAGCTTTAGCAGGGTCAGGGTCCCTCACCTTCCCCCCTTTTCCCAGAGCCATCTTCCCAGCCCACCATCCCCATCGTGGGCATCATTGCTGGCCTGGTTCTACTTGTAGCTGTGGTCACTGGAGCTGTGGTCACTGCTGTAATGTGGAGGAAGAAGAGCTCAGGTAAGGAAGGGGTGAGGAGTGTGGTCTGAGATTTCTTGTCTCACTGAGAGTTCCAAGCCCCAGGTAGAAGGGCCCTGCCTGGTTACTGGGAAGCACCATCCACACTCATGGGCCTACCCAGCCTGGGCCCTGTGTGCCAGCACTTACTCTTTTGTAAAGCACCTGTTACAACGAGGGACAGATTTATCACCTTGATGACTGTGGTGATGGGACCTGATCCCAGCAGTCACAAGTCACAGGGGAAGGTCCCCGAGGACAGACCTCAGAAGGGCGGTTGGTCCAGGACCCACATCTGCTTTCCTCATGTTTCCTGATCCCGCCCTGGGTCTGCAGTTGCACATTTCTGGAAACTTCTCTGGGGTCCAAGACTTGGAGGTTCCTCTAGGACCTTATGGCCCTGGCTTCTTTCTGGCATCTCACAGGACATTTTCTTCCCACAGATTGAAAAGGAGGGAGCTACTCTCAGGCTGCAAGTAAGTATGAAGGAGGCTGATCCCTGAAATCCTTTGGATATTGTGTTTGGGAGCCCATGGGGGAGCTCACCCACCCCACAATTCTTCCTCTAGCCACATCTACTGTGGGATCTGACCAGGTCCTGTTTTTATTCTACTCCAGGCGGCAACAGTGCCCAGGGCTCTGATGTGTCTCTCACGGCGTGAAAGGTGAGACCTTGGGGGGCCTGATGTGTGGGGGGTGTTGGGGGGGAACAGTGGACACAGCTGTGCTATGGGGTTCTTTGAATTTGATGTTTTGAGCATGCGATGGGCTGCCAAAGTGTCATCCATTACTGGGACAGATATGAATTTGTTCATGAATATTTTTTCTATAGTGTGAGACAGCTGCCTTGTGTGGGACTGAGAGGCAAGATTTGTTCACACCTTCCCTTTGTGACTTGAAGAACCCTGACTTTCTGCAAAGGCACCTGAATGTGTCTGTGTTCCTGTAGGCATAATGTGTGGAGGAGGGGAGACCAACCCACCCTCATGTCCACCATGACCCTCTTCCCCACGCTGATCTGTGTTCCCTCCCCAATCATCTTTCCTGTTCCAGAGAGGCGGGGCTGAGATGTCTCCATCTTTTTCTCAACTTTATGTGCACTGAGCTGTAACTTCTTACTTCCCTCTTAAAATTAGAATCTGAGTAAACATTTACTTTTTCAAATTCTTGCCATGAGAGGTTGATGACTTAATTAAAGGAGAAGATTCCTAAAATTTGAGAGACAAAATAAATGGAACACATGAGAACCTTCCAGAGTCCATGTGTTTCTTGTGCTGATTTGTTGCAGGGGAGGAGAATAGATGGGGCTGTGCCTAGTGGGTGCTCAGGCCAGTATGGACTTTATGTGGTCACTGCTCAGCTGGGTCATCTTTGCTCCTTCATTCTCCTTGGCCCTTCAGTAGAACCTTGTCCCACCACCACCTGTGATCACAGGGACTTGGATGTCACCTACGGTGGTCCCTGCATACAAATCTCATTGTGGTATCAAGAGACTAATTTTCAGACCTGTCCAGCTCTTGCCCTCCTCCCAGGACTCTTTCCTGGATTGTAGTTTTCATCTTGTCTCCAATCTTTTTAAAGGAAGCAGATTCTGAAATTTGCAGAGAGGAGGGGTCCCATAGTTTCTCATCATAGTGAACTTTCTGTTGGAGCTCCTCTTCTGCTCTCCTACTCTTCTTCCTGCCCTGAGTTGTAGTAATCCTAGTGCTGGCTCCAATCCAAACTCATGGATTTACAAAGCAGAGTCTAATTTAGATTCATACGTGGTTGGAAAATTGTACCCATAAGCCTAGGGTTATCTTTCCTGAAGAGAAAAATATGGTTGTGTGCTGCAGTGTGCAGGAGGGTTGGTGTGGGGGGAGGGAGGGAGGGAGGGAGGACACACAAGCAGTCCTGGTGAGAAAAGCACTGGCGGTATCGATGTCCACATGAGATGATGTTGTTCTTTAGCTGCCACAAAACAGCATTTGCCCTGAGGCTACCTTAACAAAGATATTGGCTTTAGAATAGAGAAGTGCTCTACAGTGATCATTCATTCAACTGACATTTGTTGTCTGCTAGGGATATGACTGCTTTTGCGTTTAGAAAGCATCATTAAGGTGAAAACAGAAAAATTTCTGGTGTTGTGGTACATATGTTCTAGATGCTAGCTTGTCTAACCCGTAGCTCGCAGGCTGAATGTGGCCCAGGACAGTTTTGAATGTGAGGAGTTTTTGCTTTTCTGTGGCGGACCTGAGACCTGGAGTGAGTGCACCCACCTCCCTCAGGATCAGGAGTGAATGCTTTAGGAACCCTCCTTTGCAGTGACCTGCAAAAGATAGAGGGCACGGTTACTGTGAGAACCCAGAGTAGCAGCCAAAGGGGCTCAACCTTCATGGAGTTTTGGGAAAGGTTAGTAAAAGGTGGTGTCCCAGCGTCAGAACAGATGGGCAGCCAGCGAGGGCACTGCTTCATATCTATGATGGGAATGCAAGAATTGAGGAGCAGGAGACTGAGGGCGTTTGATCAAATACAAAGTCATGATCCCAGTCTCAATTCCTAGACTTCAGCCAAGCTTCAGATTCAGAATCTACAGTGGGGCTTAAGGAGGCCAGGAAATAAACCTGGACACATTATGGCCCACTGTGGGACCACTGGGTTCATAAACCCAGTCCTGGTTATCTCCCCATTCTCCACATGCATAATTGGCCTTGATGCACTGGCAAAGGGAGTCACCCCCATACTACATCCCTAGTCTGGAGAGTAAGGGCTTTCATTGTGCTGAAGCCCAAAGGGAATCATCTAAAACTTCCCTCATCCCAGCCAAGCCAGAAGCAATATTGCGCCCCAGGTGGGACTTCAGGAGGGTACTGCAGGTATTGTAGGGGTGGCACTGCCATTAGAGAGCTGAAGGATGGGGGGTGGTGTTGGGATTGCCTATTATCTCCATATAATTCAGCAGTCTGTCCCTGAAGAAGCCTGATAAAGAATGAATGGAATTACTCCAGACTTGACCAAGTAGGAGTCCTGATTGCAGCTGCCATGCTGGCTGGATATCACTGCTTGGGGAGATTAATAAGGCCTCAGGCACATGGCAAACAGCCATGCATTTGGTGAGTGCATTCTTTCCCATTCCATTTAGAAAATGGATATGGAATGATTCACATTCACATGGGATTTATAATACATTTATTGATAGCTTGCCTCAGGGCTACTTTAACTCCTCAACCTTCTATAAATATCACCTTAAGAGATCTGGACAAATCAGACATCTCACAGAATACTAAATCTCTTCATTTCATTGGCAATATCACATAGATTGGGATGGATGAGTAAGAGGAGGAAAGTACGCTGAATTCTTTGGCAAAACGTGTGCACTACAGAAGGTGAAGATTAACCTTACAGAGCTTCAAGAGTGGCCACTGCAGTGAAGTGTTATGGGTCCAGTGGTTAGGGGCATGCAGGGCTGTCCCCTCCAAAGTAAAAGACAAACTTGCATCTTGCATCCTCAACAGAAGGAAGGAAGCACACTATTTGGTGAGCTTCTCTGGGTCCTGGCAACACCACATTCCACATCTAAGTATATTGTTTGGCCCACTGTCTGGGTATAATATAGGAAGAGGTCAGCTTTGAGTGCGGACTAGACAGGAAAGGACACTGCAGCAGATCCAGGCGGTGGTGTACCAGGTCATCAACTCTCAGTCCCCTGGTGCTGGGGGTGACAGTGTGGGGAAAGATGCTAGATGGAGCTGAACCAAGCAGCTGAGATCAAGTGAGCTGAGATCCCGCCCCTACACTCCAGCCTGAGCAACAAGAGTGAAACTCCATCTCAAAAAGAAAAAAAAATTAAAAGGATAAGCACCCTCCCACATCAGAGATAACTCCCCAACACATAATATACATACAGTGTGAGTTCTCTGTATGGGGAAGTTAAAAAAATACAGGTCAAACTGTGATTTGGGTATTATTGTAAAAATCTTCAGTGACAATGCCAAGGAATAGCAAATACAAGACTCAAGACATAGGTTCCTTTTAGGGGATAGGATTGGACAACAGCCTAGGGTGGCTTCATAGGTTCTGTTTCTTATGCCAGGAGGGGATATCCAGGTAGTTAGTTACTTGATCATAAAACTTTATTTATTTATTTATTTATTTATATATTTTGAGTCTCGCTCTTGTTGCCCAGGCTGGAGTACAGTGGCATGATCTCAGTTCACTGCAACCTCCGCCTCCCAGGTTCAAGGGATTCTCCTGCCTCAGCCTCCTGAGCAGCTGGGATTGCAGGCAAATGCCACCACTCCCAGCTAATTTTTGTATTTTTAGTAGAGACGGGCTTCACCATGTTGACCAGGTTGGTCTGGAACTCCTGACCTCAGGTGATCCACCCACTTCAGCCTACCAAATTGCTGAGATTACAGGCATGAGCCACCACTCCTGGCCCACAAATCTTTAAAGTGGTATTTTTCAAAATGCACCTTGTGTGCCATTCCTGATTGATTATTTGGAAATGAAAGAGAAAAGAAAATGCCAAAGTTCATCACAAGCATCCTTTGCGATAACTACTCGTAGTAAAACAAAGCCACAGCTGGCCGGGCACGGTGGCTCACTTCTGTGATCCTAGCACTTTGGGAAGTCGAGGCCTGTGGATCACGAGATCAGGAGTTCGAGACGAGCCTGACCAACATGGTGAAACCTCGTCTTTACTAAAAATACAAAAATTAGCTGGGCGTGTTGGTGCGTGTCTGTAATCCAAGCTACTCAGAAGGCTGATGCAGGAGAATCGCTTGAACCTGGAAGGCAGAAGTTGCAGTGAGCTGAGATCCTGCCATCGCACTCCAGCCTGGGTGACAGAGCCATACTCCATCTCAAAACAAACAAACAACCACAAAAAACAAGCCACAGCCAATTTTAAGGAGCCATGTGAGAGGACCAGGATGCCATGAAAAACAGCCTTGGCTACAAATAGGTCATTTGATCCTTGGCTAGCTGGCAACTCTCTACATTTTCTGATACACAGTGTTCAATCTGATAGGTAAGGCAATAGTATCTTGCAAAGAATTTGAGAATTTGATATGTTGCTCACATTTTACCACACATACAAGTGAATTAAACTTTTACAGAATAGAAAAAAAGCATTGTTGAGCAAAATAAATTAAATGAAAAGACATAAATGAATAACTAGTGATGAAATAGCAATAAGAATGGAAAACACGAAAGAGCTGCTTTTAAAGCAACATTAGAAGCACAAAATAACAGTGTTTTTCAGAATCATACTGGAGTCCAAATCACTTCTACCACATCTAATTAAAAGCCACAGTGAAAGATGTTAAACTGATCACAGGATGCCCACTGAATAGCCAGTTACTGAAAAATCTTGTTCCTAGATTGAATTTAACCATTTCCACCTACCACATCAAACCAAATCATTGTCATGATGCTAAGCCAGTTGTACAGACAAAGATGTGAGACTCACATTTTTCTAATTGCAAAGCACCCTGATTAGGCAAATATTTTTGTAGATGCTTGAGTCAGAAAATTGTCATTTTGGGCATTCTTTTTTTTTTTTTTTTTTTTTTGCCTTCAAGCATCTGTTTAACAAAGCACATCTTGCACCGCCCTTAATCCATTTAACCCTGAGTGGACACAGCACATGTTTCAGAGAGCACGGGGTTGCGGGTAAGGTTATAGATTAACAGCATCCCAAGGCAGAAGAATTTTTCTTAGTACAGAACAAAATGGAGTCTCCTATGTCTGCTTCTTTCTACACAGACACAGCAACAATCTGATTTCTCTGTCTTTTCCCCACATTTCCCCCCTTTCTATTCGACAAAACCGCCATCGTCATCATGGCCCCTTCTCAATGAGCTGTTGGGTACACCTCCCAGACGGGGTGGCGGCCGGGCAGAGGGGCTCCTCACTTCCCAGACGGGGTGGCCGGGCAGAGGCGCCCCCCACCTCCTGGACGAGGTGGCTGGCCGGGCGGGGGCTGCCCCCCACCTCCCTCCTGGACGGGGCGGCTGCCGGGCAGAGACGCTCCTCACTTGCCAGATGGGGTGGCTGCTGGGCGGAGGGGCTCCTCACCTCTCAGACGGGGCGGCTGGGGAGAGACGCTCCTTACCTCCCAGACGGGGTGGCTGCTGGGCAGAGGGGCTCCTCACATCCCAGACAGGGCGGCGGGGCAGAGGCGCTCCCCACCTCTCAGATGATGGGCGGCTGGGCAGAGACGCTCCTCACTTCCTAGACCGGATGGCGGCCGGGCAGAGGCTGCGATCTTGGCACTTTGGGAGGCCAAGGCAGGCAGCTGGGAGGCAGAGGTTGTAGCGAGCCGAGATCACGCCACTGCACTCCAGCCTGGGCAACATTGAGCACTGAGTGAGAGAGACTCCGTCTGCAATCCCGGCACCTCAGGAGGCCAAGGCTGGCAGATCACTCCCAGTTAGGAGCTGGAGACCAGCCTGGCCAACACAGTGAAACCCCGTCTCCACCAAAAAAATACGAAAACCAGTCAGGCATGGTGGTGCGCGCCTGCAATCCCAGGCACTCTGCAGACTCTAAATTATTCAACGCCTCAGACACTAACTTTCCAAGGAATAGGAGATTATCCCAGGTGCCTGTGGCCAGGAGGTGTCTGGGTTCTGTGCTCCCTTCCCCACCCCAGATGTCCTATCCATTCTCAGGATGGTCACATGGGTGCTGCTGGAGTGTCCCATGAGGAATGCAAAGTGCCTCAATTTTCTTACTCTTCCCTTCAGAATCCCAGAATGCATGTGTGATCCACTACCCCATCTCGGACCATGAGGCCGCCCTGAGGTGCTGGGTCCCGGGCTTCTACCATGTGGAAATCACAGTGACCCAACTGTGGGATGGGGAGGACCAAATTTAGGACGCAGAGCTTGTGGGGACCAGACCTGCAGGGTATAGAACCTTCCAGAAGTGGGCAGCTGTGGTGCTGTCTTCTAGAGACAAGTAGAGATCCACATGCCATGTGCAGCAGGAGGCACTGCCAGAGCCCCTCACACTGAGATGGGCTAAGGAGATGAATGAGGGGCCATGTCTCTTCTCAGGGAAAACAGGAGCCCTTCTGGAGGCCTTCAGCAGGGTCAGGGCTGAGGCCTGGGGGTCAGGACCCCTCACGTTCCCCTCCTTTCTTAGGGCCATCTTCCCAGCCCACATTCCTCATCATGGGCATCGTTACCGTCCTGGTTGTTCTAGGTGCTGTGGTCACTGCTGTGATGTGGAAGAATAAGACCCCAGGTAGGAAAGGGGTGAGTTCCAAGATTTCTTCTTCCATTCGTGGATTTCAAGCTCCAGATGGAAGTTGGCTCATTTCCTGCCTAGTTGTGAGACACCATCTCCACACACATTTACCCTGTTCAGATGCCCTGTCAACTCTCACTCTTTTGTAAAGCACCTGTGAAATTGAAGGACAAATTTATCACCTTGATTGTGATCATGGGAACCTGACTCCCAGCAGTCACAAGTCAGGAGAATGTTCCTGCTGAGGACAGATGTCAAAAGGACATTTGGTTCAGCTTCAACACATCCTCTTCCCTCGGGTTTTCTGATCCTGACCTGGGTCTGCAGTCACAGTTCTGGAAACTCCTCTAGGATCTCATGGCCCTGCCTCTTCCCTGGCCTCTCACAGTTTGTTTTCTTTCCTCATATGGAAAAGGAGTCAGCTATGCTCAGGCTTCAAGTAAGTGTGGTAGGGGTGGGAGAGTGATTCCTGAGATCCTTGGAACAGTGTAGACAGGAGCCCATGGGGGAGGTCACCACCCCACAATTCCTCCTTTAGTCACATCACCTGTGGGCTCTGACCAGACTTTGTTTTTGTTCCACCCCAAACAGGAACAGTACCCAGGGCTCTGATGTGTCTCTCAAGTCTTGTAAAAGTGACACCTTAGAGGGCCTGAAGTGAAGGAGGAGTTGGGGCAGATGGGACACAACTAGGCTCTAGAGAGTCTTTGATTTGGAATTTTTCAATGTGTGGTGGGCTGTTCAGTGTCACCACTTACCATGACTGACTTGAATTTGTTCACGACTATTTTCTTTCCAAGACTGCCTTGTGAGGGACTGAGATGCAAGATTTGTTCATGGCTCCACTTTGAGACTTCAAGGGCCTCTGTTTTCTCTTTCTGCCAAGGCATCTGAATGTGTCTATGTCCCTGGTAACATGTGAGAAGTGGAGAGACCAGCCCACCCTCATGTCCACCATGACCCCTGATATTGTTTGGATCTGTGTCCCCACCCAAATCTCATGCTCACTTGTAATCCCTAATGTTGGAGGTGGTGCTTGGTGGGACGTGATTGGCTCATGAGGATGGATGATTCATGAATGGTTTAGAATCATCTCTTTCATGCTGTTCTTGTGATAGTTCTTGGAGGCATTGTGCCACCTCCCTAGGGATCTGTGGAACTTTAAACTTGAGAGTGATGATTAAGGGTATCTGATGGAAGAAATTTCTCAGTAGCATAGAATTCAGGATTTGGTCTGGCTGCCTGTAATAGCCTATGTGCATATGTTTGAGCAAAGAAATGACCCGAAACTGGAACTGATATTTAAATGGGGAAATTTAATACCCAGGAAAATTCTTAGCGGAGCTGCAGCAACAGGACCCCTGCCAGGACTACTAAATGGTAGAGCCACTGGCTATGTGCAACCTCAGCCTGGAAAAGCCATAGGCATTCAATTTTCTCCCATGACAGCAGCTATATGGGTTATGTTCAGCAAAGCCATAAATGTGGAGCTGCAAATGGCATTAGGAGCCCAGCAGTTGCACCAGCCACTGTGCTCTGGATTCAAAATATAGAGTCAAAGGAGATTCTTTTAGACCTTTAAGTTTTAATGTCTGCCATGATGAGTTTCAATCTTATGAGGAAACTGCATTCATTTCTTTTGGCCCATTTATATACCTTTTGGAATGGAAATGTACAAGAAATGTCTCTTCCACTGTTTTATTAATATTTTAGATGCAAATAACATTTTTTTAAAAAATTTTACAGGCTCAAAGCTATAAGAATTTACCTTGAGTCTCAGATGAGACTCTAGAATTTTGAGTTGATGCTGGAACAACCTAACACATTTGGGACAATTGGGAGTAGATTATTATATTTTGCAATGTGAGAAGAACATGACCTTTGGCTGGCTAGGGAGGGGATGCAATGATATAAACATTTATCCCCTGATACCTCATGTTAAAATCTAACGCCCACTGTGGGACTTGGGGCCTAATGGCCACCATTTGGGTCATGGTGACCAATCTTTTATGAATCGAGAGATACTGCCCTCTCTCGGGAATGAATGAATTGTTGCTCTATTATTTTCCAAGAGAGCTAGTTGTAAAAAAGACCCTGGCAACTTCCTACTCTCTGTGTTCCTCTGTTACCATGTGATCTCTGCATATACCAGCTCCCCTTTTTGTCTTCTGCCATGAGTGGAAGCAGCCTGAGGCCCTCACTAAATGCGCAAACATTTCCAGACATCAGAATCTTGAGCCACATGAACCTCGTTTATATAAATTAGTCAGTCTCAGACATTTCTTTATAGCAACACAAAATGGAAAAAGATAACCCTCGCATCACAGGTATGTGTCTCTGGCAGCTAGCCACCGTTCTTAAGATATCCAGGATCCACTCAGCCAAGAGTCTTCTCATCAGTACTCTAAAGACGCTCTTATCACTCAAGAGAGTCTAAGGTTTTTAGGAGAAACCAGGGACAAAGACTAAATGTTTTTGTGATAACTCAGATTGCCCACTTTTCTTTGACCACATATCTTTTACAAGAAAAAGGATTGTAACAGTAAAGAGGTATTGGCATATTATCAGAGTCTCATCCATTCATTCAAAATTAGGCCAGTTTATCATCCTCTTGTATGAATATGTCTCCCAGAATGAAATCACTCAGCTTTGCTGACAACACTCAATCTTACCAGGTTCCAAAAACAAGGATGGTCTCAGGGACATACAGCTTCACTCTTTTAGGCATCCAGTATAATTGACCTAAGTGACAATATCTTCTCTTGCTCACACCACCTTTGAGGAGTTAAGCTAATATTGAATTTTTCTCATTATATAACCCTTTGATTTATTCACTTACCCTCAGCCACTATTCCTCCCTCTGTCCCTTTATATCAGTCGTTTCCAGGTTTGGGAGTGACATTAGGTTTGTCTGCTGGGCTGGCCTAGACTGCAGGCAGCAATAGTATTCTAGCATGTCTTCCCTCAGTCTAGTCTTGATCATAGAGGGTAGGTTATATAGGTAAGGAACTAGTGGGGGCTATCAGACCACCAGGCTATATAACTCTACTTACTGTTAATCCTAACTTTTCAGATGAAATGAATACTTGAGAATTCTTACATAAAGGTGTAAAAATATAGTTATGGTTTTTCGCTTAGGGATAATTCCTGTTTCTGGCACTTTTATTTACATCCCTATTCCTGGTACTATGGCATAACATATGAAAAAATAAATTTGAGGTGAAGTGTAGTCTTTATTCCAGCATCCTCTCCCCTTCAGAAGAATTGTATGTATCATCGTAACAGCATCGTCCTGATCCATCAGGTAAAAGAGAGGATGCTACCTAGTGGAGTTATTCTTGCAGCCCCACTCATGTTGACAGCGAGCACATTCATGAAGATATAAAAGCCAGTCCTTCATGTTTATATTGCCCAACAATTAGATTGGCAGTTTTTAGACAAACAATGTTTCAATTGACCATTTCAATTTTCTATCAAATTTTCCCCTGAGGAGGACATGTCCCTCTGCATTGTTGGCCGTTTGAGGCTGTAAAGTGTGTTTTCTTGTGTAAAGAAGTGTGACTCGGCAGTCCAAATTGGTGCAACCTCTTCTTTTCTGGTTCTTGTATAGCCCTTGAAGCTTTGACATCTACCCCTGGTTGAGCATAGCCCAATCCAGAGTCAGTGATTTTCCTGTCAAGATCCATTGGCAGCTCCTTTGGGGTTGCTGGCATCATTCTGGCTTGCCAGGTATTATGATCAAAGCCTTCCCACTAGAGAATCTGTCACATCTCCATCTGCTGCCTCTGTCTGTTTTCTTGACCAACAGTGAAAAAAGAGATTATGAGAAATAAGATAAATTACCAAAATTGTGAACAAAAGAGATTATCACTAATGACCCTTAGGAAGTTAAAAAACACTATAAGTGAATACTCTGAAAAACCTGAAGCCAATAAGTTAGACCACTTAGATAAAAAGGACCAATTCGTGCAGAGATAGAAATTGCCAAAACTGACCCAAATTAACTGGAAAACCTGAAGAGAACTGTGAACTAAGTCAGAAATTGAAAAGCCTTCTCAAAAAGAAATGCCAAAGCCCAGATATCATCACTGGTGAATTCTATCAAATATTTTGAAAGCTCTTTCAGACAAGAAGAGAGGAGGGAAGACTTTCCAGCCCATTTACAGAACTGGCATTACCCTCATATCAAAGTCACAGCAAGACTCACAGGAAAAGAGTGCCATACACCAGTGTCACCAATAAACATAAATGAAAACATCCTTAACAAACATTGGCAGATAATACAAAGCCACATAAAAAAGGATTACACTCCATGACCAATGGGATTCATCCCAGGAACATATGGTTGGATTAACATTTGAAAATCAATTCATGGAATGCACTGTATTGATGGAAAAAAAGACATAATTATCTCAAAAGATGCAGAAGAAACAGTTGACAAAAATGTTAACATCACTCATGTTCATAAGTTTCAACAAAATAGGAATGGAGGAGACCTTCTTCACTCTGATAAAGGGCATCTATAAAAAACCCACAGCTAAAATCAAACTTAATGAAGAAAGACTGAAGACTGAATGCTTTTCTCCTAAGATGGGGATCAATGCAAGGATGTCCAATCCCACCACTTTTATTTAATATTATACTGGAGATTGTAGCCAGTGCAATAAGGCAGAAAATTAAAAATTAAAGGCATCCAGATAAAAAGGAAAACATACAATTCTATTCACAGATAACATGACCCTGTCTGTAGAATTCACAAGCAGATAAAAACTGGCTAGCACTAATAAATGAATCCAGAAGGGCCCATAGGATATCAAATCAATATAAAAATTAATTATTAACATATTTCTCTATAGAAGCAATGAAAATCTCAACTTTCCTATCACAGTAGTTACCAGAAGAGCGAAATAGGAATAAATTTAGGAAGACAGCAGTGTTTGTTCACTGAAAATAAAAAAACATTCCTCAGAGAAATTAAAGGTCTAAATAAATGGAGAGATGCGAGTTGGAAAGCTCGATAATACTGTTAAGATGGCAATTCTCCCCCAGTAGATCTATAGGTTCAACACAATCCCTATCAAAATCCCAGCAGGGATTTTATAGAAAATTGACAAAATAGGCCGGGCGCGGTGGCTTATGCTGGTAATCCCAGCACTTTGGGAGGCTGAGGCAGGCGGATCATGAGGTCAGGAGATCCAGACCATCCTGGCTAACACGGTGAAACCCCATCTCTACTAAAAATACAAAAAACTAGCCGGGCGTGGTGGCGGGCTCCTCGGGAGGCTGAGGCAGAAAAATGGCATGAACCCGGTAGGCGGAGGTTGCAGTGAGCGGAGATCATGCCACTGCACTCCAGCCTGGGTGACAGAGCGAGACTCCGTCTCAAAAAAAAAAAAAAAAAAAGAAAAAAAGAAAAGAAAATTGACAAAATAATCCTAAAAATGTATATTAAAATGCAGAGGATGCAGAAGGGCCAACACAAATTTGAAAAAAAAAAAAATGGAATGTCATATGAAACTACAATAATCCAGACAGTGTGAAACTGAGAGACATAGAGATCAATGAACAGAAGTGAGAATCTAGAAAGATATTCTTACTTTCTTTGTCAATTGATTTTCAATGAAGTTGCATAGGTAACACAATGTTACATTTAACACCATATAAAATATCAGCTCAAACAAATTAGAGACCTAAACAGCTAAAATTTATGAGTTAAAACTATAAAATTTCTAAAAGAAAACACAGGAGAAAATTTTTATTACTTTGGGTAGTTAGGCAAAAGATTCTTAGATAAAATACCAAAAGCATGATCTACAAATAAAAAAAAAAGAGAGAGAGAAATTGGGCTTAGTTAAAATTTAAAACTTGAGTGCTCCAAAAGACATTGAGAGAATGAGAAGACAAGCCATAGACAGGGAGAAAATATTTCACAATTTATCACAAATTACATTTGTGTTGAAGAACATGTTTCCAGAATAATGTGGCAAGTTCTTAAACTCAATGTGTAAGAAGATGAGCAACTCAACTGAAAATGAGCAAAACACACAAATATGCTCAACTGACATTTACAAAAGCACAAACACAATTCAATGAAGGAAGGAGAGCTTTCCCAACAAACGGTGCTGGAGCAACTGGACAACCACAGTGGAAAAAAATAGGCTGAGCCCAAACCTCACGCTTTAAACAAAAAAAAAAAAAAAAAAAAAAAACTCAAAATGAATCACAGGCTTTAATGTAAAACACACAGTTAAAATTACAAACATTGAGCCAGGTGTGGTGTCACAGGCCTGTACTCTCACCTACTCAGGAGACTGAGGTGGGAGGATCCCTTGAGCCCAGGAGTTCAAGGCCAGCCTAGGCAAGATTTTTTTTTAAATAAATAACAAATACATTAAAAAATTAAAATTACAAATCTTTTAACAAAAAGCCATCAGAACTAAGACTAGACAAAGAGTTCTTACACATAACACCAAAAGTATGATCTGTAAAAGAAAAAGTTACTAAACTGGATCTTATCAAAATTAAAACTGTTGCTCTGTGAGAGACCTATGAAGAGCATAAAAAGACAAGCTACAGAATGAGAGAAGATATTTGCAAACCACATATTCAATAAAGACTTGCATTCACAATATATGAAGAAATGTAAAAACTCAACAGTAAAAATGAAATCCAAATAAACAATAGGCAATGAGCAAGACATGAACAGACGTTTCACTGAAGAGGATAAACACCAGGCTAACAAGCAGATGAAAAGACACTCAACATCACTATCCAGTAGGAAAATACAAATTAAAACTGCAGTGATGAGAATGGCTGAAATACAGAATAAAGGTAGCAACAGATGCTGGCAAGGTTACAGAGAAACTGGATCATTCATATTGCTGGTAGGAATGGATTTTAAAATGGTACAGCCACTCTGGAAATGGATATTGCAGTTTTCTTCAAACTGAACATGCAATTTACCATATGACTAGCAATTGCCCTCCTAGGCACTTATTTCAAACAAGGGAAAACTTTATGTTCATGAAAAACCTGTATACAAATACTCTTGCAGCTTTATTCATAATACTCCTGGAAGTAATTATTCATAATTACTTCCATAAACTGGAAATAATGCAATTGTCTTTCAGTGGGTGAAGGAGATCTGCTGGTTGAACTCATAACTGAGTCTACACAAGTGCCCTTTCTCAAGACTACTATCCTGCTTCTCTTTGCATATCTCCCATTTTCTCACAAAGAATATTAAAGACATGTACTCAAGGATCAAAATTTAATGAACATAAATATTTTACTGCTCCATCAAAGGCATTCTTAAATGGGACTGCAGTTTGGAGCCACTGCCTTGGTTCTGCTAAGGTGCTGGGTGTGTTACCGACCTTGGCATTTGCAGCATTAATGGAAAAGTCAGCATAATGAAACAGGCAAATGGCATCTTGGTATTACTGTGAAAACAGGTTTCCCTCCAGGACTCTCTGAAGGCAGCTCAGGGGGCCATACTTTCAAAATGGCAGAGATCAATTATGGTTCCTAGTGAGACCCAACCCCTAGCCTATTCAGATTCAGCACTCTCTCTCGCTCTTTTTTTTCCCTCATTCTTCCAACTTATAATTGTACATATTTTCAAATGTGCAAAGAAGCTGAAAGAATAGTGCAGTAAAATTCAAGTTATCACTCTGATATATCTGATTAATATCTCTTTATATGCATGAAAGCAGCGTGTGGAATGATAGACAATAGAGACCCAGAAGGGTAAGAGTGGTTGGCAGTGGGTGTATCGTAGAGGAGTTTCTTGTTGGGGTCAATGTATCTGTCTCCAGTGCTGGATGCACTGAAGGCCCTGACTTTACTACAACTCAATATAGCAATGTAGCAAAACTGCACCTGTGCCCCATAAATATATACGAATTTAAAAATTTAAAAATAAAATAACATCTCTCTTTGTAGATACAGGTAGACATGTTTGCATAGCATGTGTGTGAATGTGTGTGTATGTGTGTGTAGAGAGGCAGCAGGAATGAAGAGATTAAGCTTTTGTGACTGAGCCATTCTAAAGTAACAAACATAAAACACGCATGGATAAATGTCTATGTGACAACAAACCTGAATATAAACATGAAAGAATATGTCTATAAACATATCTCTGGCTAGATAACCTATGAAAGAATTCCCTACCCCAGCTCCCTTACTGGTTACCCTGTGAACACAGGCAGGCAGGGAACAGGACCCAACTAGGTTCCCTCATCCTCTTGCTTCCAGGCAGGTCCTGCATCCACTCCTGCTGCACAGAGGGCTCCCATCCCTGCCTTGGTCGGTTTCACAGGTGCTCCTCTAACTCTCTCTGCCACCACTGCCTTACCTGGGTGGAGCTGAGGCTGCGCTGACCAGGAACAGCACCACCCATCTGTGCCCCAAGACCAGGAAGTTAGGGGGAACCACGCAACAGAGTCAATAACTATCCCACCTCCCCAGTCAGTCTGAACTGATGGCGGGAGATGCTGATGCTTGCTTATCCTCATTCCCTGTTTATTTATTCTTCATTAATTCAATCCAAACTCCCCTCAGTCTGAACTGATGGTGGGAGATGCTGATGCTTGCTTATCCTCATTCCCCGTTTATTTATTCTTCATTAATTCAATCCAATCTCCCCAGCAGTCACTTCACCCAGGAAGCAGACTGACCTCTGCTCTTCATAATCAGGAAACCCCAAAGCACTCTCCATCACCTCCCTGATATCACCCTTCAGCTCTACGTCATCACATGTGGGCTCTAACTCTGAAGGCAGGTGTCCTCCCACAGGGTCAACCCCTGAACATTGGCCCCAGATGTCTCCCCATCTCTTCCCAGCCCTTTCAGTACTGCTGTGAATCTGTCCCTCACTGACAACTGGCGGGGCGATGTGGGGGAGGAGGGGAAATTTCTTGGTGCTGTGTCAAAGCATCAAGACAGACCTCTCCTTCTCTCCTGAACCTCACACTCTATCCCTTCCCAGACACTTGAAATAAAACACAGACCAGAAATGTTTATTTAAGAGTCAGCACAATTTCTTTTTCTAGACAAGTTTCTCTTATTCTCAGGGCTCAGCCATGACTGTGGGTGACCAAACAACTATTCACAAAGGACAGAGCTCACTTCAATGCCAGCTTATGAATCCACACCTTGCCACCTGCAGAGGTGGAAAAAGGCACCTAAATCCACGATCCAATAGTTCTTCCTGCCCTTAACTCCTCACACACATCTGGACACTTGGAGAGTGTGGAGGGCACCCAGGGTGCATGGTGGCAGTGGAGGCCTTGGGAAAACTGGCCAGGAAGCCAAGATATGCACCTCAGGTGACTACATTTTTTTACTGTTCTGCACTTGCTGGAGAATGACCCCAAAAGATAAGATCAATTTGTTGACTACCAACTTATTTGGCTGAGCCATGGACATGGAGCAGATGAGCATTGCCTTTACCTACGACATGCATGAGGATTCTGAGACCTACCTGCAGCAGTTAAGCCCCACACCCAGAGGGACACCCACTCTCCCACCTCCTTACTTTCTGTATCTTTTCACACTTTACATCCTCATCCTTCCCTCTGGGAGTCTTCCCTCTTTGGGTCTTCTAGTCCTATCCTACCCTCTATCCCCTTCCAGGTGGCACAGGGCTTGACCATCACATTTGTGTCAGGTGACAATAATGCCAGAATCCTTAGTATGGGCAGCATCGCTTTGAGGTGAGTGATAGTGAGCTGCCTGATGAGACAGACATCTCCTCCACAGTGAGTGCTGATGTCATGAAGCCCTTTAGGTCTTCCTAGTTCCTTAATATGTTTGTCTTCAATCCTGTCATGGGCACCTGATGCATAATGGACACTTGGCTGGTTCATGCACCCTGGTCTTTGATGCTGTGTTGGGATGTTTTTCTGACTGTTATGTGGGGTATCTGTTTTCTTTCATCATATTACATCTCTTTCCCCACTCCCAAGTCTGTCCTGTAAATCCACACAGTACACCAGCATCTGCATGTGTGCTGTGTGTTCCTGCCTCACTTTTTCCTTTTCATGCCTTATTCTCACCATGCCACATTTTCCCCTCAGTTGAACAGACACAGTAGGGGACTAGCCCATTCTGGCATGTGACCACGCTTCAGGAGGAGACTGCAGGTTGGGGGTGAAGGAGACTCTACTGACCCCACCCCTGACATCCTCTTCCCCCACCCCCTGGCTTCCGTCCTCTGCCTCAGCACCACTCCTGAATCCCCATTCCTGATTGTCAGAATTTTTAACATAACTAAAAATGAAACACAAGTGCCTCTGCATTATGTGTGGGTGCTCTCTCCCTTTATTTTATTTGGGGTGAGGTTATTTTAGGGCATGGCCCAGGGTAAATTCCTGCAAGGCCTTGGTGCCCTGCTGTGAGGTCAAAGAGGGATGGGACTAAGACTGCAGAGCCCTGGCTCCCCCACTACCTGCCAATTGCCAGCCCTTTGTGGGGTCTTTTCTGCTTTCTCTGGCCTGGGAGATGCTGGGGTGTTTCTGATCCTGGGGTTCCTGGGGGGTGGTGCACATTAGTTCCAGGCATGGAGGGTGCTGTGGGCACTGCTGGGAAGCTTGGCTGTCCCCTCCCAGGCTCTCTCCTCCCAGGCTCTCTCAGTGCCTCCTCATCTGTTTCTTTAGCTTTTGGATCTTGAGCACCAGGGCCCGGGCCCCCACCCACTCCTTCCCTTCCAGGAGGGCCTGGTCCAACTCCAGCTGCTGTGCAAGCAACTCCTCGGCTTGGGCCAGCTCAGCTGTGTGGGGGGCTCAGGGCCCTGGTCAGAGGGAGTAGAGGAGGGAGCATCAGCCAGGGTAGAGGGGTTGAGGCCCTTGGAACCTGTGTTGCAAGATCTCATGGTAAGTGAGGAATTCGACGTTGTTTTCTCTTTTTCCAGCCCATTAGCTTAAGTCCACCTGTACTGAGAATCCCAGGGAGCAACCTGTCTTGGGCATAGGCCTCTGGAGGGCAGATACAGATCCCTGGCTCAGGGGCTATATCTGGATGCCTTGAATGAGGATATGGGGTCACTGGAAAGAGACGACCAGGTGTCTGTCCCCACTAATAAATGATTAACTGTTAGATGAGGGGGAATTCCTGTTCAAGGACTCTGGACTGTGCTGCTCTGGGCAGAGGGAGGGCTGGAGAGAGGGAGCCCTGAGGGCTGGGTTGGGGTGGGGGTGGAAGGAGCTGAGAGTTGGAAATAGGCAAAAAGCTGCAGAGGTGAGGGTAGTGCAGGGTGGGATTGAGAGAATTTCCCCCGACTACTGTACTGATCCCTTCATCTCCTCCACCCGAGCACTTGGAGCCACATAGGGGGTGGCCTCATCTTCCCACTGTCCCAGAAGCTGTTCTGCCCTTCCATACTTGCCTTGGAGTTTTGGGAGCAGCATGTTTATGAGCCCTGGGGTGCCAGGGACCAGGAGGGCAGGAGGAGGTGAAGAAAACAGCACCGAGAGAGCCAGGGGAGTGGGAGGACTGTGGCAGGTGAGGCAAGGAGCTGTCTGAGCCGCTCAGCAGCCTCCAGGAGGCTCTCTCCAGGCCCGTCTTCACTCCAGTGCCTGGCCCTACCCAGGCCCCCACTCCTACTCTGCTCTCAACCTGGCCCCAGACAGGATCCCAAACAACTCCTGTTCCTAATGTGAAAAATGTTTCTGCCGCTTTAGGCAGAACTTGCTTTAGAGCACTGGCACAGCCTTCCGCAGGTCGTGTGTCTGATTCTCTTGGCACTGTGCCTTTTTTCACTTATTCTTCTGCAAGGAAGGAATTATATCACTGGTTGGGTGAGGCAACTGGCTCAGATGGGTTCATTGAGCACTCAACCGCTGGGCAAGTGTCTGTCGGGGCCAGCTATGGCCAAGATGTGTCCAAGGCTCTATAGCTAGTTGGTGGAAAGGCCTGGAGGGTTCATATTCAGGTCCACCTAACTTGAAAACTTATATTGACCTTACTTAAGTACTGATTCCCCCTTTATAATCCATGCCGCAAACTTCATTGTCTTATTTTAAGAAGTTGTCATAAGAGCCTTTAGCAACCACCCTCCTGATCAGCCAGCAGTCATCAACATTGAGGCAAGACCGTGCCCCAGCAAAAAGATTAAGATTAGCTGAAGCCTCAGATGATCCTTAGCATTTTTGAGCAATAGAGTAATTTTAAATTAAGGTATATACATAGTTCTTTTATACATAATGCTATCATACACTTAATAGGCTACAGTAGAGTGTGAATATAACTTTTCTATGCACTGGAAAAACAAAAATTTGTGTGACTTGTTTGTTGCCATGGTCTGAAACCAAATCTGCAGTGTCTCTGAGGTACGTCTGTAGTTTCCCTTTCTCTCTTCCTGCTGGCCCGGAATGACCTTGTTTCTTGCCCCTGTCTAGCCCTGCATGCTGCAGGGGTTTGCCTTCTCTGGTAGGTCTGGGAACTTTGCATCCTTGTAACCTTGGCTCCTGGCATACGACACTGGTACCAAGCTCTGTTGGACTAGTGAGCCTCCTCCCCACACACCTCCTGAACTAGAACCAAAGCTCTGTGCATGCACCGTGCATGTGTGAGCCAATGACAAGATGTTGTCTTCCTGCAGGTGTTCTGAAGGAATGTTCTGTTGTGACTGGAGGACACAGCCACGGGCCCCCCAGGCAGAGGTGGCTCAGAAGGGAGTGGATGGCCCTGGTTTTGATCATCTGGGGACAAGAAGGTCCTGAGATAAAAACCCATGTTTTGGAAAACAAAACTGCCTGAGACTGAAAAGTGGCTAACCAATTCGCTATCTGGGACATCACTGCACACTGGGATGGAAGATGGCTTCTGCCATGGTGTAGGGTCCTGGACCTAGACAAAGAGGCCTTCCTATGGCTCAGTGCTTCTGAAGCACCTTTAAATGAGGCCAAAGACCTCATGTTCATGATTAGCTGACTTGTTCCCACTCAGTGGAAAAAAAACCCAGAACTTTTGCAAAATTTTAGGAGAGAGGGATTTCCCTCTTGTCTCTTAGTGCTACGGTTATGCATGACTCATACTTGAATTGCAATGTGTACACAGCTTAAGGACTTAACTATTAGAATACAAGAGGCCCAAACTACTGTTGTTATAGATATGTAAAACTATATGGTATAAGGTTAAACAACCCACAACTAATTAACAGTGAAGATAAATTAACTACATTGCAAATTTAAAACAAGATTAGCAGCCTTTTAGAAAAAAAAACAAAACACATGGGAGGTTGCAAAGGCAATCTAAATGATACTCTAATAAAAATCCTTCATGAAAATGACATTTCAACCATCTGAGTTTCTGCTTTAAGTTATGAACTCCAAAATGGACTAACACCCAATAATTTACAGTAGGGAGGTCTAAGCCACAAAGAAAGGTGTCAGGGCAGACCTGAAACCTGGAATGAACATGCCCCCTCTCTCAGGGTAATGAGTAAATCCTCTAAGACCCGTTCTATCTCAGACAGACCATCCACTCATAAGGAGGTCAAAAACAAGTTCCACACAGCACTGAGACCCAACCACCTCATTGTCCTCACCTCCACGGACAGAGCCCAGGTGAGAGCCACCCCTGCTCCTCCTCCCTCATCTCCCACAGCCTCAGCACCATTGTCTGCGCCGAGTCCACCAGGACTCAGCTCATCATGTCCTTTCCCTGTTTGTGTCAGTGACACTGGGTCCCCCACATACTCTGCACTCACATCCCCACAAGGCTCTGAACACCACTATTCTGTCTCCCCAACCTCCTGAACCGCAGAAATCTTCCCAGTGCACCCCCTGGAATCTCAGTCAATGATCAGCAAAACCTCCACACCCTCTCTCAGGATGTTCCTGCACCTCACAGCTCCAGCAGCAACCTGGTCTCCCTGAGGACATGACCCCCTCCAAAGTCCTCCCACATAGGGGAGTTTCCCCCATGGACTTGTACCCCTGGGTTCAGAGGTGAGGTGGGGTCCTTTCTCCTCACTGTGGTTCTCAGAACTTTCTGCCTCCCTCCTCCCTAAAACCCCTAAGCTGTCATCAGATTAGACCCCCATTCCCCTCATTGTAGCCATTCCCTGTGGGCCCCTGGCCTTTCCTCTCAATCCTGACTCTTGTAGTTCTTGGTTCACTGTCACCCTCTCCAGCAGTCTCCTTGACTGTTGATGACTTCAACATGTGGTGGGCTGAGTAATGGTCCCGAAAGAGGTCCAGTCTTAGTCCTTGGAACCTGTGAACAGGTTGCATTACATGGTAAAAGAGACTTTACTCATGTAATGATGATTAAGGACCTTAAAATAGGGAGATTCTCCTGGACAATCTGTGTGGCCCCAATCAAATCAAATGAGCCACTAAAAGCAGAGAACCTGCCCTGGCTGGAGTCAGATTCTGCAGAGGAGGAAGGCAGAGGAGACATAGAAGAGGGGAGGTCAGACGTTCCAAGCAGGAGGATTGGATGTGCCTTAGGCACCATGTGTGAGTAGCTGAAAGAAGATTCTAGGAGCTAAGGGTGGCTCTTAACAAGGAATTGGAAACCTCTGTTCTATGTGCAAGAAAGTGAATTCAGACAAGAACCTGAATGAGCTTGGAAGTGGATTCTTCCCCAGAGTCTCCAGGAAGGAACACAGACCTGCCCATACCTTGACCTTAGCCCCATAAGACTGTGCGGACTTGCAACCTACAGGACTGTAACATGATAATTAGGTGCTGTTTAAAGCCACTTGGTTTGTGGTAATTTTTATGGCAGCAATAGACACCTATACAGCAGAGAAGATGCCCTTGCTCCCTGGACTCTCAGATCCTGGAACTCCTCTCCTCCATGACCTTCTCCTCTCTCTGCCTGAATCTCATGCCCCTGTCATCCCCTAGGCCTCATCATGCCCAAGAACCCCAGCCCTTCCATACTCTCAATTTCACACTTCCCACTCTCTGGCCATCTTTCCACTCATCCCATGCAAGGTGGCCACAGGCTCTGAGGACACAGACTCTATCACTTTATCATATGCTGTGAGGTAATATCAGTGACTACTCATTGCATATGTGCCTGCATTACAGGCTTGAAGTCCACCCTTTAGCACATCAATTCCAACAATCCTTCGACCCCCACCCTGGGAATACCAATCCAGTGATTCTGCCATCTACTCACTGTCCCTCATCGTTGGTGTCTTCTCTAACTTCATGACCCAAACCACATGGGGAGCCCCCACCAGGGCCAGCAATCACCCTCTCCCTGCATGGCTCACCCTCAGCCTCCTCCTGGCCTAGGTGACCCTTACACACCTTCTCTCTGTGCTCACACATCCAACCCTCCTTCCCCATTCTTATCTCAGCTGACAACCTTGGTTCCTACCTCACTGAGAAAACTGAACACATTAGAAGACAGATTCCATCACCATCTGCTCATGCATTTGCAGCTGCAACACATGTCAGGTGTTTTACCATGTTGGGGACTGTTGTGGGTAAACCATTCTGCTCCCAGCCAGAGCCAATCCCTCTTCTGGTGCCCCAAACGTCATCCCTTATCATCTACTTAAAGGTGTCAGTTCATCAATTAATACCTTTTTTTCTCTTTATCATCAACCTTTTTCCTCTCTCCCCACTGGATCATTGTGGCAGTCATGAGAATGCACATCCCAGCCCCTCAGCTAGAGTAAGCAGAATTGATAGTGGCCTCAACTTTTGAATCCTGAAACCTATTGCCACATTTGCTCTGAGACCACACCTGCCCCCTGTCTTTTCCTGCCAATGACTGAGGAAAGCAGGGCAGAAACTAAGGCAGGAACATTTCTTCTCTGAAGGCTGACTGAAGCTCTAGGGCTTCCTGCCACGCTTACTGAACTTCTGTTAGCCTGCACAGGGTCTAGGATGCTTCCAGCTGACCTTCCTGCACTGTTTACCTCACTGGGGTTCAGAGTTGCTTTGTGGTCTGATGACACTCCCAGCATTTTCCGTCTGTGTCCTGAATTTCTCTCATAACTATTTCCTCTAATAAATCCTTGCACATTGAATACTGTATTGGGGTCTGCTCCTCAGGGGACCCTAACTAACACAAGTAGTATGAAGGGTGATCCATGAAAACAGGCAAAAATGAGAATTTGAAAAAAGCTTGCCCACTGCCTGGCAGGCCAAGAGGATGCCACCAGGGTTGTGGGAGACACAGAAATTCCATAGCACAAGATGCAGCTGAGCTGCTATGGGTCTCACCCGTGCTGAGCTGAGAGGATGCCCTGGTTAGGGGAAGCTATGGCAGGTGGGGTGATAGAATGCCCTGCACAATAATGACGGGGTTAGGGGGAAACCTACAAAGACAGTGGAGTTGGCTGGTTGCTGCTCAGCTGCAATGATGCCCTATGAAAGTATCATGAGAATCTGCAGATTGTTAACAGCTGTCACTGGCTACATGTGACAGCCTCTGCAGTGTCTCATGCAGAGGTCTTTATCTCTTGTAGCGAAAGGGCAGATACCGTGGAATGGTAGCTGAAGACATCATTATGAGGGCCACAGTGCTCCAGAGAGGTTTGCCACTCAGCCAAGGCAGGCCTGTTAGAGGAAAGTCAGGACCCTGGTGGGGAAACCTGAGATTCTGCAAACAGGAACAGGGTTATCCGATGGGTGCCCTCCAGGATCCTCTGGGCATGCATAGGAGGCTCACCCTTCTCTAGTAATGGTTCCCACTTCCTATGCTGGAAGATGCTACAGAAGTCTCACCCCCATGATACAGCAGGAATCCCACTGAAGAGCTTTGCAGGAACTAGCTGGCACGTCCCCATAGGAGGCTGAGGAGCACTTCTGGGATTGGAATTTGAGGGTGTTTGATCAAGGAACCAGAATTTCAAGCTGGAAGAATAAAAATCCTTTGGCTTGGAGGCACTTTCTCAAGGCATGGGTTTATCAAACACCCCAGGACTTTGATAAGGGGGGGGGCCAAACCCACCGCTGGGGTGAATCCATATAGACTAGAAAAAATGATGCCTAACTCTCAACAAGGTAGACGTGACTTAGTTGCCCTGGAACTTGCACAGGATGGAATAACAAGGCTGAGGGAAGTGGGCATGGTGAAGGCCCACCAGTACCATGCTCCACAAGACGGTCCAAAGGAAACACCTTCCACCAGAGCCTCAGAAACGTGATGGTGAGAGGGACCTGCATCATTAAGAAGTGTCAGGGTGTTGTCCTCTGCAGGCTGGATGTGATGGTAGTAAAGATGACCCAGAGTTACATTTATTAATAACCCTGGGGAGAGTGTGGCCCTGAAGACACAAAGACCAAATGGTGGCAGTGACCTGAAAAAGCCAGAGGGCAGAGTTACTATGGCAAACTAAAAGGAGTAGCCAATAGGACTCAAGCTGCAGGGAATGTGGGGAAGGATAGTAGAGGGTGGTGTCCCAGGATTAGGACAGGAAGCCAACAAGGGCGCTGCTTGATATCTATGATAAGAAAGCAAGAATTGAGAAGCAGGAGGGTGAAGGTGTTTGACCCAATACAAAGTCATGATCCCATCCTCAATGCCTAGACCTCAGCCAAAGTTCAGATTCAGATCCCAGTGACAGAGGAGGAGTCCATATCCCTAGGAGGAATACCCTGCAACCCCGTGGAAGTAAATGCTGGCACAATTCCCTCAGTCCTTCAGCAAAGGAACCTATAGCCATTTACTCAGGAGATTGTACACTGGCGAAAGGAAAGATGCAGAACTGGTCAGATTATTGACACTGAGTGAGAGCTGACATTGATGCCCAGATGCCCACAGCACTATCATGTCTCCCATCACAGTGGGGCTTACGGAGGTCAGGGAGTAAACCTGGACACATTACGGCCCACAATGGAACTACTGGTTCCATAGACCCAGCCCTGGTTATCTTCCAATTCCCTGAGTACATAATTGACACTGATGCACTGTTAAGTGGAGTCACCCCCACACTGGGTCCCTAGTCTGTGGAGTCAGGACTCTCATTGTGCTGAAAGCCAAAGGGAAACCTCTGACGCTGCCCACATCCTGGCCAAAAAAAAAAAAAAAAAAATCATAGCGTGTCCCAGGGTGTGTCTTGAGGAAGACACTGAAAGTAATGTGGGAGTCACACCACCATTAGAGAGCTGAAGGATGTGGGATGGTGTTGGGGTTGTTTATTGTCTCTACATAATCCAGCAACCTGTCCCTGAGGAACCCTGATGAGGACTAAAGAATGAATGAGATTACTCCAGGTCTGGCCAAGCAGGAATTATAATTGCAGCTTTTATGTTGTCTGGATATCACTGCAGAGCAGAATAATAAAGCCTCGGGCACACAGCGTGCAGCTATGGATTTGGTGAGTGCATTTCTTTCCACTCCAATTAGAAAGGGGATATGGAGCGATTCACATCCATGTGGGATCCACAACACATTTATTTATAGTTTTTTCTCAGGGCTATTGTAACTCCCCTGCCCTATATAGTATGGTCTAAAGACAATACTAGACATACTGGATATTCTATAGGATATTAAATCAGCTCATTTCACTGACAACTTCATGTTGACTGCGGTGAATGAGCAGCAGGTAGAAAGTGCACTGGAGTCATTGGCAAAACACACGCACTCCAGTATGTGAAGATAAACCTTACAGAGCTTCAAGAGTGGCCACTGAAGTGAAGTTTTATGGGTTAACAAGTGCCAAGTGTTTAGGGGAATGCAGGTGTGTTCCCTCCAAGGTAAAAGACAAACTGTTTCATCTTGCATCCTCACCAGAAGGAAGGAAGCACACTGCCTGATGAGCCTCTTTGAGTTCTGACAACACCACATTCCACATCTAGGTACGTGCTTTGGCAAACACTCTAGGTGACATAGGAGGAGGCCAGCTTCAAGTAGGGCCTACACAGGAAAGGACCCTGCAGCAGATCCAGGCCATGGTGCGAGCAGCCAGCGTCCCTCAGACCCCCTGGGGCTGGTGGTGCCAGTGGTGGGGAAAGATGCAGGATGGAGCTGAACCAAGCACCAGTGGAAGAGTCACAGTGAAGGGCCTGGGATTCTGGAGTAAGATCGTATCATCCACAGCAGAGACATATGCCCCCTGTTAGAAGCAACTTTTAGTGTTCCTTGTCCTGATTTGATAGAAAGCTTGACCACAGGACACCAGGCAACTATGTGGTTCCAAGTGCCTTTGTGACCCACAACATCATAAATTGCACAAGCCCAACAGCATTCATCATGAAGTGAAAATGGTCCACCTGGGTTGAGCTTGAATCCCACGTTTACACCCACAGAAAACACCCAAGTCTGAAGTGGCACTGAACAACCAAACAGACAAATGGAAGTTAGCCAGCCTTCACCATGGGTCAGCCCAGGCCTGGTAGGATGAGTGCATGAATGGAGCAACCACAGTGGCAGGCATGAGGGCCAGCAGCACTGACTTCCCCCTACCAAGGCAGATCCAGCTGCTGCCACCTCTGAATGTCCAACTCATCAGCATTTTAGGCCCATGATGTGCCCTAGTGGGGCACTATTTCTTTAGGTGACTAGCCATTAACTAAGAAGTTGACTACATTTACCTACTTCCATCCTGGAAGGACCAGAGGTTCATCTTCACAGGGTTAGGTACCTATTCTAGGGGGGTTTTTCTGTCCTGCTCTCAGACATAGCCAGTACCACTCTCTGGATGCTGTTGACATTCCTGGTCTGCAGGCTAGGTTGTGCTCCTAGCCCATTATCTGCCTGAAGGACCCACTTGGCAAGGGAAAGATTCAGTGTTTCCATGGCTGTTCCTTCCACTAACCCTATCACCAGCTACTCTCCCCAGGGGCTGCCAGCCACAAAGAATGCCCCATATGTAGCCTCACACCTGCCACTGTGGTTGTTCCATTCATGTGCCCATCCTATCATGCATGGGCTGACCCATAGGGAAGGCTGGCTAACTTCCATTTGTCTGTTTCGTTGTTTAATGACACTTCAGACTTGGCTGTTTTCTGTGGGTGTCAACATGGGATTCAAGCTCAACCCAGGTGGACCATTTTCACCTCATGATGAATGCTGTTTGGCCTGTGCAATCTATGACTTTCTGGGTCACACAGGCACTTGGAACCACATAGTTGCTTGGAGTCCCGTGATCTTCCACAGGCACAACTAAGTGCCAGCCTGGAGGAAACACTCTGAGGGTTGCATGCCATCTTTCAGGACATGGTGCGCTGTTTAAATCAGAGATGTCTCTACAGTTCTGTGTTCGCAAGAGGAAGAACATGTGGGTCCAGAAATCAAACGGTGGAAGCAAGTATGGCTCCATGTCTAATCTTTTAGATTCACGTAATGGGGTATTTGACATGTTTTATCTCAGAACACTGGGCTGTGCAGGGTACGAGGTCCTGGTTTGCAAAGGAGGGTACCCTTAAAAGCAGACAAAAGACAGCCCACTGAACTACACATTAAGTTTGTCACCAGAGAAGTGTGGACAGTATATGCCCAGAGACCACCTGGTGAGAAGAGGAGTCTCCTCCTCTCCAGGCCCAGGTAATAGATCCTCATCCCCAGGAGGAGGCATGGCTACTTTCACACAATAAAGGCAGAAGTGTGGAAACCAGAGATCCACCTGGGGGCCTTCTGTTTTCCCTCACCCCATTGCAA
Organism: Homo sapiens; assembly: GCF_000001405.40. NCBI lineage: Eukaryota > Metazoa > Chordata > Mammalia > Primates > Hominidae > Homo > Homo sapiens. The sequence continues at coordinate 1,217,453 of NT_167249.2, forward strand.
GTGTGAGTAGAATTATCCAGCAATTCAGCCTGAGAGGATTTGATTTCCAAGGGCCCAGACCCATCAGGGCAGAAGGTTTGAGTCACACTCCTGGGTAATCCTCCAAAGCTGTGCTCCTGTGCTCTGACATCCTCAGTGGCATTGGTGCTGAGGCCCTGCTTCCCATGGACTATTCCCAACCAGTGATGGGTCACACCAGTGACACTAAGGCAGGACATTCCTGGAAGACAGGGGACTCCTCTGATGGCCAGCTGTGGCTGGAGGACTCCTCCATGGCCTTGCTCAACTCTCCTTAGATTGCTTGTGGTCTAGGACATGTTAAGTAATCCTTCCTTCCTTCTTTCCATCACTGGGGGTCACACTTGCATCTTATTCTATTGCCTTTCCCAGGGTAACCTACCTCCCTCGCCATATCGTCTGACAGGTGTGTCCCCTAATAAAATGCTGTAACTTTAATCCTATGATGGCACTTGCTTTTTGGAGCATTTGGACTACAAAATCATTTTCGTCTGCACACCAGTGACCTCTTACTTATTCCAACGTGTAAAATCTTTTTGTTTATTCAACTTCTTCTACCTGCATTGGCTCCATTTTGCTGGTATTTGTATTATGTTTTTGAGTTCACCAATGTTTGTTGCTGTAAGTCACTAAATTTTGGGGTAGTTTTTTACACAGCAACAGATAACTAATGAAGCCTTCTTACATTTCCATTATTCTATAGAGGTTAACTACATCTATTTTATTTCCTCCTATTTTGATAATATTAGCCATACAGAGGGTTTCCAGTTCCCAACGCCTATTCTTTTCTTTATTTTAGTTTCTTTTCTCCTTTGTTCCTTCTTTTTCTCTTTCCTTCTGTCCCTCCTTCCCTCTTTACTTCCATTCTATCTCTCACCCTCCCTCCTTCTCCCTTCCTCCTTTCCGTCCTTTTTCTTCCCCTTCCCCTTCCTTCTTTTCTTCTTTCACTCCTTCCTCAATTCCTCCTTCTTTCTCTCCCTTCCTCCATTTTTTCCTTTTTATTATGAAATTTTCCTAACATATAAAATAACCCCTACATGATTGTGCTATCAGTAAGAATTTTCTGAATCTATATGTCAAAAGTATAATACCATGGTATATGAGAAACAAGTAAACAACAGGAAGTTATTAATAGAGTCTGAATAAAAATGCCTGCTATAATTCTGCAGCCAAGACAGTGGCTTTTAACTCAATTCCTTCAACTAGGTGTTTTCAGAACACATGAGTTTAAGTTGACACAATCACCTTGGAAATCATATTATCATTATCTAGTATGGTTAAAGTCCATACAACATATCATCCAACCCTCCCACTCCTAACCACACACTCTAGGGGGCTTTCTTGCCTATGTGCCCAGGAGACAGGCACACTAATGTTTATGGCAAAAACTGGAATCAGCCACATATACATCAATAGGAAATATACATCAATAGGAAATTGTGGCATAAAATGTAAACCTTCAGCAGTGAAAATGAATGAATGACAGCCTCCCACACCACAGATAACTCCTGTACGTAATGTGCATCATGGGAAAATAAATGCAGTAGGAATTTGCTGTACAGGAAGCTTAAAACCAGCAAAAGTAAATAATTTTTTTTCGGATATATATATGTACATATATATATATACTTATTGTGCAAATCTTTAAAGAAATACAAAGGAATAAGGATCACAAGACTCAGGATGGAGTCTCTCTCTGGGGGATGTGACAGGGCAGCAGCCCAGGGTAGCTTTACAGGTTTGTGTTTTACACCAGTGCTGGGCATCTTTTTAGTTACATGATTGTAATTTGTTAAACAGAGTTTTCAAATTAAAATATACCTGGTATTTATAAAAATGAAAGAGAAAAGAATACCAAAGTTCATTGCAAGGATCCTTAACAAGAACTACTTACATTGAAAGAAAACCACAGAGAAATGTAAGCAGCCATGTGACAGAGAGGACCAGGATGTGATGAAAATGGCCTTGGTTAATAATAGTTCATTTGATCCTTAGCTCACAGGCATCTCTCTGGATTTTCAAGTATACAATGTTCAATCTGATGTGCAAGGTAATTCCTTCTTGCAAAGGATTTGGTGTTACATTTTACCACACATACAACTGAATTAAACTTTCACAGAATTGGAAATACACATCACTGATCAAAATAAATGAAACAAGAAAAGAGTAGAAAGGAACAACCAGTGATGGAATAGCAAATATGAATGGAAAGCAAAATAAGACAGCTAAAAAAAAAAAAAAAAGAAAGCTTCAGAAGCACATAATAGCAGTGCTATTTAGAACTGTAGTAGTGTCCAAATCACTTCTACCACATCTCATGCAATACCACACCCAAAAATGTTAAGTTTACAATAGAATGCCCCTGAGCCATTTTTGGAAAAAATTTGATTCTCAATTCGAGTTAAGCATTTTGGGCTACTGCATCAAACCAAAGTTACTGGCATTATGCTAAGCTAGATGTGTTGACTGAAGTATGAGATTCCCATTTTTGTAAATGAGAAGCAATCTGATTATGCAATTTTTTCTAAGTGAAAGCAAGTTTATTAGAGAAGTAAAGAAACAAAAGAATGGCTACTCCATAGACAGAGCAGTGTGTGTGTATTTTTTTTTAAGTGTAGGCAAATGTTTTCTGAAGATGATATGTCAATAAGAAAATTGGCACTTGGGGCATACTTCCACTAAATTTGAGACATCTTAGACAAAACAAAGACTTATTTTCAAGGCATGATTCTTATGGCACTGAAGTCTTGGAACTATTTGATCTAGTTACTCTATGTTCTCAACTGTGTTAACTTATTGAAAAACATTGTTATTAAAGGTATTTACAAGAGAAACGCAGAGATACTGTTGTTTCTCCTTTCTCTGTCTCAAACTGTTTTCCCTGCAGCACCCAAGGCTCTGTCATGTCTCAAACATTTAATCATTAATTTAAAAAGAGAAGCTTATCACAGAATTAGAAAAAAAATTTTGAAAATTCATGTGGATCCAAAAAAGAGGTTGTGTAGCCAGGAGAATGCTAAGCAAAAAGAATAAAGCTGGAGGCATCAGGCTATCCTACTTAAAACTGTACTATAAGGCTAAAGTAACCAAAACAGCATGGTACTGGTAGAAAAACAAGCATATAGACCAACAGAACAGAATAGAAAACTCAGAAATAAGACCTCACATCTACAACCATGTGATCTTCAACAAACCTGACAAAAATAAGCAATGGGGAAAGGAAACGCTATTTAATAAATGGTGCTGGGAAAACTGGCTAGCCATATGCAGAAAATTGAAACTGGACCCCTTCTTTACACCTTACACAAAAATTAACTCAAGATGGATTAAAGACTTAAATGTAAAACCCAAAACTAGAAAAACCCTGAAAGAAAATCTAGGCAATACCATTCAGGACATACGCATGGGCAAAGATTTTATGATGAAATTGCCAAAAGCAACTGCCACAGAAGCAAAAATTGACAAATGGGATCTAATTAAACAAAAGAGCTTCTGCACAGGAAAAGAAACTATCATCAGAGCGAAAAGGAGACAACCTACAGAATGGGAGAAAATTTATGCAATCTATCGATCTGACAAAGGTCTAATATTCATAATCTAAAAAGAACTTAAGCAAATTTACATGAAAAAAACAACTTCATTAAGAAGTGGACAAAGCACATGAACAGACACTTCTCAAAAGAAGACATACAGGTGGCCAAAAAACATATTTTAAAAAGCTCAATATCACTGATCGTTAGAGAAATGCAAGTCAAAACCACAGTAAGATACCATCTCATGCCAGTCAGAATGGCAATTATTAAAAAGTTAAGAAACAACAGATTCTGGCGAGGTTGTAAGGAAATAGGAATGCTTTTACACTGTTGGTGGAAATGTAAATTGGTTCAACCAATGAGGAAGGCAGTGTGGTGATTCCTCAAAGATTTAGAACCAGAAATACCATTTGACCCAGCAATCCCATTGCAGGGTATATACCCAAAGGAATATAAATCATTCTATTATAAAGATATGTGCATGTGTTTGTTCATTGCAGCACAATTCACAACAGCAAAGACATGGAATCAACCCAAATGCCCACCAATGAGGGACTAGATAAAGAAAATATGGTACATATATGCCATGGAATATTATGCAGCCATAAAAAGGAATGAGATCAAATCCTTTGCAGGGATATGGATGAAGCTGGAAGCCATTATCCTCAGCAAACTAACACAGGAACAGAAAACCAAACACCACATGTTCTCACTTATAATTGTGAGCTGAGCAATGAGAACACATGGACACAGGGAGAGGAACAACACACACTGGGGCCTGTTGGGGGAGGGCGGTGGTGGGGGGAGCATTAGGAAAAATGGCTAATGCATGCAGGGGTTAATACTTAGGTTATGGGTTGATTGGTGCAGCAAACTGCCGTGGAACCCGTTTACCTGTGTAACAAACCTGCACATCCTGCATATGTACCCTGGAACTTAAAATTAAACTAAATTAAATTAAAGGACAAGATTAAAATGTTAAGGAAAAATAATTAGATTAAAAGCCTTTAACTTAAAAATCCTGAAACAATAGTTTGAATTTTGCTTTTAACATATATGCAAATCCTTTAATACTGCTCCCTTCCAGAGGTGCAGCTTAATTCCCTCTCTTGAGTGTGGCTTGGACTTAATGATGCACTTCTGATATGGCCTGGTTCTGTGTTCCCACCCAAATCTCATCTTCAATTGTCATGCGAATTGTAATCCCCAGTATTGAAGGAGGGACCTCATGGGAGGTGATTGGATCATGCTGTTCTAATGATAGTGAGTGAATTCTCATGAGATCTGATGGTTTTATAAGGGGCTTTTCCCCGCTTCCCTCTGCATTTCTCTCTCCTGCCACCATGTGAAGAAGGACAGGTTTTCTTCCACTTCTGCCATGATTGTAAGTTTCCTGGGGCGGCCTCCTCAGCCATGCAGAACTGGGAGTCAGTTAAACCTCTTTCCTTTATAAATTACCCAGTCTCAGGTATTTCTTTATAGCAGTGTGAGAACAGACTAATACAACTTCTAACTGATAGAGCAATGCCGACATAACAGCTTGTGACTCTGGGTGTAGAACCTAAAACTCCCTGTGGCTTCCACCTTCTCTCTCTCTGTCTCTGGGATCATGAGCTCTGGGGAAAGTCAGCTGCTGTGCCATGAGCAGCCCTGCAGGAAGGTCCATCTGGCTAAGAATTGAGGCCTTCTGGGACTCAATTACAATGAACTAGGCCTTTTCCAACAGCCATGTGACTGATCCATGTTTCATGTGAATCCTCAGCCCCAGTGAAGCCCTCAGATGATGCAGGCCTAGACTGACAACTGGACTGCAACCTTGTGAAAGGCCCTTAGCAAGAAGCACTCAGGGAAACTTCTGGATTCCTGACAATTGGAAACTGTGGGAGATGATCAATATTTGTTGTTTTGAAATGGTACATTTTACATAATTTGTTATGCAATAGTAAATAACTAATACATTTTCACAAGACAGGATGTATTATTACATGTTAATTTGCATTTGCTCTAAATTTATCATCATCATTATTATTATTTTTGAGACAGGGTCTCACTCTGTCACCCAGGCTGGAGTGCAGTGGCATGATCACCATGCACTGCAGTGTAGACCTCCTGGGCTCAAGGGACCCTCTGACCTCAGCCTCTTGAGTAGCTGGGAGTACAATCATGAACCACCATGCCTGGCTAATTTTCTAATTTTTTGTAGAGATGGGGGTTTCACCATGATGCCCAGGCTGATCTTGAACTTCTGGAGTCAAAAAATCTGCCTTCCTCTGCCTTCCACAATGCTAGTATTGCAGGTGCGAGCCACCAAATCTGGCCTAAATTAATTAAAAGATATAAATATGTAACTTAGTTTTAAAAGGTAAGGAGAATTTCCGTGGCTGAAAAGGATGTATTTTATTACCGTTCACAATGATTACTTTACTTGAACTTCAATTTGCAACTGTGTCCTAAGTGAACACAAAAAGAAGATCCAGCCCTTGCTAGGCTGATTCTATGATGGCCTCAACAACAAGCTCCTGGTCATTCACCTTCCCCCCATTATTCAACCAACTCTAATGTAGGTGCTGCTGTGAAGGGATTTAACAGATATAATTAAGGGCCTCAATTAGTTGACTTTAGGCTGGGTTTATGCTGCTTGGACTGTCCTAATCAGGTGAGTCCTTGAAAGGACTGGGTTCTTCCTGAGCATAGAGATTCACAGTGTGAGAGGGATTCAGCATGAGGGGTTTCCTCCACTGTGGGCTTTGAAAATGAAGGGGCTGTACAGGGAAGAACGCTGGTGGGCATCAGGAATTGAGCGCAGCCCTCCCTGTTCTCTACATTGACAGCCAGCAAGGAACGCGGACCTCAGTCTTACAACTGCAAGAAACTGCATTCTGCCACCTCTGTATAAGCCTGAAGGAGGATTCAAAATGAAAACACAGCTTTGGGAAGCCCGGAACAGAGATTCCATCCACATCATGCCCAGATTTCTGACTCAGGTACTATAAACAGATAAATGGGTGTTGTTTGGCCAGGCGTGGTAATGCACACCTGCAATCCTAACATCTGAGGAGCTGACACAGGAGGATCACTTGCATCCAGGAGTTTGAGACCAGCCGAGATCAAACAGTGAGACACTCATCTCTACAATTTCTTTTTAATTAGCTGGGAGTGGTGGCACTTGCCTGCAGTCCTAGCTACTCTGAAGACTGAGGCAGGAAGATCCCTTGAGCCCAGGAGTTTGAGGCTGCAGTGAGCCATGATCATGTGACTGCACTTCACCCTGGATGACAGAGGGAGACTCTGTGTCTAAAAACAAATAAATCAACAATAATTGGGTGTTGTTTAAAGTCAATGTTTGTGATAATTTGTTATGCAATCTTATAAAATTCATACACAGGCTCAACAGACTCGGAATGAATTGATATGCACACTAGTTACATAAAATAAAATATTTCTTAATTTTTCAGTGTTTTACATTTTATAACTTTCTGTGATGCAATTTAATACCTTCACATTTCATTCATTCAGTCAACAAAAATTAATTTAGTGCCTAAGATGAACCAGGTATGCCCTCATATGCTCACGTGCCTGACATTCTAGAAGCTTCACAAGACCGAGGTGGAGCCACTGGAGTGTTTTAGGTGAGGAAATGACACACTCTGACTCACAGGAGCAGGACCACTGTGGAGAGAACAGTCACGTAGCAGGTAATGGGACAATGCTAGAGCCACAATTTAGAAGTGACAGGGTGGTGGGGACTAAGGGGAGAGGAGGGCCTGAGGGATGAAAGGGACAGAGGGAAGGGCTGGAGAAGCAGGAGGTTAGGAAAAGGAGCAGAGGGAAGGAATTGGAAAGCAGTAGAATTCTTAGGTTTAAACACATTGTTTTATAGATTTTTATTACATCCATCTACAGAGCCTCGCTCAGTGTTCTTTGCAGTTGGCCTTTAATACCTAATGTAGGACTGCCTAAAAACTAATGTTTTTTATGTTAATAAGGTTTAAAAAATACTTAGTGTTCCTTCTTTGCAGTTGGCCTTTAATACTATATTTGGGACTGCCTAGAAACTATTTTTTTTTAATTAATCAGGTTTTAAAAATACTAAGTGTTCCTATAAGATATACATACCACTTAGACGTGAATACTTCCTAAAAACAGGCAGCGCATGAGCACTGCTGAGGGGCATTGTGACTGCATTGAACACTTGCAACTGTGAGGTGAATAAAGTCTGTACTGGCTCCCGGTTGCAACATATAGTAACAGTGTGCTACTTTATATTGAGGAGATGTCTTGGACTCACCCAGTAACTCAGGGCTGTGGAATGAAGGTAAATGTAAAAATCAAGCGGGAGTCACAGATACATTGTCTGCGAAAGTCAAACTTACTAGCTTTGTGAGTCCTGTTGTAATGCTTTCAGACACATTTATATATCAAGGGGCCAAAGTTACATTTTTTACCGATTAGATTCCTGATCATTTAGGGGTTGCCAAGATTCTGCTACCCACTGTAGTTAATAAACAAAGAGAAAACTTGTCTCTATTCTATCTCATGTACTCAGGCACAACTTTTCCGGATTTAAAGAAAAAAAAAACCTGTCTCTACGCCTCCATTCCCAGGGCGAGCTGCCTCTCTGGCGGCGAGCTCCCTCTCTGTCACCAAGCTCCCTGGGGTGAGTTTTTTTCTAGAAGAGTTCAGGGAAATAGGTAAGGAGTGGGAGGCAGGGAGTCCAGTTCTGGGACGGGGATTCCGGGATGAAAAGTGAAGAGGGAAGGGGCCCATGACGAGGGTTTCTCCCTGGTTTCTCAGACAGCTCTTGGGCCAAGACTCAGGGAGACATTGAGACAGAGCGCTTGGCACAGGAGGAGCGGGGTCAGGGCGAAGTCCTATGGCCCCAGGCGTGGCTCTCAGGGTTTCAGGCCCCGAAGGCGATGTATTGATTGGGGAGGCCCAGGGTTGGGGATTCCCCATCTCCGCAGTTTCTCTTCTCCCTCTCCCAACTTATGTAGGGTCCTTCTTCCTGGACACTCAGGATGTGGACTCAGTTCTCACCCCCATTTGGTGTCGGGTTTCTAGAGAAGCCAATCGGCGTCGCTGGGGTCCCTGTTCCAGAAGTCCCCGCGAACCCATTGGGACTCAGATTCTCCCCAGACGCCGAGGATGGGGTCATGGCGTCCCGAACCCTCCTCCTGCTGCTCTTGGGGGCCCTGGCCCTGACCGAGACCTGGGCGGGTGAGTGCGGGATCCGGAGGGAAATGGCCTCTGCGGGGAGGAGCTAGGGGCCCGCGCACTGGGGCGCAGGACCCGGGGAGCAGCGCAAGGAGGAGGGTCGGACGGGTCTCAGCCCCTCCTCGCCCCCAGGTTCCCACTCCATAAGGTAGTTCAGCACCGCCGTGTCCCGGCCGGGTCGCGGGGAGCCCCGGTACATCGCAGTGGGCTACGTGGACGACACGCAGTTCGTGCGGTTCGACAGCGACGCGGCGACTCCGAGGATGTAGCCGCAGGCGCCGTGGTTGGAGCAGGAGGGACCGGAGTATTGGGACCGGAGCACACGGAACATCAGGCCCGCGCACAGACTGACAAGAGTGAACCTGCCCATGCCGCGCCGCTACTACCACCAGAGCTAGGCCGGTGAATGACCCCGGCCTGGGGCGAAGGTCACGACCCCTCCTCATCCCCCACGGACGTCCCGGGTCCCCCCCGCGAGTCTCCGGCTCCGAGATCCACCCCGAGGCTGCGGGACCCGCCAGATCCTCGACCCGGGAGAGGCCCAGGCGCCTTTACCAGATTTCATTTTCAGTTTAGGCCAAAATCCCCGCGGGTTGGTCGGGGCAGGGGCGGGGCTCGGTGGGCGGGGTTGACAGCGGGGGCGGGGCCTGGGTCTAACAACCTCCAGATAATGTATGGCTGCGACTTGGGGCTGGAAGGGCGCCTCCTCCGCGGGTATGAACAGCACGCCAACGATGGCAAGGATTACATAGCCCGGAACTAGGACCTGCGCTCCTGGACCGCGGCGGACATGGCGGCTCAGATCACCAAGCGCAAGTGGGAGGCAGAAGAATTTGCAGAGCAGATCAGGGCCTACCTGGAGGGCACGTGCGTGGAGAGGCTCGCAGACACCTGGAGAACGGGAAGGAGATGCTGCAGCTCACGGGTACCAGGGAACACAAGACGTCTCCCTGATCGCCTGTAGATCTCCTGGGCTGGCTTCCCACAAAGAGAGAAGGAAAATGGGACCAACACTAGAATGTCGTCCTCTCTCTAGTCCTGAGGGAGAGGAATCCTCCTGGGTTTCCAGATCCTGTACAAGAGAGTGACTCTGAGGGTCTGCCCTGCTCTCTGATACAATTAAGGGATGAAATCTCTGAGGAAATGAAGGGAAGACAATCCCTGGAATACTGATGAGGGGTTCCCTTTGACACCAGCAGCAGCCTTGGGCCCCGTTACTTTTCCTCTCAGGCCTTGTTCTCTGCTTTACACTCAATGTGTGTGGGGGTCTGAGTCCAGCTCTTCTGAGTCCCTCAGCATCCACTCAGGTCAGGACCAGAAGTCACTGTTCCCTCCTCAGGGACTAGAATTTTCCACGGATAGGAGATTATCCCAGGTACCTGTGTCCAGGTTGGTGTCTGGGTTCTGTGCTCCCTTCCCCACCCCAGGTGTCCTGTCCATTCTCAGGATGGCCACATGCGTGCTGCTGGAGTGTCTCATGAGAGATGCAAAGTGCCTGAATTTTCTGACTCTTCCTGTTAGACACCCCCCTCCAAGACACATATGATCCACCATTCCATCTCTGACTATAAGGCCACCCTGAGGTGCTGGGCCCTGGGCTTCTACCCTGTGGAGATCACACTGAGCTGGCAGCAAGATGGAGAGGACCAGACTCGGGACATGGAGCTTGTAGAGACCAGGCCTGCAGGGGATGGAACCTTCCAGAAGTGGGCAGCTGTGGTGGTGCCTTCTGGAGAGGAACAGAGATACATGTGCCATGTGCAGCATGAGGGGTTGCCCGAGCCCCTCACCCTGAGATGGGGTAAGGCAAGAGATTAGTGGAGGGGGGGGTCATGTCTCTTAGGTAAAGCAGGAGCCTCTCTGGAGAACTTCAGCAGGGTCGGTGCTGGGGGCTGAGGGTCAGGGACGCTCACCTTCCCCTTTTTTCCCAGAGCAGTCTTCTCAGCCCACCATCCCCATCGTGGGCATCGTTACTGGCCTGGTTCTCCTTGGAGCTGTAGTCACTGGAGCTGTGGTTTCTGCTGTGATGTGCAGGAAGAAGAACTCAGGTAAGGAATGGATGAGGAGTGGGGTCTGAGATTTCTTGTCCCACTGAGGGTTTCAAGCCCCAGTTAGAAGCGTGTCCTGCCTGGTTACTGGGAAGCACCATCCACACTCATGGGCCTACCCAGCCTGGGCCCTGTGTGCCAGCACTTACTCTTTTGTAAAGCACCTGTGACATTGAAGGACAGATTTATCACCTTGATGATTATGATGATGGGGACCTGATCCCAGCAGTCACAAGTCACAGGGGAAGGTCCCTGCTGAGGACAGACCTCAGGAGGGCAGTTGGTTCAGGACCCACACCTGCTTTCCTCATGTTTCCTGATCCTGTCCTAGATCAGCAGTTACACTTTCAGGAAACTTCTCTAGGATCAAAGGCTAGGGGGTTTGTTTAGGGCCGTATGGCCCTGACTCCTTTCTGGCCTCTTATAGGACATTTTCTTCCCACAGATAGAGTGAGCTACTCTGAAGCTGCAAGTAAGTATGAAGTGGGCTGATCCCTGAGATCTTTGGGATATTGTGGTCGGGAGCCCATGGGGGAGCTCACCCAACCCCAGATTCCTCCTCTAGCCGCATCTCCTGTGGGCTCTGACCAAGTCCTGTTTTTGTTCTACCCCAGGCAGCGACCATGCGCAGGGTTCTGATGTGTCTCTCACGGCTTGTAAAGGTGAGACGCTGGGGGACCTGATGTGTGGGGGGTGTTGGGGGCAATAGTGGATGCAGCTGTGCTATGGGGTTTCTTTGAATTGGATGTATTGAACATGTGATGGGCTGTTTAAAGTGTCATCCCTCACTGTGACGGATATGAATTTGTTCATGAATATTTTATTTTATAGTGTGAGACAGCTGCCTTGTGTGGGACTGAGAGGCAAGATTTGTTCACGCCTTCCCTTTGTGACTTCAAAAACCCTGACTCTCTTTCTGCAAAGGCACCTGAATGTGCCTGTGTTCCTGTAGGCATAATATGAGGAGGTGGGGAGACCAACCCACCCCCATGTCCACCATGACCCTCTTCCCTCATGCTGACCTGTGTTCCCTCTCCAATAATTAATCATTCCTGCTCCATAGAGGTGAGGCTGAGATGTCTCCATCTCTGTCTCAACTTTATGTGCACTGAGCTGTAACTTCTTACTTCCCTATTAAAATTAGAATCTGAGTATAAATTTACTTTTTCAAATTCTTGCCATGAGAGGTTGATGGGTTAATTAAAGGAGAAGATTCCTAAAATTTGAGAGACAAAATAAATGGAAGACATGAGAACCTTCCAGAGTCCACATGTTTCTTATGCTGATTTGTTGCATGAGAGGAGAGTAGATGGGGCTGTGCCCAGTGGGTGCTCAGGCCACCGTGCGCTTTATGTGGTCACTGCTCAGCTGGGTCATCTTTGCTGCTCCGTTGTCCTTGGCTGTATGATCCAGCCCAACGGGGCTTAGCGGGTTTTCTCCCCGTGTGCGGAGATGAGAGATTGTAATAAATAAAAGCACAAGAGAAAGAGATAAAGAGAAAACAGCTGGGCCCGGGGGACCACTACCATCAAGATGCGGAGACCGGTAGTGGCCCCGAACAGCTGGGCTCGCTGATATTTATTGCATACAAGACAAGGGGCAGGGTAAGGAAGGTGAATCTTCTAACTGACTGACAAGGTGAAGCAAGTCACGTGATTACAGGATAGGGGGCCCTTCCCTTTTAGGTAGCATATGTCACCATTTTCTTTTCTGCACTTAAGATCAAAGACTTTAAGACTTTCACTATTTCTTCTACCATTATCTACTATGAAATTCAAAGAGGAACCAGGAGTACAGGAGGAGCATGAAAGTGGACAAGGAGCATGACCACTGAAGCACAGCACCACAGGGAGGGGTTTAGGCCTCTGGATGACTGCGGGTAGCTCTGGATAATATCCAGCCTTCTACAAGAAGCTGGTGGAGCAGTGTTCCCCGACTCCTCCAAGAAAGGGAGACTCCCTTTCGTGGTCTGCTAAGTAACAGGTGCCTTCCCAGACATTGGCATTGCCACTTGACCAAGGATCCCTCAAGCGGCCCTTATGCGGGCGTGACAGAAGGCTCATCTCTTGCCTTCTAGGTCACTTCTCACAATGTCCCTTCAGCACCTGACCCTATGCCCGCCGGTTATTCCTAGGTTATCTTAGTAATGCAACAAAGGGTAATATTAAAAGCTAATGATTAATAATGTTTATAATAATGATTGATAATTTTTCATGATCATCTCTATATCTAATTTGTATTATGACTATTCTTATTCTAACTATTTTCTTTATTATACTAAAACAGTTTGTGCACTCAGTCTCTTGCCTCTGCACCTGAGTAATCCTCCGCCCACACTTGGCCCTTCAGTAGAACCTTGTCCCACCATGACCTGTGATCACAGGGACTTGGATGTCACCTACGGCAGTCCCTGCATACCAGGGTCCTTGTAGTATCAAGAGACAAATTTTCAGATCTTTCAAGCTCTTGCCCTCTTCCCAGGGCTCTTTCCTCATTGTATTTTCCATCTTTTCTGCAATCTTTTTAAAGGAACCAGATTCTGAAATTTGCCAAGAGGCAGGGTCCCGTAGTTTCTCATCATAGGTAACTTTCTGTTGGAACTCCTCTTCTGCACTCCTACTCTTCTTCCTGCCCTGAGTTGTAGTAATCCTAGTGCTGGCTCCAATAGAAACTCATCAATTTATAAAGCAAAGTCTAGTTTAGATTCATATGTGGTTGGAAAATTGGACCCATAAGCCTAGGGTTATCTTTCCTGAAGAGAAAAATATGGTTGTGTGCTGCAGTGTGCAGGAGAGTTAGTGTGGGGGGAGGGAGGGAGGGAGGGAGGACACACAAGCAGCCCTGGTGAGAAAAGCTCTGGTGGCACTGATGTCAGTGTGAGATGATGTTGTTCTGTAGCTGCCACAAAAATAAAGCATTTGTCCTGAGGCTACATTAATAAAGATATTGCCTCTAGAATAGAGTGGTTCTCTATGATCATTCCTTCAACTGACATTTGTTTCTGCTAGGTATATAACGGTTTTTGCATTTAGAAAGCATCATTAAAGTAAAAACAGAAAAATTTCGGGCCTTGTGGTGCATATGTTCTAGATGCAAGCTTGTCCAACCTGCAGCTCGTGGGCTGCATGTGGCCCAAGACAATTTTGAATGTGAGGACTTTTTTGCTTATCTGTGGTGCACCTGAGTCCCGGAGTGAGTGCACCCACCTCCCTCAGGGTCAGGAGTGAATGCTTTAGGAACCCTCCTTTTCAGTGACCTGAAAAAGATAGAGGGCACACTTACTGTGATAACCCAGAGTATCAGTCAAGGGGGCTTGACCTTCAAGGAGTTATGGGAAAGCTTAATAAAGGGTGGTGTCCCAGGGTCAGAAAAGATGGGCAGACAGCAAGAGCACTGCTTGATATCTATGATAAGCATGTAAGAATTGAGGAGCAAGCTTCATATTCAGAATCCAGTGGCTGAGGAAGTATCCATATCCCTAAGAGAAAGAACCTTGGGACACCATGACTGTTACATGCTGGGACAATTCCATCAGACCTTCTGCAAAGGAGCCTATAGCCATTTAATCAGGAGATGGGATAAGTGTTAACATTGGGTGTGAGCTAACATTGCTGCCCAGATTCCCACAGCACCATTATGTCCCTATCACAGTGGGGCTTACAGAGGCCAGGGAATAAACCTGGACAAATTATGCCCCATGGTGGAATCACTGGGTCCATAAATCCTGTCCTGGTTATCTCCCCATTCTCTGTAAAAACGATTCTCTGTAAAAAGATTACATCGCCCTAAACGAGGACCTGAGCTCTTGGACCGCGGCGGCCATGGCGGCTCAGATTACCCAGCGCAAGTGGGAGGCGGCCCATGAGGCGGAGCAGCAGAGAGCCTACCTAGAGGGCACGTGCGAGGAGTGGCTCCGCAGATACCTGGAGAACAGGAAGGAGACGCTGCAGCGCACTGTACCAGGGGCCACGGGGCGCCTCCCTGATCGCCTGTAGATCTCGCAGGCTGGCCTCCCACAAGGAGAGGAGACAGATGGGACCAACACTAGAATATCACCCTCCCTCTGGTCCTGAGGGAGAAGAATCCTCCTGGGTTTCCAGATCCTGTACCAGAGAGTGACTCTGAGGTTCCACCCTGCTCTCTGACACAATTAAGGGATAAAATCTCTGAGGCAATGACGGGAAGACGCAATTAAGGGATAAAATCTCTGAGGGAATGACGGGAAGACGATCCCTCATTTAGTGATCCCAAGTCACTAAATTTGGGGGTAGTTTGTTACACAGCAATGGATAACTAATGAAGCCCTCTTACATTTCCATTATTCTCTAGAGGTTAACTACATCTGTTTTATTTTCTCCTATTTTGATAATATTAGCCACACATAGGGTTTCTAGTTTCTCAACACCTATTCTTTTCTTTATTTTAGTTTCTTTTCTCCTTTGTTCCATCCTTTTTTTTTCTTTTTTCTTTTTCTTTTTTTTTTTTTTTTTTTTTTGAGACAAAGTCTCGTTCTGTCGCCCAGGCTGGAGTGCAGTGGCTCGATCTCGGCTCACTGCAAGCTCCGCCTCCCAGGTTCATGCCATTCTCCTGCCTCAGCTTTCCAAGTAGCTGGGACTACAGGCACCTGCCACCATGTCCGGCTAATTTTTTGTGTTTTTAGTAGAGACAGGGTTTCACCATGTTAGCCAGGATGGCCTCTATCTCCTGACCTCATGATCTGCCTGCCTCGGCCTCCCAAAGACTGGGATTACAAGCATGAGCCACTGCGCCTGGCCTCTTCCTTCCCTTTCTCCTTCCTTCTAGCCCTCCCTCCATCTCTTTCTTCTCTATTTCCATTCAACCTATCGCCTTCCCTCCTTCTTTCTCCCTTTCCTTCCCCTCCCCTTCCTTCTTTTCTTCTTTTGCTTTTTCCTCCATTCCTCCTTCTTTCTCTCTCTTCCTCCATTTTTTCCTTTTTATTATGAAATTTTCCTAATATATACAATAACTCTATGTGATTGGGCTGTAAGTAAGCATTTTCTGAATCTATATGTCAAAAATATAATGTCATGTATATGAGAAACAAGTAAACAACAGGAAGTTATTAACAGAGTCTGAATAAAAATGCCCGCTATAATTCTACAGCCAAGACAGTGGCTTTTAACTCAATTCCTTCAATGCAGTGTTTTCAGAACACATCATCAACATCAAGTATTACACATTTATTGTAAAAGTTTAGCCACAATCACTTTGCAAATCATATTATCATTATCTACTATGGTTAAAGTCCATACAACCTATCATCCAACCAACCCATTCCTAATCATCCACTCTGGGGGGCTTTCTTGCCTATGTGCACAGGAGACATGCACACTAATATTTATGGCAAAAACTGGAATCAGCCACATATACATCAATAGGAAACTAGTGAAATTGTGGTATAACCATATGTAAGCCTTCAGCAGTAAAAATGAAAGAATGACAGCCTCCCACACCACAGATAACTCCTACACATAATGTGCATCATGGGAAAATAAATGCAGTAGGAACTTGCTGTACAGGAAGCTTAAAAACCAGCAAAACCAACTGATATTTGTTTTGGGGATATATATATATACATACATACATATATATACACAAATATATATATACAAATATGTATATATATATATATACTTATTGCACAAATCTTTGAAGAAATACAAAGGAATAAGTATCACAAGATTCAGCATGGAGTCTTCTGCTGAGACCAGCTCGGTCAGGGAGATCCTAACCCAGTGGTGCTAGAGGAATTAAAGACACACACACAGAAATACAGAGGTGTGAAGTGGGAAATCAGGGGTCTCACAGCCTTCAGAGCTGAGAGCCCTGAACAGAGATTTACCCATATATTTATTACAGTCATTAGCATTGTTTCTATAGATATTAAATTAGTTAAAATATCCCTTATGGGAAACGAAGTGATGGGCCAAATTAAAGGAATAGGTTGGGCTAGTTAACTGCAGCAGGAACATGCCCTTAAGACACAGATCACTCATGCTATTGTTTGTGGCTTAAGAATGCCTTTAAGTGGTTTTCCACCCTGGGCGGACCAGGTGTTCCTTGCCCTCATTCCTGTAAACCCACAACCTTCCAGCTTGGGTGCTAAGGCCATTATGAACATGTTATGGTGCTGCAGAGATTTTGTTTATGGACAGTCTCGGGGCCAGTTTATGACCAGATTTTGGGGGACTTGCTCCCAACAGTCTCCTTCTGGAGGATGACTGGGTAGCAGTCCAGGGTAGTTTTACAGTTTCGTGTTTTACACCAGTGCTGGGCACCCTGGTAGTTACTTGATTATAATTCCTTAAACAGAGTTTTCCAAATTAAAATATACCTGTTTTTTATAGAAATGAAAAAGAAAAGAATTTCAAAGTTCATTGCAAAGATTCTTAACAAGAACTACTTACATTGGAAGAAAACCACAGAGAATTGTAAGGAGCTATGTGACAGAGAGGACCAGGATGCCATGAAAACGGCCTTGGCTACATATAGGTCATTCGATCCTTGGCTCACTGGCGTCTCTCTAGATTTTCAATAATACAATGTTCAATATGCTGTGCAAGGTAATTTCATCTTGCAAAGATTTGATGTTACATTTTACCACACATACAACGGAATTAAACTTTTACAGAATTGGAAATGCACATCATTGATCAAAATAAATGAAACATGAAAAGAGTAGGAAGGAATACCCAGTGATGGAATAGCAAATATGAATGGAAACAGAATAGGACTGCTAAAAAGAAAAAAAAATTCAGAAGCACGTAATAGCAGTGCTATTTAGAATCATAGTGGTGTCCAAATCACTTCTATCACATCTCATTCAATACCACAACAAAAGATGTTAAGTTTGTTATAGAATGCCCATCGAATAGCCAGTTTTTGAAAATAACTTGTCTCTCAATTCGAGCTAACCATTTCGGGCTACAGCATCAAGCCAAAATTATTGGCATCATGCTAAACTAGATGTGTTGACTGAAGTATGAGATTCACATTTTTGTAAATGAAAAGCAATCAGATTAGGCAATTTTTTTTCTGCACAGCAAAAGAAACTATCATCAATCAGAGTGAACAGACATGCTACAGAATGGGAGAAAAATTTTGCCATCTACCCATCTGACAAAAGTCTAGTATTCAGAATCCACAAAGAACTTAAGCAAATTTACATGAAAAAAAAACTTCATTAAAAAAGTGGACAAAGAACATGAACAGACACTTCTAAAGAAGACATACGTGTGGCCAAAAAAATATGAAAAAAAAAGCTCACCATCACTGATCATTAGAGAAATGCAAATCAAAACGACAAATGAGATACCATCTTATGCCAGTCAGAATGGCAATTATTAAATAGTCAAGAAACAACAGATGCTGGCGAGGTTGCGGAGAAATAGGAATGCTTTTACACTGTTGGTGGAAAAGTAAATGGTTAATCCATTGTGGAAGACAGTGACAGTGTGGCAATTCCTCAAAGATTTAGAACCAGAAATACCATTTGACCCAGCAATCCCATTACAGAGTATATACCCAAAGGAATATAAATCATTCTATTATAAAGATATATGCATGTTTACATTCATGGCAGCACTATTCACAATAGCAAAGACAAGGAATCAACCCAAATGCCCATCAATGATGGTCTGGATAAAGAAAATATGGTACATATACACCATGGAATATTATGCAGCCATAAAAAGGAATGAGATCAAGTCCTTTGCAGGGATATGGATGAAGCTGGAAGCCATTATCCTCAGCAAACTCACACAGGAACAGAAAACCAAACACCACATGTTCTCATATATAATTGGGAACTGAGCAATGAGAACACATGGACACAGGGAGAGGAAAAACACACACTGGGGCCTGTTGGGGGAGGGTGGTGATGGGAGGATCATTAGCAAAAATAGCTAATGCATGCCAGGGTTAATACCTAGGTGATGAGTTGACAGGTGCAGCAAACCAACATGGCACACATTTATGTAACAAACCTGCACATCCTACACACATGTACCCTGGATCTTAAAAAAAATTAAATTAAAAGACAAGCTTAAAGAGTTAATGAAAACTAATTAGATACAAGAAGACTTTGATTTTCAGAAACCTGAAACAATAGTTATAATTTTGCTTTTAACATATATTCAAATCCTTTGATACTGTTCCTTTCTAGAGGTGCAGCTTAATTCCCTCTCTTGAGTGTGGCTTGGACTTAATGAGGCACTTCTGAAATGGCCTGGTTCTGTGTTCCCACCCAAATCTCATCTTGAATTGTTATGCAAATTGTAATCCCTACCTATTGGGGGAGGGACCTCATGGGAGGTGATTGGATAATGGGGGCGGTGCCCCCATGCTGTTCTCCTGATGCTGAGGGAATTCTCATGAGATCTGATGGTTTTATAAGGGGCTTTTCCCTGCTTCATTGTGCATTTCTCTCTCCTGTCACCACGTGAAGAAGGACGGGTTTGCTTCCACTTCTGCCATGACTGTAAGTTTCCTGGGGCAGCCTCCTCAGTCATGCAGAACTGTGAGTCAATTAAACCTCTTTCCTTTATAAATTACCCAGTCTCAGGTATTTCTTTATGGCAGCGTGAGAATGGACTAATACTTCTAACTTATAGAATAGTGCCAACATAACAGTTTGTGACTCTGGGTGTAGAACATAAAACTAACTGCGGCTTCCACCTTCTCTCTCTCTCTGAATCTGGGATCATGAGCTCTGGGGGAAGCCAGCCACTGTGCCATAAGCAGCCCTGCAGGAAGGTCCACATGACTGAGAACTGAGGCCTTCTGGGAACAGACAACAAGGAACCAGGCCTTTTCCAACAGCCATGTGACTGATCCATGTTTCTTGTGAATTCCCAGCCCCAGAGAAGCCCTCAGATGCTGCAGCCCCTGGCTGACAACTGGAGTGCAACCTTGTGAGCGGCCCTGAGCAGGAAGCACTCAGGGAAACCTCTCCTGGATTCCTGACGATTGGAAACTGTGGGAGATGAGAAATATTTGTTGTTTCAAGCTAAGTTTTACATAATTTGTTATGCAATAGTAAATAATACATTTTCACAAGAGAGGATGTATTATTACACATCAAATTGCATTTGCTCTAAATGTGTCATCATCATCATTATTATTTTTGAGACAGGGTCTTGCTCTGTCACCCAGGCTGGAATGCAGTGGCATGATCACCATGCACTGCAGTGTCAAATTCCTGGGGTCAAGGGACTCTCTGACCTCAGCCTCCTGAGTAGCTGGGACTACCATCATGAACTACCATGCCTGGCTAATTTTCTAATTTTTTGTAGAGATGGAGGTTTTGCCCAGGCTGATCTTGAACTTCTGGAGTCAACAAATCTCCCTTCCTCTGCTTTCCACAGTGCTAGGATGACAGCCGTGAGCCACCACACCTGGCCTAAATTAATTATAAGATATTAAACATGTAACTTAGTTTTAAAAGGTAAGGACAATTTCCATGGCTGAAGAGGATGTATTTTATGACCATTCACAATGATCACTTTACTTGAACTTCACTTTCCAACTGTGTCCCAATTAAACACAAAAGGAAGATCCAACCCTTGCTAGGCTGATTCTATGATGGCCTCAACAAGCAGCTCCTGGTCAGTCACCTTCCTCCAGTTATTCAACCAACTCTAATGTAGGTGCTGCTATGAAGGGATTTAGCAGATATAATTAAGGGTCTCAATTAGTTGACTTTATGCTGGGTTTATCCTGCTTGGACTGTCCTAATCAGGTGAGCCCTTGAAAGGACTGGGTTCTTCATGAGCACAGAGACTTACAGTGTGAGAGGGATTCAGCATGAGGGGTTTCCTCCACCAGGGGCTTTGAAAAGGAAGGGGCTATGGGCCAGGCGTGGTGGCTCACGCCTGTAATCCCGACACTTTGGGAGGCCGAGGCGGGCGGATCATGAGGTCAGGAGGTCGAGACAATCCTGGCTAACAAGGTGAAACCCTGTGTCTACTAAGAAAAAAAAAAAAAATTGGCAGAGCGTAGTGGTGGGCACCTGTAGTCCCAGCTACTTGGGACTGAGACAGGAGAATGGTGTGAACCCAGGAGGCGGAGCTTGTAGTGAGCAGAGATCATTGGGCCACTGTACCCCAGCCTGGGCTACAGAGCCAGACTCGGTCTCAAAAAAAAAAAAAAAAAAATTAAGGGGCTGTGTAGGAAAGAACGCTGGTGAGCACCAGGAATTGAGCCCCTCCCAGTTCTCTACATTGACAGCTAGCCAGAAACAGGAACCTCAGTCTTACAACTGCAAGAAACTGCGTTCTGCCACCTCTGTATAAACCTGAAGGAGGATTCAAAATGAAAACACAGCTTTTGGAAGCCCAGAACAGAGATTCTATCCACATCTTGCCCAGATTTCTGACCAAGGAATTATAAGCAGATAAATGGGTGTTGTTTTGCCAGGCGTGGTAGTGTGCAAATGAACTGATGAATTGATATACACACTAGTTGCATAAAATAAAATCTTTCTGAACTTTTTCCGTGTTTTACAGTTTATAATTATCTGTGATGCAATTTAATACACTCATATTTCATTCATTAAGTCAACAAAAATTAACTTAGTCCCTACAATGAACCAGGTATCCCCTCATATGCTCAAGTGCCTGACACTCCAGAAGCTTCACAAGACCGAGGTGGAGACACTGGAGTGTTTTAAGTGGAGAAATGACACTCTGACTCACAGGAGCAGGACCACTGTGAAAAGAACAGTTACGTAGCAGGTCATGGGACAGTGCTAGTGTCACAATTCATGAGTGACAGTGTGGTGGGGACTAAGGGGAGAGGAGGGCCTGAAGGATGAGAAGGATGGAGGGAAGGGCTGGAGAAGCAGGAGGTGAGGAAAAGGAGCAGAGGAAAGAATTTGAAAGCAGCAGAATTCTTAGGTTTAAATACATTGTTTTATGGATTTTAATACATCCATCTACAGAGCCTAGCAGGGTGTCCTTGGCAGTTGTCTTTTAATACCTCATGTGGGCCTGCCTAAAACCTAATTTTTTATGTTAATCAGGTTTAAAAATTACTAAGTGTTCCTATAAAATATACACAACACTTAGAAGTGGATACTTCCTAAAAACAGGCAGTGCATGAGCACTAGTGAAGGGCATTGTGACTGCATTGAACAGTTGCAAATTTGAGGTGAATAAAGCTTGTAATGGCTTCTGGTCGCAACATATAGGAACACAGTGGCTACTTTGTATTGAGGAGATGTCCTGGACTCACACAGAAACTCAGAGCTATGGAATGATGGTAAATTTAAAATACTACAAGCAGGAGTCACAGGTACATTGTCTGGGAAAGTGAAACTTAGTAGCTTTGTGAGTCCTGTTGTAAGGCTTTTGGACACATTTATACATCAAGGGGCCAAAGTCACATTTTTTACCTATTAGATTCCTGATCATTCAGGGGTTACCAATATTCTGCTACCCACTGTAGTTAATAAACAAAGAGCAAATTGGTCTCTATTCTGTCTCATGCACTCAGGCGCAACTTTTCCCGATTAAAAACAAAAACAACAACAACAAAAATCTACACCTCCATTCCCAGAGCAAGCTTACTCTCTGGCACCAAACTCCATGGGGTGATTTTTCTTCTAGAAGAGTCCAGGTGGACAGGTAAGGAGTGGGAGTCAGGGAGTCCAGTTCAGGGACAGAGATTACGGGATGAAAAGTGAAAGGAGAGGGACGGGGCCCATGCCGAGGGTTTCTCCCTTGTTTCTCAGACAGCTCTTGGGCCAAGACTCAGGGAGACATTGAGACAGAGCGCTTGGCACAGGAGCAGAGGGGTCAGGGCGAAGTCCCAGGGCCCCAGGCGTGGCTCTCAGGGTCTCAGGCCCCGAAGGCGGTGTATGGATTGGGGAGTCCCAGCCTTGGGGATTCCCCAACTCCGCAGTTTCTTTTCTCCCTCTGCCAACCTATGTAGGGTCCTTCTTCCTGGATACTCACGACGCGGACCCAGTTCTCACTCCCATTGGGTGTCGGGTTTCCAGAGAAGCCAATCAGTGTCGTCGCGGTCGCGGTTCTAAAGTCCGCACGCACCCACCGGGACTCAGATTCTCCCCAGACGCCGAGGATGGCCGTCATGGCGCCCCGAACCCTCCTCCTGCTACTCTTGGGGGCCCTGGCCCTGACCCAGACCTGGGCGGGTGAGTGCGGGGTCGTGGGGAAACCGCCTCTGCGGGGAGAAGCAAGGGGCCCGCCCGGCGGGGGCGCAGGACCCGGGTAGCCGCGCCGGGAGGAGGGTCGGGCGGGTCTCAGCCACTCCTCGCCCCCAGGCTCCCACTCCATGAGGTATTTCTTCACATCCGTGTCCCGGCCCGGCCGCGGGGAGCCCCGCTTCATCGCCGTGGGCTACGTGGACGACACGCAGTTCGTGCGGTTTGACAGCGACGCCGCGAGCCAGAGGATGGAGCCGCGGGCGCCGTGGATAGAGCAGGAGGGGCCGGAGTATTGGGACCAGGAGACACGGAATGTGAAGGCCCACTCACAGACTGACCGAGAGAGCCTGCGGATCGCGCTCCGCTACTACAACCAGAGCGAGGCCGGTGAGTGACCCCGGCCCGGGGCGCAGGTCACGACCTCTCATCCCCCACGGACGGGCCAGGTCGCCCACAGTCTCCGGGTCCGAGATCCACCCCGAAGCCGCGGGACCCCGAGACCCTTGCCCCGGGAGAGGCCCAGGCGCCTTTACCCGGTTTCATTTTCAGTTTAGGCCAAAAATCCCCCCGGGTTGGTCGGGGCCGGACGGGGCTCGGGGGACTGGGCTGACCGTGGGGTCGGGGCCAGGTTCTCACACCATCCAGATGATGTATGGCTGCGACGTGGGGCCGGACGGGCGCCTCCTCCGCGGGTACCAGCAGGACGCCTACGACGGCAAGGATTACATCGCCTTGAACGAGGACCTGCGCTCTTGGACCGCGGCGGACATGGCGGCTCAGATCACCCAGCGCAAGTGGGAGGCGGCCCGTGTGGCGGAGCAGTTGAGAGCCTACCTGGAGGGCACGTGCGTGGAGTGGCTCCGCAGATACCTGGAGAACGGGAAGGAGACGCTGCAGCGCACGGGTACCAGGGGCCACGGGGCGCCTCCCTGATCGCCTGTAGATCTCCCGGGCTGGCCTCCCACAAGGAGGGGAGACAATTGGGACCAACACTAGAATATCGCCCTCCCTCTGGTCCTGAGGGAGAGGAATCCTCCTGGGTTTCCAGATCCTGTACCAGAGAGTGACTCTGAGGTTCCGCCCTGCTCTCTGACACAATTAAGGGATAAAATCTCTGAAGGAATGACGGGAAGACGATCCCTCGAATACTGATGAGTGGTTCCCTTTGACACACACCGGCAGCAGCCTTGGGCCCGTGACTTTTCCTCTCAGGCCTTGTTCTCTGCTTCACACTCAATGTGTGTGGGGGTCTGAGTCCAGCACTTCTGAGTCCCTCAGCCTCCACTCAGGTCAGGACCAGAAGTCGCTGTTCCCTCTTCAGGGACTAGAATTTTCCACGGAATAGGAGATTATCCCAGGTGCCTGTGTCCAGGCTGGTGTCTGGGTTCTGTGCTCCCTTCCCCATCCCAGGTGTCCTGTCCATTCTCAAGATAGCCACATGTGTGCTGGAGGAGTGTCCCATGACAGATGCAAAATGCCTGAATGTTCTGACTCTTCCTGACAGACGCCCCCAAGACGCATATGACTCACCACGCTGTCTCTGACCATGAGGCCACCCTGAGGTGCTGGGCCCTGAGCTTCTACCCTGCGGAGATCACACTGACCTGGCAGCGGGATGGGGAGGACCAGACCCAGGACACGGAGCTTGTGGAGACCAGGCCTGCAGGGGATGGAACCTTCCAGAAGTGGGCGTCTGTGGTGGTGCCTTCTGGACAGGAGCAGAGATACACCTGCCATGTGCAGCATGAGGGTCTGCCCAAGCCCCTCACCCTGAGATGGGGTAAGGAGGGAGATGGGGGTGTCATGTCTTTTACGGAAAGCAGGAGCCTCTCTGACCTTTAGCAGGGTCAGGGCCCCTCACCTTCCCCTCTTTTCCCAGAGCCGTCTTCCCAGCCCACCATCCCCATCGTGGGCATCATTGCTGGCCTAGTTCTCTTTGGAGCTATGTTCGCTGGAGCTGTGGTCGCTGCTGTGAGGTGGAGGAGGAAGAGCTCAGGTGGGGTGAAGGGATGAAGGGTGGGTCTGAGATTTCTTGTCTCACTGAGGGTTCCAAGACCCAGGTAGAAGTGTGCCCTGCCTCGTTACTGGGAAGCACCATCCACAATTATGGGCCTACCCAGCCTGGGCCCTGTGTGCCAGCACTTACTCTTTTGTAAAGCACCTGTTAAAATGAAGGACAGATTTATCACCTTGATTACGGCGGTGATGGGACCTGATCCCAGCAGTCACAAGTCACAGGGGAAGGTCCCTGAGGACCTTCAGGAGGGCGGTTGGTCCAGGACCCACACCTGCTTTCTTCATGTTTCCTGATCCCGCCCTGGGTCTGCAGTCACACATTTCTGGAAACTTCTCTGAGGTCCAAGACTTGGAGGTTCCTCTAGGACCTTAAGGCCCTGGCTCCTTTCTGGTATCTCACAGGACATTTTCTTCCCACAGATAGAAAAGGAGGGAGCTACTCTCAGGCTGCAAGTAAGTATGAAGGAGGCTGATGCCTGAGGTCCTTGGGATATTGTGTTTGGGAGCCCGTGGGGGAGCTCACCCACCCCACAATTCCTCCTCTAGCCACATCTTCTGTGGGATCTGACCAGGTTCTGTTTTTGTCCTACCCCAGGCAGTGACAGTGCCCAGGGCTCTGATATGTCTCTCACAGCTTGTAAAGGTGAGAGCCTGGAGGGCCTGATGTGTGTTGGGTGTTGGGCGGAACAGTGGACGCAGCTGTGCTATGGGGTTTCTTTGCATTGGATGTATTGAGCATGCGATGGGC
This sequence comes from Homo sapiens, assembly GCF_000001405.40. Lineage (NCBI taxonomy): Eukaryota > Metazoa > Chordata > Mammalia > Primates > Hominidae > Homo > Homo sapiens. Next base: position 1,243,217 of record NT_167249.2, read on the forward strand.
TGTTTAAAGTGTGACTCCTCACTGTGACAGATACGAATTTGTTCATGAATATTTTTTTCTATAGTGTGAGACAGCTGCCTTGTGTGGGACTGAGAGGCAAGATTTGTTCCTGCCCTTCCCTTTGTGACTTGAAGAACCCTGACTTTGTTTCTGCAAAGGCACCTGCATGTGTCTGTGTTCTTGTAGGCATAATGTGAGGAGGTGGGGAGACCACCCCACCCCCATGTCCACCATGACCCTCTTCCCACGCTGACCTGTGCTCCCTCCCCAATCATCTTTCCTGTTCCAGAGAGGTGGGGCTGAGGTGTCTCCATCTCTGCCTCAACTTCATGGTGCACTGAGCTGTAACTTCTTCCTTCCCTATTAAAATTAGAACCTGAGTATAAATTTACTTTCTCAAATTCTTGCCATGAGAGGTTGATGAGTTAATTAAAGGAGAAGATTCCTAAAATTTGAGAGACAAAATAAATGGAACACATGAGAACCTTCCAGAGTCCACGTGTTGCTTATGCTGATTTGTTGCAGGGGAGGAGAGTAGATGGGGCTGTGCCCAGTTTCTGTTCCGGCCACCATGGGCTTTATGTGGTCACTGCTTGGCTGGGTCATCTTTGCTGCTCCATTGTCCTTGGCCCTTCAGTAGAAACTTGTCCCACCAAGACCTGTGATCACAGGGAGTTGGATGTCACCTACGGTGGTCCCTGCATACAAATCTCCTTGTGGTATCAAGAGACAAATTTTCAGACCTGTCCAGGTCTTGCCTTCCTCCCAGGGCTTTTTCCTCAATTGTATTTTTGATTTTTCTCCAGTCTTTTTAAAGGAACCAGATTGTGACATTTGCAGAGAGGAGGGGTCCCATAGTTTCTCATCATGATTAACTTTCTGTTGGAACTCCTCTTCTGCCCTCCTACTCTTCTTCCTGCTCTGAGTTGTAGTAATCCTAATGCTGGCTCCAATCCAAACTCATAGATTTATAAAGCAGAGTCTAATTTAGATTCATATGTGGTTGGAAAATTGTACCCATAAGGCTAGGGTTATTGTTCCTGAAGAGAAATATATGGTTTTGTGCTGAAGTGTGCAGGAGGGTTGGTGTGGGAGGAGGGAGGACACACAAGCAGCCCTGGTGAGAAAAGCACTGGTGGCATGGATGTCCATGTGAACTTATGTTCTTTAGCTGCCACAAAACAGCATTTGCCCTGTGGCTACATTAATAAAGGTATGGGCTTTAGAATAGGGAGGTGCTCTACAGTGATCATTCATTCAACTGACATTTGTTGTCTGCTAGGGATATGACTGCTTTTGCATTTAGAAAGCATCCTTAAAGTAAAAACAGAAAAATTTCTGGGATTATGGTGCATACGTTCTAGATGCAGGCTTGTCCAACCCGTGGCTCGTGGGCTGCATGTGGCCCAGGACAATTTTGAATGTGAGGACTTTTTTGCTTATCTGTGGTGCACCTGAGTCCTGGAGTGAGTGCACCCACCTCCCTCAGGGTCAGGAGTGAATGCTTTAGGAACCCTCCTTTTCAGTGACCTGCAAAAGATAAAGGGCACATTTACTGTGATAACCCAGAGTATCAGCCAAGGGGGCTTGACCTTCAAGGAGTTGTGGGGAAGGTTAATAAAGGGTGGTGTCCCAGGGTCAGAAAAGATGGGCAGACAGCAAGGGCACTTCTTGATATCTATGATAAGCATGTGGAATTGAGGAGCAAGCTTCAGATTCAGAATCCAGTGACTAAGGACATATCTATATCCCTAAGAGAAAGAACCTTGGGACACGATGATGGTTACATGCTGGGACAATTCCATCAGCCCTTCTGCAAAGGAGCCTATAGCCATTTAATCAGGAGATGGGATAAGTATTAACATTGGGTGTGAGCTGACATTGCTGCCCAGATTCCCACAGCACCATTATGTCCCTATCACAGTGGGGCTTACAGAGGCCAGGGAATAAACCTAGACACATTATGCCCCATGGTGGAATCACCGGTTCCATAAATCCTGTCCTGGTTATCTCCCCATTCTCTGAGTACATAATTGGCCTTGATGCACTGGCAACTGGAGTCACCCCACACTGTGTCCCTAGTCTGGAGAGTAAGGCATCTCATTGTGCTGAAGCCCAAAGGGAAACATCCCTCATCCAAGCTGAACCAGAAGCAATATTGTGCCCCAGGGTGGGTCTTGTGGAGGGTACTGCAGGTAGTATAGTGGTGGCACTGCCATTACATGCCTGAACGATGCAGGGTGGTGTTGGGATTGCCTCTTATCTCCATATAACTCAGCAATCTGTACCTGCAGAAGCCTGATATGGCTAAAGAATGAATGGAATTACACCAGACTTGACCAAGTAGGAGTCCTGATTGCAGCTGCCATGCTGACTGGATATCACTGCTTGGGGAGATTAATAAGGACTCAGGCACATGGCATGCAGCTGTGGATTTGGTGAGTGCATTCCCTCCCATTTCATTTAAAAGATGGATATGGAATGATTCACATTCACATGGGATTTATAACACATTTATTGATAGCTTGCATCAGGGCTACCTTAACTCCTCAACCTTCTATAAATATCACCTTAAGAGACCTGGACAAATCAGACATCTCACAGAACACTAAATCTCTTCATTTCATTGGGAATATCACATAAATTGGGAAGGATGAACAAGAGCAGGAAAGTACGCTGAATTCCTTGGCAAAACATGTGCACTAGAGAAGGTGAAGATAAACTTTACAGAGCTTCAAGAGTGGCCACTGCAGTGAAGTGTTATGGGTCCAGTGGTTAGGGGCATGCAGGGCTGTCCCCTCCAAAGTAAAAGACAAACTTGCATCTTGCATCCTCACCAGAAGGAAGGAAGCACACTACCTTCTGAGCCTCTCTGTGTTCTGGCAATGCCACCTTCCATATCTAAGTATATTGCTTTGGCCGACACTCTGGGTGATATAGGAGGAGGCCAGCTTTGAGTGGGGCCTGATGGGAAAGGACAATGCAGCAGACCCAGACTGTGGTGCAGTCAGTCACCATCCCTCAGACCCCTGGTGCTGGAGGTGGCTGTCTGGGGAAAGATGCAGGATGGAGCTGAACCAAGCATCAGTGGGAGAGTCAGAATGGAGGGCCTGGGATCTGGAGTAAGGCCATGGAGTCCACAGCTCCATGTTAGAAGCATGGAGAAACATGCTCCATGTTAGAAGCAACTTTTAGCATGTTACTGGCCCTGATAAGATAGAATGCTTGATCATGGGACACCAAGCAACCATGTGTTTCCAAGTGCCTGTGTGTATTGACTTCTATGTGACCCATAGAGTCATAGATTGGACAGGCCCAGCGGCATCTATCATGAGACGAAAATGGTCCATGTCGGTTGAGCCTCAATTCCATGTTAACACCCACAGAAAACACCCAGTCCTGATGTGGCCCTGAATAACCAAACAAATTGAAGTTAGCCAGTCTGCATCATGGATCAGCCCAGGCCTGATAGGAAGGACCCGTGAGTGGAGCAACCACAGTGGCAGGGATGAAGCTACAAATGAGTCCAGCAGCACTGTCTCTCCACTACCAAGGCCATCCAGCTACTGCTTCCTCTGAATACTCTGCTTGTGAGCATTACAGACCAATGATAGACACCGATAGGGCACTATTTCTTCAGGTAACTGACTAGCCCCTAAGTGACAAGTTGAATAGCTTGAACACCATCTATCCTGGAAGGGGCAGAAGTTCATCCTCACAGGGATAGGCACCTATTCGATGTGGTGTGGTTTTCCTCTCTGCTTTCAGATCCTCAGTCAACAACACTATTGGCATTCCTGATCCACTGGCTCAAAATTTCAGTACGTTATCTGCCTGGGGGACACACCTCATGGGGAAGGGGATCCATGGGATCCCCTGGTCATATCACCACCTGTGCCTGTCAGGTGCTGCCAGGCACACAGAGTCATGGACAGGTCTCTGCAGACACAACTCAGTACCAGCTTGGATGAAACCCTCTGAGGAATGGGTGCCATCTTTTGGGATGTGAAGCATGTATTGAATCAAAGACGTCTCTGTGGTGCCGTTTTCAGAAGGAAGAATATGTGGGTCCAAAAACCAAGAAGTCAAAGCAGGTGTGTCTCATTCCTTATATTCACCCCCAGGGTGATTTATTTATTTATAAGTAAATAAATAAATACATAAATAACATAAATACATACATAAATTTATTTATTTATGTATTTATTTTATTCATTATATTCACCCCCAGGGTGATTTTGCTCTTCTTACGTCCAAAATCTGGACTCTGCAGGGGAGGAGGTCCTGGTTTCCCAAAGAGGGCACCCTGGCAAGGAGACAAATGAGAGTCCATGGAACTAAACATTGTGGTTGCACCCAGGGATATTTGAATAGTATGCCCAGAGACAAGCAGGGGAGAAGAGGAGGAGGCAGGGCTGCTATCACACAATGAGGGCAGGAGAAGTGTGTGTGGAAACCAGGAATCCACTTGGGGACATCCTGGTTTCCCTTGTCCGTTGTAAGTGTGAGCAGAATCATCCAGCAACCCAGCCTGAGAGGGTTTGATATTCAAGAGCCCAGAACCCTCAGGAAGGAAGGATTGAGTGATACACCTAGGTAATGTCCCACATCTCTGCTCCTGTGCTCTGACATCCTCAGCAGGATTAGTGCAGAAGCCCTGCTTCCCATGAGTTGTTCCCAGCCAGTGACTGGTCACAGCAAGCACACTAAGGAGCCATTTCTGGGAGACACAGGACTCCTCTGATGGCCAAATGTGGCTCCAGGACTCCTCCATGCCCTTGCTCAACTCTCCTTAGATTGCCTCTGCTCTAGGATGCGTCGAACAAACCTTGTCTCCTTCTGTCCAGCACTTGGGGTCACACTTGCATCATTGTCTGCCGCCTTTTCCAGGGATTTCTGGCTCGCTTCCCATATTCCCTTACAGGTGTGTTCCCTCATAAGATGCCGCAGACTTTAAGCTCATCTTGGCATCTGCTCCTTGGAGGACTTGGACTAAAAAGCATTTCCATGTGCACACCAATAACTTTTACTTATTCCAACCTATAAAATCCATCTCTTTATCTAACTTCTGCCACCCCCATAAAATCTATCTTGCTTGTGTTTTTAGTATCTCTTTGAATTAACAGATATTTGTTGTATTAAGCCACTAAATTTTGAGGTAGTTTGTGACACAGCAGTTAATAACTATTAAGGCTTTCTTAAGTTTCTATTATTCCATGGATGTTATCTACATCTTTTAATTCCCTGCATTTTAATAATGTTAGCCACACTTGCTGTTTCTAATCCTTTCCTCCTATTCTTTTTTGAAAATGTTCATTTTGTCTTTCTCTGTCCTTCCATCTTTGTTTCCTCCTTTCCTCCCTCAGAGCTTTCTCCCTCTCTCCATTTTTTCACAAACTCTATGTGGTTAGGCTAAAAAGAAGCATTATTTGAATCTTATGCTTAAAGTATAATGCCATAATTTACAGGATAAAAGTAAAGAAAAGGAAGTTATTAATGGAATATGAAAAAATGCCTAGGGTGATTCTGTAGCCAAGACAGTGGTTTTTCACATGTAATCTCCACCTTCAACTGAGTGTTTTCAGAACACATGAGCAACATAAGTTCTTTCCCATTCTTGGTACAAGCACTTGAGGAATCAAATTAGCCTTATCTAGTATGATTAAGGTCCATACACTGTATAATCCCATCATCTGCTCCTGATCATACACTCTGGGGAATTCTTGGCTATGTGTCCTGGAGACGTGTACACCAATGTTTATGGCAAAAACTGGAAACGATCACATATACATCAATGGGAATTAACAAAATTGTGATATAATCATGAAAAGTAAAACTTCAGCAGTAAAAATGAATGAACAGCACCCACCCACATCAGAGATAACTCTCCTACACATAAGGTGCATCACAGAAGAATACATATAGTGTGAGTTCTCTCTACAGGGAAGTTAAAAAAACAGGTCAGACTGTGATTTGGGTATATATATTTATTGTAAAAATCTTTAGTGACAATGCAAAGGAATAGTAAATACAAGACTCAAGATAGAGGTTCCTTTTGGGGGATAGGATTGGACAACAGTCTAGGGTGGCTTCATAGGTTCTGTTTCTTATGCCAGGAGAGGATGCCCAGGTAGTTAGTTACTTGATCATAAATCTTTATTTATTTATTTATTTATTTATTTATTCATTCATTTATTTTTTGAGATGGAGTCTCACTCTCATCGCCCAGGTGGGAGTGCAGTGGTGTGATCTCAGCTCACTGCAACCTCCGCCCCCCGTGTTCAAGCGATTCTCCTACTTCAGCCTCTGAGTAGCTAGGATTACAGGCACCTGCCGTGATGCCCGGCTAATTTTTGTATTTTTCGTAAAGACTGTGCTTCACCATGTTGGCCAGGCTGGTCTCAGGTGATCTCAGGTGATCTACCCACTTTGGCCTCCCAAAGTGCTGGGATTAGAGGCATGAGCCACCACTCCCAGCCCACAAATCTTTAAAGTGGCAATTTTCAAAATGCACCTTGTGTGCCATTCCTGATTATTTGGAAATGAAAGAGAAAAGAAAACACAAAAGTTCATTGAAAGGATCCTTAGCGATAACTACCTGCGTTAAAACAAAGCCACAGCCAATTGTAAGCAGCCATGTGACAAAGAGGACCAGGATGCCATGAAAAATAGCCTTGGCTAGAAATAGGTCATTTGATCCTTGGCTAATTGGCATCTCTCTACATTCTCTGGTATACAATGTTCAATCTGATGTGCAAGGCAATTGTATCTCGCAAAGAATTTGAGAATTTGATATGTTGCTCACATTTTACCACACATACAAGTGAATTAAACTTTTACAGAATAGAAAAAACCATTGTCGAGCAAAATAAATTAAATGAAAAGACATAAAGGAATAACTAGTGATGAAATAGCAATAAGAATGGAAAACACAAAAGAGCTGCTTTTAAAGCAATGTTAGAAGCACAAAATAACTGCATTTTTCAGAATCATACTGGAGTCCAAATCACTTCTAACACATCTAATTAAAAAACACAGTGAAAGATGTTAAACTGATCAATGGATGCCCACTGAATACCCAGTTTTTGAAAAATCTTGTTCCTAGATTGGAGTTAACCATTTCCACCTACCACATCAAATCAAATCGTTGTCGTGATGCTAAGCTAGCTGTACAGACAAAGATGTGAGACACATTTTTTCTAATTGCAAAGCACCCTGATTAGGCAAATATTTTTGTAGAAGCTTGAGTAAGAAAATTGGCATTTTGGGCATTCTTAAACGGAATTAGTAACTTCTGAGGAAAAAGAAAGATAGTTATGATTGTAAAGGCATTATTATACGGCACCAGTCTTGGGACTCTTTGATCTAGCTACTGTATTTTCTCAACTTTCTTGTAACTCATCAAAGAGAACATTAATATTAAAGACATTTGCAAAAAAATCTGAGATATTGTTGTATCTCCATTCTCTGTCTCAAAGTTTTATTCATTACTTTACAAAAGATAATTTTAAAGTATTAAAGAAAATTAGCCAGATACAAGAAGTATTTGATTTACAAAATCCTGAAACTATAATGTTAATTGCGGTGCTAGCTACTTGGGAGGCTGAAGGAGGAGCGTTGATCGCATGAGCCCAGGAGGTTGAGGCTTCAGCGAGTCATGACCATGCCACTGCATTCCAGCCAGGGCAACACAGTGATACTTTGTGTAAAAATAACTAACTAACTAACTAACTAACTAACTAACTAACTAACTAAATAATAGAGGCAGTGCACGAGCCCTGGTGAAGGGCACTTTGGTTGCATTGAGCACTTGCAAATTTGAGGTGATTACATACTGTACATTACTTAACATGCATACTGTACATACTTAACATGCATATAAATTCTTTGATACTCCTCCTTGCAGAGGTGCAGCTTCATTCCCTTCCTGTGAGTGTGGCCTGAACTTAATGACTCGCTTACAGGCTGATACAGTAATGCTGACATAATAGTTTATGACTCTGGGTGTAAATCGTAAGACTCACTAAGTCTGGGAGTGGTCGCTCACGCCTGTAGTCCCAAAACTTTGGGAGGTCAAGAGAGCGGATCATGACGTCAGAAGTTCGAGACCAGCCTGGCCAACATGGTGAAACCCTGTCTCTACTAAAAATACAAAAATTAGTCGGGTGTGGTGGTGCATGCCTGTAATCCCAGTTGCTCAGGAGGCTGAGGCAGGAGAATCACTTGAACCTGGAAGTCAGAGGTTGCAGTGAGCCAAGATCCAGCCTCTGCATTCCAGCCTGGGTGACAGGGTGAGACTCTGTCTCAAAAAAAAAAAAAAAAAAAAAAAAACAGAAAACAAAAAACAAAAAAGCTCACTGCAGCTTCTACTTTGGTTCTGGTTTTCTCTTTCTCCGGGATCATGAGCCCTGGGGGAAGCTGGCTGCTGTGTCATAAGCAGGCCTGTGGAAAGCTCCAAGTGACTAGGAAGTGAGGCCTCCTGGGGCCAGACAATAAGAAGATGCCTCTTCCAACAGCCACGTGGGATATTCTTGTGACTTGTGAATCCCCAGCCCCATTTGAGCCCTCAGATGATAAAGCCCTGGATGACAACTACACTGCAATTTTGTGAGAGGCCCTGAGCCAGAAGAACTTTGAGAAACCTCTCCTGGACTCCTGACCACTAGAAACTGTGGGACATGATAAATATTTGTTGACTTGAGTTGCTAAGTTTTAAGTGACTTGTTATGCATCAGTAGATAACTAATACACCTTCACAAGAGAGGATGAATCATTGAACTTTTTCATTTGCTCTAAATTGATTATAAGATATTAAACATGTCATTTGCTTTTAATATTTAACAAGAATTTTCATGGTTATATAAGATATATTTTATTATCATTAACAATGATCTATTTTTTTTAACTTCAATTTGTATGTTCTATTCAAACACAAAAGGAAGATCCAGGCTATGCTAGACTGATTCTATGATGACACCCCAATAACCACCGTTGGTTACTCACGTTACCCCAGTTACTCTGTTGACACTAATGTAGGTGCTGCTGTGAAGGGATTTTGCAGATGTATTCCAGGTCCCCTGTCAGTTGGCTTTAAGATGGGGATTATCCTGCTTGGACTGGCCTAATCAGGTAAGATCTAAAAAGGACTGGGTTCTTCCTGAGAATAGAGACTCACAGTGTGAGAGGGATTCAGTGTGAGGGGCTTCCTCCACTGTGGGCTTTGAAAATGGAGGGATCATGGGGAAAAAATACTGGTGGCCAATAGGAATTAGAAGCCCTCCCCACTGTCTACTCTGATAGCCTGAAGGAAACGGGGACCTTAGTCCTACAATTACCAGAAACCGAATTCTGCCAACGAGCTCTATATAAGCTTGGGGGAGAATCCCAATCTTAAGATGAGGATACAGCTTTGCGAAACCCTGAACAAAGAATCTCTCACACTAGGCCTGGATTTCTGATGAAGGAAATGCAGACAAATAAATGAGTGCTCTTTTAAGCCACTACGTTTGTCGTAATTTGTTATGTACTAATAGAAAATTCATAAACAGATTCAACAGCTAAGCATATGACATTTTCTCCACTGGAATGAATTTATGAACTGATATGCATAGTAGTTGAATAAAACCAAATGTTTCCTCACTTGCTTTGCATTTTTCATTTTGTGATTTTTGTGTGACACAATTTTTAACACAATCATATTTCATTCATTCAAGAAAATTAACTTAGTGCCTACCATGTGCCAGATACGCTTTTATAGGCTGCAGGAACAACTTTGATCAAAACAACCCAAAGCCCCTGTGCTCATGTGCCTTCCATTCTAGAGGCTTCTTGAGAGTGAGATGCAGCCATTGGAGGGTTTTAAGTGAAGAAATGACACAATCTAACTCACATTAGCAGGATTTCTGACCATTGTGGGGAGAACAGTCATGGGCAGCAGGTGAGGGGACAGACCTAGGGCCACAATTCAGTAGTGACAGAGTAGTAGAGACTAAGGGGAGAGGAAGGCCTGAGAGATGACAGGGACAGAGAGAAGGGCTGGAGAAGCAGGAGGTGAGGTAAAGGAACAGAGAGAAAGAATTCTAAAGCAATAGAATTCTCAGACTTAAACACAGTGTTTTTATAGATTTGTAATGCATTCATCTGCAGAGCCTGGCACAGTGTTACTTGCACCTTGGTCTTTAATACATTCTGTGGGGCTGTCTAATAACTAATTGCCTCCTTATGATAAACAGGTTAGAAAAGAATACCAAGTGTCCTAATAAAATATGCACATAGCTTAGATGTGAATAATTCATAAATATAGGCAGGTGCATGAGATGGCCATTGTGGCTCATGCCTGTAATACCAGCATTTTGGGAGGCTGAGGCAGGAGGATCACTTGAGCTCAGGAGTTCAAGACTAGCCAGAGCAACATAGTGAGACCTCATCTCTACAAATTTGTTTTAGAAAAATTAGCCAGGAGTGGTGGTACAAGCCTGTGGTGCCAGATACTTGGAGGCTGAAGGAGGAGCTCTGATCGCATGAGCCCAGGAGGTCGAGGCTTCCGTGAGTCATGAGCATGCCACTGCACTCCAGCTAGGGCAACAGAGTGTTACTCGGTCTAAAAATAACTAACTAACTAAATAAATAAATAAATAAATAAATAATAAATAAATAAATAAAGACGGTGCATGAGCACTGGTGAAGGGCACTTTGGCTGCATTGAGCACTTGCAAATTTGAGGTGATTAAATTCTGCCCAGGCTCCTGGTTGCAATATACGGTAACACAATGTGCTTTGTATTGAGATGTCCTGGACTCGCGCACACAAACTCAGGGCTATAAGATAAAGATAATTTAAAAATACAACAGACCAGAGTCACAGATACACAGTCTGGGAAAGTAAAACTTAACTTTGTGAGTCTAACTGCAATGCGTTTAGACACATTTATATATAATGGGGCCAAAAATCACCTCTTTTACAAATTAGATTCGTGATCATTCAGGGGTTACCAAGATTGTGCTACCCACTGTACTGTGATACCCACTGTTACTAAGATTGTGCTACTCCGCTGCGGGACCAGCGGAGATCCTCCACCAAATAAAAGCCCCAGGTGCCTATACCGGATTCCATTTTCAGTTCAGGCCCAAATCCCCGGGGGTTGGTCGAGGCTGAGGCGGGGCTCAGCGGCCTGGGCTGACCTCGGTCGCTGGGAATGGGTCTCACACCCTCCAATGGGTACACAGCTGCGACCTGGACTCGGACTGCAGCCTCCTCAGTGGGTATGAACATACCCTATGACGGCGCCAGTTACCTCGTCCGAAACCAGGAACTGCGCTCCTGGACTGCAGCGGACAAGGCGGCTCAGATGCCCTGGCGGAGGAACATGCAGAGCTGCTCGAAACCTACCTGCAGGGAAGGTGGGCGGAGTGGCTCAGCAAAGTCCTTAAGAATGGGAAGGAGAGGCTGCAGTGCCCAGGTACCAGTGGCCACGGGGTGCCTCCCTGATCTCCTGCAGATCTCCTTGAGTCACATTCCAAAAGAAGGGAAGGAAAATGGGACCAACGCTAAAACATCCCTCTCCCTCTTGTGAGGAGGAAGAGTCCTCCCGGGTTTTCAGATCCTATACTAGAGAGTGACTGAGGGCCTGCCCTGCACTCTGGGACAGTTAAAGGATGAAGTCTCTGAGGGAAAGGAGGGGAAGACAATCCCTGAAATACTGATCCGCGGTCCCCTTTGTCCCCACAGCAGCCTTGGGCACCAGGAATTTTCCTCTCAGGCCTTGTTCTCTGCCTCACACTCAATGTGTATTTGTGGGTCTGATTCCAGCTTTTTTGACCTCGGCCTCCGCTCAGGTCAGGACCAGAAATCTCTGTTCCGGCCTCAGACACTAAAACTTTCTAAGGAATAGAAGATTGCCCCAGGTGCCTGGGTCTAGACTGGTGTCTGAGTTGCTCCCTTCCCCACTTCAGCTGTCCCGTCAATTTTCAGGATGGTCCCATGAGGTGGAATGTCCCATGAGGAATGCAAAGTGCCTGAATTTTCTGACTCTTCCCCTCAGAACCCCAAAAGACTCACATGACCCACCACCCCATCTCTGACCATGAGGCCACCCTGAGGTGCTGGGCTCTGGGCTTCTACCCTGTGGAGATCACACTGACCCAGTAGTGGGATGGATAGGACCAAATGTAGGATGCAGAGGTTGTGGAGACCACACCTGCAGGGTACAGAACCTTCCAGAAGTGGGCAGCTGTGGTGGTGTCTTCTGGAGAGGAGCAGAGATACACATGCCATGTGCAGCACGATGGGCTGCCAGAGCTCCTCACCCTGAGATGGGTAAGGAAGGAGATGAGGGGTCATGTCTCTTCTCACGGGAACTAGGAGCCCTTCAGCAAGGTCAGGGTTTGAGGCCTGATGGTGAGGGCCCCTCACGTTCCCCTCCTTTCTTACAGCTGTCTTCCCAGCCCACCATCCCCATCATGGGCATCGTTACTGTCCTGGTTGTTCTTGGTGCTGTTTTCACCAGAGCTGTGGTCACTGCTGTGATGTGGAAGAGTAAGAGCCCAGGTAGGAAAGGGGTGAGCTCCGAGTTTTCTTCTTCCATTGGTGGATTCCCAGCCCCAGATGGGAGTTGGCTTGTATCCTGCCTAGTCGTGAGGCACCATCTCTGTCTATCAACACTTACTCTTTTGTAAAGAACTTGTGAAAATGAAGGACAAATTTATCACCTTCATTGGAGTCATGAGAACCTGACTCCCAGCAGTCACAGGTCAGGGGAAGGTACCCGCAGAGGACAGACCTCACTAGGACAATTAGTCCAGTTTCAACACATCCTCTTACCTAGGGTTTCCTGATTCTGACCTGGGTCTGCAGTCACAGTTCTGGACACTCCTCTGGGATCTCATGACCCTGCTTCCTTCCTGGCCTTTCACAGTTTATTTTCTTTCCACAGATGGAAAAGGAGTCAGCTATGCTCAGGCTTCATGCAAGTGTGGTAGGGGTGGGAAGAGTGATCCCTGAGATCCTTGGGATAGTGTAGACAGGAGCCCATGGGGGAGCTCACCACCCCACAATTCCTCCTTTAGTCACATCATCTGTGGGCTCTGACCAGATTTTGTTTTTGTTCCACCCCAAACAGGGACAGTACCCAGGGCTCTGATGTGTCTCTCAAGGCTTGTAAAATGACAACTTAGGGGGCCTGAAGGGAAGGAGGGGCTGGGGCATAGGGGACACAACTAGGCTCTGGAGATTCTTTGATTTGGAATTTTTCAGGGTGTGGTGGGCTGTTCAGTGTCACCACTTACTATGACTGTTCTGAATTTGCTCATGACTATTTTTTTTCTAAGACTGCCTTGTGAGGGACTGAGATGCAAGATTTGTTCATGCCTCCCCTTTGTGACTTCAAGGGCCTCTGTCTTCTCTTTCTGCCAAGGCGTCTGAATGTGTCTACATCCCTGGTATCATGTGAGAAGTGGGGAGACCAGCCCACCTTCATGTCCACCATGACCCCTGATATTGTTTGGATCTGTGTCCCCACCCAAATCTCATGTTCACTTGTAATCACTAAGGTTGGAGGTGGCACCTCAGGGAGGTGATTGGCTCATGAGGATGGATCCTTCATGAATAGTTTAGGACCATCTCTTTGGTGCTGTTCTTGTGATAGTTCTCCCAACGTCTGGTGTTTAAAAGTGTGTGGTACCTCCCTGCTCTCTCTCCCTCCTACTCCAGGCTTGTAAGTCATGCCTACTTCCCCTTAACCTTCCAGCATGATTGAAAGTTTCCTGAGGCCCTCTCATAAGTTGAGCAGATGCCGGAATCATACTTTCATATAGCCTGCAGAACCATGAGCCAATTTAAACCTTCTGTCTTTATAAATTACCCAGTCTCAGGTATTTCTTTATAACAGTTGAGAATGAATAATTCAGAAAATCAGTACCAGAAGTTGGGTACTGCAATAAACGTAGCTGAAAATGTGAAAATGTCTTTGGAACTGGGTAACAGGTATAGGTTGGAAGAGTTTGGAGAGTTTAGAAGACAAGAAAATGGGGGAAAACTTGGAACTTCCTAGAGGTTTGTTAAATTGTTGTGACCAAAATGCTGATAGTGATATAGACAATAGAGCCCAGGCTGATGAGGTCTTAGATGGAGATGAGGAACTTACTGGGACCTAGAGAAAAGGTCACTTTTGTTATGCATTGGCAAAGAACTTGGAGGCATTCTGCCCCCTCCTTAGGGATCTGTGGAACTTTGAACATGAGGGTGATGATTAAGGGTATCTGATAGAAGAAATTTCTAAGCATCATAGCATTCAAGATTTGGCTTCCTGTTGTAATAGTCTATGCACATATGTGTGAGCAAAAAAATGATCTGAAACTGGAACTGATATTTAAAGGGGAAATTTAATATCCAGGACAATTCCCAGTGGAGCTGCAGGAGCAGGACCCCTGCCAGGACTACTAAATGGTAGAGCCACTGGCAATGTGCAAGCTCAGCTTGGAAAATCCATAGGTATTCAATTTTCACCCATGAGAGCAGCTATATGGGTTATGTTCAGCAAAGCCAAGGATGTGGGGCTGCAAATGGCATTGTGAGCCCACCACTTGAACCAGTGTGCTCAGGATTCAAGATATAGGGTCAAAGGAGATTATTTTAGAGCTTTAAATTTTAACATCTTCCATGATGAGTTTCAGCTTTGTGAGGACACTGCATTCATTTCTTTTGGCCCATTTATTCCTTTTAGAATGGAAATGTATAAGAAATGTCTCTTCCACTGTTGTATTAATATTTTAGAAGTAAATAACCTTTTTAAAACTTTACAGGCTCACAGCTATAGGGACTTACCTTGAGTCTCAGATGAGACTTTGGAATTTTGAGTTGATGCTGGAACAACCTAGCACATTTGGGACAATTGGGAAATTATCATATTTTGCAATGGGAGAAAAACATGAGCTCTGGCTGGCTAGGGACAGAATGCAATGATATAAATATTTACCCCCTGATACCTCATGTTAAAATCTGACCCCCAGTGTTGGATGTGGGGCCTAATGGGTGCTGTTTGGGTCATGGGAGCCAATCTTTTATGAATAAAGAGATCCTGTCCTCTCTCGGAAGTGAATGAATTGTTACTCTTTTAGTTTCCAAGAGAGCCAGTTGTTAAAAAGAGCCTGGCAACTTCCTAAGCTCTCTGTTCCTCTCTTACCGTGTGATCTCTGCACATACCAGCTCCCCTTTGCCTTCTGCCATGGGTGGGAGCAGCCTGAGGCCCTCATCAAATGCTCAAACATTTCCAGACATCAGAATCCCAAGCCACATGAACCTTGTTTATATAAATTAGTCAGTCTCTGACATTTCTTTATAGCAACACAAAATGGAATAAGACAGCGCTCTCATCACAGGTATGTGTCTCTGGCAGCCAGCCCCCATTCTCAAGATATCCAGGGTCCGCTCAGCCATGAGTCCTCTCATTAATATTCTAACTCTTATCACGCAAGAGATTCTAAGGTTTTTAGGAGAAACCAGGGACAAAGACTAAATGTTTTTGTTTTACCTCAGATTACCCGCTTTTCTTTGACCACATATCTTTTATAGGAAAAGGATTATAAAAGTAAAGAGGTATTGGCGTATTATCAGAGTCTCATTCAGTCATTCAAAATTAGAACAGTTTACCATCCTCTCGTATGAATATGTCTCCCAGAATGAAGTCACTCAGGTTTGCAGACACCACTCAACCTTACCAGGCTCCAAAAACAAGAATGGTCTCAAGGACATATGGCTTCACTCTTTTAGGCACCCAGTATAATTGACCTAAGAGACAATATCTTCTCTTGCTCACAGCACTTTTGAGGAGTTAAGCTAATATTGAATTTTCCTCATTATATAACCCTTTGATTTATTCACTTACCCTCAGCCACTATTCCTCCTTCTGTCCCTTTATATCAGTCTTTTCCAGTTTTAGAGGTGACATCAGGTTTGTCTGCTGTGCTGACCTAGACTGCAGGCAGCAATAGTATTCTAGCATGCCTTCCCTCAGTCTACTCTTGGTCATAGAGGGTAGGTTATGTAGGTAAGGAACTAGTGGGGGCCATCTGACTACCAGGCTATATAGCTCTATTTACTGTTAATCCTGACTTTGCCAGATGAAATGAAGGCATAGCACCATCTTTGAGTTGCTTGGGAATTCTTATATAAAGATGTAAATATATAGTTATGGTTTTTGGCTTAAAGATAATTCCTGTTTCTGGCACTTTGATTTTCATCCCTATTCCTGGTACCACTGCATCACATATGAAAAAAGAAATTTGAGGTGAAGCGTAGTCATTATTCCAGCATCCTCTCCCCTTCAGAAGAATTGTATGTATAGTCATAACAGCATCGTCCTGATCCATCAGGTAAAAGAGAGGAAGCTATCTAGAGGAGTCACTCTTGCAGCCCCACCCATGTGGACAGTGAGCACATTCATGAAGATGTAAAAGCCAGTCCTTCATGTTTATATTGCCCAACAACTATATTGCCAGTTTTTAGACAAACAATGCTTCAACTGACCATTTCAATTTTCTATCAAAGTTTTCTTCTGAGGAGGACATCTCCCTGTGCATTGTTAGCCATTTGAGGCTGTAAAGTGTGTTTTCTTGCGTAAAGAAATGGGACTCAGCAGTCCACATTGGTGCAATCTCTTTTTTTCTGGTGATTTCATAGCCCTTGAAGCATTGACCTCTTCCCCTGGTTGAGCATAGCCCAATCCAGAGTCAGTGACTTTCCTGTCAAGATCCCTTGGCAGCTCCTTTGGGGTTGCTGCCATCAGTCTGGCTTGCCAGCCATGTATGATCAAAGCCTTCCCACTAGAGAATCACATAGCCATCTGCTGCCTCTGTCTGTTTTCTTGACC
Source organism: Homo sapiens (assembly GCF_000001405.40). NCBI lineage: Eukaryota > Metazoa > Chordata > Mammalia > Primates > Hominidae > Homo > Homo sapiens. The sequence goes on from NT_167249.2 coordinate 1,260,081, forward strand.
AACAGTCAAAACAGAGATGATAAGAAATGAGATAAATTACCAAAATTGTGAACAAAAGAGAGATTATCACTAGTGACCCTTTAGAAATTCAAAAGCATTATAAGTGAAGACTCTGAAAAACCTGAAGTCAATAAGTTAGACCACTTAGATAAAATGGACAGATTCATACAAAGATAGAAATTGCCAAAACTGACTCAAAAATAACTAGAAAACCTGAAATAAGGAAAAACAAAAAATAATAATGTATTGCTGTTTTATCTGGCCTAAAAAGTCCATTTGTCAGCCTTCAGTCCTTTGGCCTAAGTTTAGCTCAAATAAGGACTGTATATGCCAAGCTTTAATTCTCTATGTGAATGATAAAACCCCATCTTCACAAGAGGAGATGGGTTATGCTGTTTGCTGGATTAGTGAATTGAGCCCCGTGTTCCCCCTTAAAGAGAAATAAAAAGAGCATAGTAAAGAGCCCTCACCCAGTGAAAAGCCCTGGGATCCCCTAACACGCTTGCCCTACACCCTATACATCTCACAAAGTAGAGGACAGGGAGATCAGGGGGCAAAAGGAAGGTCAGAGGAAAAGGATTTGGGAGGTCATGAAGGAGCTAAACCCAATGCTCCCTTAAATCCTTATCCAAACTTGAGGAAAGAATTAGAACAATGTAAGGAAGGACAAACCTGATAAAAACAAGCAATGGGGAAAGGATTCCCAATTTAATAAATGGTGTTGGGAAAACTGGCTAGCCATATGCAGAAAACTGAAACTGGACCCCCTCCTTACACCTTATACAAAAATCAACTCAAGATGGATTAAAGACTTAAACATAAGACCTAAAACTGTAAAAACCCTAGAAGAAAACCTAGGCAATACCATTCAGGACCTAGGCATGGGCGAAGACTTCATGACTAAAACACAAAAAGCAATGGCAACGAAAGCCAGAATTGACTAATGGGATCTAATTAAACTAAAGAGCTTCTGCACAGCAAAATAAACTATCATCAGAGTGAACAGGCCACCTACGGAATGGGAGAAAATTTTTGCAATCTGTCCATCTGACAAAGGGCTAATATCCAGAATCTACAAAGAACTTAATTTACATGAAAAAAACAAACAACTCCATCAAAAAGTGGGCGACGGATATGAAAAGACACTTCTCAAAAAAAGACATTTATGTAGTCAACAAACATATGAAAAAAGGCCCATAGTCACTTATCATTAGAGAAATGCAAATCAAAACCACAATGAGATACCATCTCACACCAATTAGAATGGCGATCATTAAAAAGTCAGGAAACAACAGATGCTGGAGAGGATGTGGAGAAATAGGAACGCTTTTACACTGTTGGTGGGAGTGTAAATTAGTTCAACCATCGTGGAAGATAATGTGGCAATTCCTCAAGGATCTAGAACCAGAAATACCATTTGACCCAGCAATCCCACTACTGGATATATACCCAAAGGATTATAAACATTTTACTATAAAGATACATACACACATATGTTTATTGCGGCACTGTTCACAATAGCAAAGACTTGGAACCAATCCAAATGCTCATCAATGATAGACTGAATAAAGAAAATGTGGCACATATACACCATGGAATACTATGCAGCCATAAAAAGGATGAGTTCATGTCCTTTGCAGGGACATGGATGAAGCTGGAAACCATCATTCTCAGGAAACCATCAGCTACGTGTTCTCTGGGTCTCTCAGAGAAAGACCCACAAGAACAGAAAACCAAATGCTGCATGTTCTCACTCAAATGGGAGTTGAACAATGAGAACACATGGACACAGGGAGGGGAACATCACACACTGGGGCCTGTCTGAGGGTAGGGGGCTAGGGGAGGCATAGCATTAGGAGAAATACCTAATGTAGATGATGGGTTGATGGGTGCAGCAAACCACCATGGCACATGTATACCTATGTAACAAACCTGCATGTTCTGCACATGTATCCCAGAGTTTAAAGTATAATAATGATAATAATAATAAATTGGATTTGTAAGTGTGCCTTTAACAAGTACTGAGGTTAGGAATTTTAAAAAGGAAATGAGGCCACTCTCGGAAGATCCCCTCAGTTTAGCAGAACAGCTAGATCAATTTTTAGAACCTAATTTTTATACTTGGGCTGAGATAATTCAATCATGAATATTCTGTTTACTGGGAAAAAGACGGGAATAATTAGAAGGGCAGCCATAATCATTTGGGAGAGACAGCAGCATCCTCCTGGGTAAGGAGTCCTGCCAGCTAAGCAGAAATTCCCAAATGCAGACCCTGGATGGGATAATAATGACCCCAGGGATCGGGTCCAAATGCAAGACCTTAGGGAGCTAATAATTAGAGGGATTATGCAGTCCACTCATAGGACACAAAACGTCCCCAAAGCATTCAAGATCCAACAACAAGAAGAGGAGACTCCCTCTGCATTTCTGCAGAGGCTCAGGGATCAAGTGAAAAAATATTCAGGATTAAATCCAGAGGACCCAGTAGGGCAAGGCCTTTTAAAGGTTAATTTTGTAACTAAAAGCTGATGTAATATTACTAAGAAACTGCAAAAGATTAACGGATGGAATAAAAAACCAATTAAGGAAATACTGAGGGAAGCTCAAAAAGTTTGTGTGTGTGTGAGAGAGAAAGAGAGAGAGAGAGAGAGTTAAGCTGCTATACCTGAAGGAAGAGAGAGCCAGCGGCACAGCTGTGTGTGGCAGCTGGCTTCTAAAAGCTGTTGATAAAGGTTACTGCTGAGTCATTTCCGCAGAGCTGCCTGTTTTTGCAGACAGACAAGGGGAGCCAGGGCACAGCACGGCTCGGCTCATGCCCAGAGAAAGAGGAAGAAGCTGAGTGTGAGACAGAAAGGAAACAGGGGATGACAGAGAGAGAATAGAAGAGGAAAATTAGCAAGAGAGACTAAAAGAGACAGAGATCAAAGAGAAACACAGAAGGTAAGACTGGGGAGACAAATAATGTAAAAGGAAAAAAGAGTACAAGACAAAGTGAGAGAATGCTGAGAGGTTGGCAGGGCTGGGGGAAGTTTCTGGGGACTTAAGCAACAAGGAGGTGCAGGGGAAGGGTGCATGCAGTGCGTGGCCACTGAGGAACGTAAAACCCGGGAACTGGGGGATGGATGCAAGTGAGAAAGGGATGTGGAGGAGAGTTTAGGATCAGGCTGCTTGAGGTGTAACGGGTTGCCTACAGCAAAAACTAGATGGCTGTTTATCAGGAGGTGGTCAAAAGGATTCAAGTTATGGAAGAGTAAATGAATAAGATAACATTAAGGTTTTGTTGTTGTTTTAGTGAGAGGCTGGAAGGCCACCAGGGGCAGTTAGCTGTCAGTAAGGCAGCAGAAGGGCTGGGGTCGCTACATAAGGAAAATCAGTACTAGGGTTGTAAACTCAAATGACTACAGGGCCAGCAAATAATAAAAAGGAGGGCTGCAGGGCTGGGTGGGAACTGTGGCGGCTGCTCAGCTCTTCTTACAGTGCTGGCACTGTGTTGCCAGATTGTCTGCTTTGTCAGAGGACAAAATTCTGACTTTTTATGTAAAATATAATTTTAAAATGCTGATATTCTGTTCAAATAACTTAAAAACCCAAAACAGGCAAAAGAGGATGCCAGTTTGCAATCCCTGAAGTAGAGAGAGCTCGTGCTGGGGAAAAGTCTGCCAAAATGCTTTAAGGTGGAATGTGTAAAAGTTCTGTTTCCCAGAGTCGGGCTGGGCCAGGGGAGGATCCTTGCAGCCCAGGAGGAGGAAAAGCCACTAAGTCCCCTCCCAGGGCTGGACAAACTGGAGACCCTTTACAGTTGCTGGGTCACCAGTGGGGGTTGCTTGAAACACAAACAGTGCACCTCTAGGCCTGCCACGGAGAGGAACGGTGCCTTTGAAGCACAAAAAAAAAAAAAACAGGAAGGGAGGGCGGAGCCAGAAATGCCTTTTCTAATGAGAGTACCCATCAGGGAAGGCTCCATAGGCTGGCAGATCTTCAAACCAGCAGCTCTTGGCCCAAAGCCAAACCCAGCAGGGCCCGGCCAAGGGCACTCTGGGATGCCAGCTGATCAGTCCCTTGCCTCCCCAAGTTCCTCCTGGGGTCAATGGGCCCTCGGGAGGTGACTAAACTAACACCAGCCAGTTTCTTATGAAAAGGAGAGGAGAATAAGAAGGCGTCAGAGTATAACTGTTTAGATATCACAGAGTATCAAACTAAAGTTAGTACCAAACCTTAAAGGAACTCTACTACATAATGGGATGAGGTTGTTTATGAATGGGTCATCCTGAGTAATAAATGGTAAAAGACACAATGGCTGTGCTGTCATGAACAAAAACAAACAATCCTTATGTGAAAAAGTTAAATTACTCAATAACTGGTCAGCCCAAACCTGTAAATTTTATGCTTTTAACCAGACCCTAAAGCTCCTAGAAGATCAAGAAGACACTATATATACTAATTCCAAATATGCCTATAAAGTAGTACACACCTTTGAAAAAAATCTGGACAGAGCAGGGCCTAGAAAATAGCAGGGCAAAATAATTGGTACATGGGGAACAAGTTTTAGAAAGCCTCCTGTTTCCAGCAGAGACAGCCATAGTTCATGTAAATGGCCATCAGAAAAGAAACACTATAGAAGCTGTAGGGAACAGGCTTGTGGATAAGGCTGCTAAGCAAGTCTCCCTGGAGGAAAAATTTAAACTGTTTAGCCCAGATATCCCTAAGGTGATATTAAAACCCCAATTTTCAAAAGAGGAGGAAAAGCTAGGCAAGATAGGAGCCACTTAAACTAAGAATGGAAGGTGAGTGCTCCCTGATGGGAGAGAAATAATAAACAAACCCATAATAAAAAATCTAATGTTGGCCGGGTGCGGTGGCTCATGCCTGTAATCCCAGCACTTTGGGAGGTGGAGGCGGGTAGATCACAAGGTCAGGAGATCAAAACCATCCTGGCTAACACAGTGAAACCCTGTCTCTACTAAAAATACAAAAAAGTAGCCGGGGCGTGGTGGTGGGTGCCTGTAGTTCCAGCTACTCGGGAGGCTGAGGCAGGAGAATGGCATGAACCCAAGAGGTGGAGCTTGCAGTGAGCCGAGATCGTGCCACTGCACTCCAGCCTGGGTGACAGAGCGAGATTCTGTCTAAAAAAAGAAAAAAAATCTAATGTCTATATTGCATAAGGGAAGTCATTGGGGTCCCCAGGACATGTATGATGAAATACTAAAGAATTATGGGTGTATAGAAATGTATGCCCTGGCTAAACAAGTGTGTGGGAATTGTGTGAACTCCCAGGAAACAACTTAAGGTTAAAAGAACTTGTAACACAAACCCCACCCCTTGAGTTCACAGTTCACCACTTCCAGCTTGGCAACTCAGTGCTAATTAAGACTTGGAAAGAAGACAAGCTCCACCCAAGCTGGGAAGGTCCCTATCAAGTGAGGCAGCTGTACAAACAGCTGATCAGGGGTGGACACATTACACTCGGGTCAAGAAACTGGTTAAAAAAAAAAACGGAAGGTAAATTGGAAGTGTATAGATCACCTAAGAAACCCTTTAAGCTAATTCTAAGGAAAACCTAAAAGTAAGCCATAAGCAGGCTCCATCACTGGGGGCTGATATGGTTAGAATTAATCCTAACACAAGGGGTGAAAGGAAACCTAAGTATTGTATAAGAACCACACGCCACCTAACTGTAAAAATTTAAAGTGCAATCCTATATTAATTACTATAAACAACCCAGCTACTCTAAACCAGAAATCTTGAAGTTATAAATTAAAAATAAATATCTCAGAAAGGAATCCCGTGGGACAGTTAGCTTTTAGGTTAGTCACCAACTCTACCCCAAGCCCACCCAGAATTACTAGAACTCCTGGTCCCATTAACTTCCTTTAACCCACCAAACAATAAACCTAAGAGAGTAAAAATAATTAAAGTAACTGACTTAAGGCAGACTTTAAAAATTAAAACAGGATATAGAGACATAAATGCCTGTGTTAAATGGGTGAAATTTTCAGCACAAGCCCTCGATAAAAGTAACTGTTATGCATGTGCTGCTGGTCAACCTCAGGCACAGGTGGTTCCATTTCCCCTTGGATGGGATACTAATCCCAAAGGAATGTGTTGCGTGTTGGCTGTATACCAAGACAAGGTTGCATGGGGAAATAAGACTTGTAAAAGTCTGTCATTGCTCTTTCCCACTTTGCAGAGATCAGATCCTAAAGCAATCCCCTCATTCTCTATAGGGAATATAAATCACTCCTGTTGTCACTCTAGACAGAAGGTGAGGTTCGATAAACCTGTGGGAAAACTCGCAACCTGCACCCACATCCTAAATGTCACTGGTAACCCAGACTGTGGCAACCATTCAACTCTCCATATACCCCAGGCAAATGTCTGGTGGTATTTCGGGAAAGGGAACCTCCGTAACTTGTTACCGTCCAATTGGACCGGGACTTGTGCTTTAGTACAATTGGCCATTCCGTTCACCCTGTCATTCCATGAAACAGCTAAAAATACACATGGTCATAGAGATCAGAGTAATTTAGCAATTTATTTTAACCCATATATAATGTGTGTGTGTATATATATATATATACACACACACACACAAACATATACATATACATATATATACACACACATATATATACACACACACACACATATATATATACACACACACATACACACAAGGCTTCTGGAACAGTGGATGAAAGCTTTGTATATCTATCTATCCATCTATCTATCTATTTATCTATCTAAACTCCATAGGAGTACCTAGAGGAGTGCCTAATAAATTTAAAGCACGAAACCAAATACCTGCTAGATTTGAGTCAGCACTTTTCTGGTGGTCAACTATTAACAAGAATGTAAATTAGATTAATTACATGTCTTATAATCAGCAAAGATTCATCAATTACACGCAAAATGCCCTTAAGGGAGTAGCCAGACAACTAAATGCCACTAGCTAAATGGCTTGGGAAAACAGAATTACACTGGACATAATATTAGCAGAGAAAGGTGATATATGTGATATGCTGGGTGGAAAATGTGACACTTCCATTCACAACAATGCTGCCCCAAATGGAACCATCATAAAGGGATGGCAGGGACTAACAACTCTAGTCAACGAGCTGGCAGAAAACACAGGAGTAAATGACCTTTTTACTAACTGGTTAGAAGGTTGGTTTGAAAAATAGAAAGGAATGGTACCTTCAATTCTTACATCTCTCGTGATTATGGCTGGGGTCTTAACAGCCATAGGATGTTGTATCATACCTTGTGTGAAGGGTTTATTTAACACAAAGGTTAATTAAAGCAGCTATTAGTAAACAAATGCCCCTAATGTCCCAACAGAATGACTTACTATTATTAAAAGCCAAACTAAACTTCTCCTCCTATAATGAAGAAAGTAAAAAACTTCCAGAACAGTTAATAAACAAAGATATGTAAGTGAAAATAAGACCAAAAAGGGTAAAAAGAAAAAGAGGAGGTAAGTGTAAAAAATAACCTACATGTGAAGAAGGTTCATTTTCATAAGTGCCTTAGAATATGTTTAAGCAGGCCACATGGAAACAAAGAGATAAAGAAGCAAAATATACTAAGCCACAATCCCCTCCTTCCTGCTTTCCCTTTGACCCAGTGTCCAGGAGCCTACTGGTCAGGGCCCCCTCAATCACCCCCCTCCCCACCTCACCAAAGAATTTAGTTTGGGCTAGCTTGCCATCACCTAAGTGCAGTCACTAGGGCGGTAAGTCAAATGCTCAGAGTCTTGAGACAGTCGCCATGCATTATGGGTGGCTGCAACAAAATGCAGCAAAAAATGCAGCAAAAAGACCCTAAAGAACATACTTGAAGTCTTAATACAACTACCAATAGGCGATGCCCAGGAAGACTATAACCCCGTAGTACTCAGCTAATGAGGAACTGGGGGAGGGACTTGCACACTAGGGAAGAAATAGTTTGTTGAAACTGTCCCAGGTGTACCTGCACTCCAGACACCTGATCTTGCAAGACTGTCATTAAAAGTCTCTCTTTCGCTGTTCTCTGGGTCTCTGAGTCTATTCTTTGGGTTTGAATGGGTGAGTTTCTTTCTCACAGGGATGTAGATGGCAACGTGGCTCTCATTCCCCTCCCAAATACCCCAACTTTCATCGCCTGTTCCAGAAGCCTTGTCACCTACAAGCCTATCTGCACAGAAGGTATGAGGGGACCCTACAGCCCAGACAGGGACCCTCCCATCTCTAGCAACTGTCCCCTTTTCTCACCTGGACCCTCTGCACCTGATGTTGTCTTCTTCTTGCATCAAAGGACACAGAGAATAATAATACTACTAATAATACTAATGATGATGAAAGCAGCAACAGCAGCAACATATGGAATGGCTGGTCATCAACTCTGAAGCACCAGGGCCATCCCTGAAAAAAAGGGCCTATTACACACTGGGCACCCACAGCCACAGCCGTTCCTGCTGCCCCCACCCTGGCCTGATCCTCCTTATGTTGGAACCCTCAAGGGTGGTCCCAGGTTCACTAGAGGACACAGGGTGAGTGCTGTGATTCCTGCTGTATCCCATGGAGCAGATGACCCTCTGCTCCTCTCCTTGGGGAATCCTGCAGGCCACCTCTGTGTGGTAGGTCCCATCCCATTGGACAGAACACCCCAAGACTGCTGGGCATCCTGGCTCAAAGACGCCCCATCCTGTCACCAGGTCAGAGAGATATTCTGGAGATTCAAGCCAGAGCCCAGCATATCAGGGTGATGTTGCCCTCCAGGGCCTCACTGCAGGCCACACTCATGGTGGAGGAGTGGGGGACTGGAGAAGAAAGGGCAGAGACAATGAGGCACATGGCCAAACCCTGCTCCCCTCTAATGGAGATGCAGGGAATAGGGCTGGTCCGCTCCACTGCTCCGACTCTGGCAGAAGTCCTCACGGACCCCAGACCTTCTGCAAGTCTGTCCTCACCCTGGGGACCAATTCCTCAAGGCTGGCAGAAGGATGGGCCTCGAGACTGTGTCTTTATGCTCTGGGATCCCTGCATTGATGCTGAGGAGGGGAATGTCAGGGGTGGGCTCCTGGTACATGGGGCCAGAGGGAACTCTTAGGGATGGGCAGGCTGGGAAGCAGATGGGGCAGCCTTGGCCCTGGGGCCTTCCTCTCCTGCCTGACACCCACCCAGGTTCAGGCTTCTGTCAAAGGGCCCACTGCTTCCCCAGATTGTGACACTGGACCCTTCAATCCCTGACCCACTGTCTTTTTCCAGTGGCTCTAACAGGAGAGAAAAATCAGGATATAACACACCAACAGAAAACACATGCATCCATAGCACAAGGAGGGTTTCCCTGGACAGAGTTGGGGGTCGGGGTGACTCTAGTGGAATAGGGGAGAGGAAAGCCCCTACCCAGGCCCAGTACCTGCTCTCCTGACACCCACACAGGATTCCAGATACTGCTGTAGTTTCTGCCTGCAGTCTACCCATATAGGGTGAGAGTGTGTCTCGGCCGGCATAGCATCTTCCTTCTAGAAATTTGTGATGTTCATAGCAAAGGTCTGAGTTCTGGAGGACTGGGATACTGTCCATTCCTGAGTCTCCAGGTTGAGAGAGAGGAAGAGCTACCCATAAGAGTAGGAATGCCTAGAGCCCCTGGTGCTGCTGGCTTCCTGATCTCACAACCCCTAATCTCCTGGAGGGAATGCAAGGCTACCCCCACCCAGCAGTTCCAAGTGAGGAACTCAGACCAGAGGAGACCCCTCCCTGGCCCTCCTCCATGCCTTTCTGTGTGGGCTGAGTGCCAGGTTACCTCCCCACCGAGCTCTGCTGACCCCTATTCCTCACCCCTGCCCCCAGCCAGATCCAGTGGGGACAGACAGGTCCCTGCTCTCTGCCCCCAGCTCTCCTGGAAAAGGTCTCCCATCACTCTTGCCTGCTGCCACCTCTCACCTCCCTTCTGTCCCTTGATATATGCCAGGGCCCTTCTGAGGTCCTGCCCATTCTCTGTCAAGTCCTCAGTCTCTGTGTCCCAGGTCTCAGCTCCCAGAACTGCTTCTGCCCACTGTCCCCAGGACCCAGCCCTGCCTTTCTGCCTGTTGAAGAGCAGGAAGGGCTGACCATCCAGATGTCCCTCAGCAAGAAACCCTGACTGCACAGATCCATCCCGGGACAGCACCGTGAGGTTGTAATGAAGACTGTGGGGCCCTGGGGAACAAGAAACCACGGATGAAACTTCTTCCTGGAAGTAACTTCACATTGATGTTTAACACACAGGTCTGCTGTCTCAACCTTTCTGAGGAGGCAGGAAATGTACATATGCAAAGGGACAAGAATGAGGATTTCAGATACAAGGAAAACTGGGAGGGCAGGAGGATGGAGGAGCAGACTGAGGAACAGAAGAAGGGGGAATGGAGATGGCAAACATGTAGGCCAGCTGCCAAGGCAGGGTGGCTACAGGCCACCTAAGGGTATAGGGAGGAGGCCAAGGAGAGAGGCTGCCCTGCAGTGGTGAGGGAGGAGCACGAAGGCAGTGGTGGAAGGAAGGTCTTGCCAGAGGGGAGGGTGGAAATGGGAAGGGACCCAGGCTCAGAGGGACCCATGACCAGCATGGCTGTGCTACACAGGTGAGGGTGAGATGGAGTCGCGGGCCGCTGCCTTTGAGGAAGGCTCATCATGTACAAGATGGGAGTAAGGGAGGATCAGTGCATCTTTTCCAGAAACAGTGCCAGGAAAACGACATTCACATGCAAAAAGAAATGAAGTTGGACTCCTGACTTACACCACATATACAAGTTAACTCTAAATAAATCAAAGACCTACACTCAGGAACTAAAACTGAAAAATTCTTAGAATGAAACATTGGGAATAATCTTCATGACATAGGTTTTGACAACACTTTTATGGATATAACACCAAAGCACAGACAACAAAGAAAAAATTGATAAGTTGGACCCATCAAAATAAAAAAAATTGAGCATTAAAAAACACAATCTGCAGAGTGAAAAAGCAACCATTAGAATGGAAGAAAGTATTTGCAAATCATTTATCTAATAAAAGATTAATATCCAGAATACATAAAGAATTCCTGTAACACAAACATAAGACTCAAAAAAACTATGTAGGCAAAGAATTTGAATAGCCAATTCTCCGAAGAAGACATACAAATGGCCAATAGACACATGAAAAGATGCTCAACATCTGTAGTTATTAGGGAAATGCAAATCAAAACTGCAATGGGCTACTACTTCACACCAATTAGGATGGCTATAATCAAACACACACACACACACACACGCACACAGAGAGAGAGAGAGAGAGAGAGAGAGAGAAAGCAAGTTTGGCAAAGAGGTAGAGAAACTGGAACATTTGTGTAGTACATTGGGAAAGACAAAGTGGGGCACCTGCTATGGAAATCAGTGTGTTGCTTCCTCCAAAAACTAAAAAATTAATTACTATGTAATCCAGAAATTCTACATCTGGGTATTTACCCAAAAGAAATGAAAGCAGGAACATTAAAAAGATATTTGAACACTCATGTTCATAGCAGCATAATTCCCAATAGCCAAATTCATAGAGACAGAAAGTAGAACCAGTGGTTCCAGCGGCCAGGGGGAAGGAGGAATGGGGAGCTACTGTTTAGTAGGCACAGAGTTTCAGGATGCACAAAAATGTGAATGTACTTAATGCCACTGAACTGTACACTTTTAAATGGTGAAAACAGTGAACTTTATATATATATTTCATGACAATTAAACAACAAAAAAGAAATTGTCACAGCATACCAAACAATAATATAGAATTAGAAAGAGGCTGGGGTCCTGGTCAGAGAGAAAAAAAACAAGGCCTGAGGAAGGGCCTTCAGAGAGGAGTGGTGCTGAAGGCGGAGCAGTCACACTCCAAAAGAGGGTTCAGGTTAGAAAACCCTCACAGGAGGAAGGTGGTGCTGGGAGAAGGCCCAGAGGAGGGGATGACCACAGCCCACTATGTGGTAAGTGAAGATTTTGGATATGAAGTCTAGGAACTGACAGCCCACCGGGGTCAAGGAACCGAAAGAGGATGAGGGTCAAGGAGCCGTTGGACTAGAGCCTGTGTTGGGTCTGGGTGGGGGTGAGGAGATGGGCAGGGCAAGGACTAAAGGGTGGCATGAGAAGGAAGGGGGGGTGACCCTGGGAGAACTTGGGGTAAAGTGAGAACAGGAAGGGAGGGGTTGTCTGGGGGAGGGTGGGGTTTGGGGAAGGTGAGAACTTGCTGAGGGCCCAAGGCAGCTGGTCAAGAGGTGGGAACAGCACAAGGTCCCAAGGCAGAGAGGGGCAGAGGGACCAGGGAGGGATGGTCCAGCACCTGAGGGTTTCAGGGTGGGGTCCTCAAGAGGGTGAGGCTGAGGATGAAGGAGTGGGGAACGGGTCACCTGAGGCAGGGCCCAGAGCAGGCATCTGCACTGGAGGGGAGGGAGCATCTGCGTTGCCCTGCGCCCTGCCTAAGGCCCAACTTTCATTAGCACCAGGGCTCCCCTTAAGTGGCCTGGAGGGGAGTGGGATGGAGGGAAGACTCCCCCGACAAAAGGCAGCACCAGAAAGTTAGGGTCAGGGACAGCTGGGAATGGAGAGGCATAGGGGCAGCACTGGGTGAAGGCTGCTTGTAGGAAAGGCCCATAAGGGAGGCAGGAGGGACCTGCGGTGGTGGGAGCAGGGGATGAGGGCAGAGGACACCCTACAAATGGATCAGAGAACTGCAGATAGAAAGGGGTAGCAGGGAGCAGGGAGGGCAACAGGACCCAGGGGGCCATGAGAAAGGAAGCTGAGGAAGTAGGAGGGAACTTGGTGTCCTTAGACCATTGGAGTCCACAGTAGCTGGGAGGGTTGACAGAGGAAAGAACCCTGGGAACGGGAGGCGAAGGGAGAATGAGCTGGGGATGGGAGCAGTCGCAGGAAGAATCCTCTGCCTGGAGCCGGCAGACTCCAACCCCTCAGCTTGAGACTCAGGAGCCCCATAGTCCCCACAGCAATAAGAAGCACCAGCTCCTGGTCCCGAAAAAAGGAGGGCCCCAACTCCAGGGACTGCGGCCCGCCCTGGAGCTGAGAACACGCGGACTCCAGGGAGAGGACAGGGCTTCAGGGACCCGAGAGCCGCTCTGAGCACCGGGGGATGTGACTGCCTCAGCGGCAGAGCTGGAAGGGCCCTCGAATGCCATTCACAGGAACAGCCCAGGAACCCAGGGACTTCAGAAGGTTTGTCCAAAAAGTGAGAGGAGGCGGAGGAGAGGTGAGGAGAGCAAGTGCAAGAAGAGACCAGAAAGTGCAGGGGGTGGGGGTGATGCGCGATCCCGAGGAGGACTGAAAAGAGACTGAAAAGCAGGGCTGAGGAGTGGCGGCAACCGGCAGCGTCCAGCTCCCGCACCTCGCTGCACATCGCACCTGAGCCCCGCCGCGACCGCATCGCGCTCGCTGCGACCCATTCGGACCCCCCAGAAACGCCAAGCCGCTCCCGCTCTAGCCGAGGGCTAGAACAATCCTGCCACCTCAGCCTCCTGAGTAGTTGGGACTACAAGCGAGTGCCACCACGTCCAGCTGTCATTTACCATCTGGTACCAACCCCCATTAGACAATGAACCATCCATGATCACTAACTGTGTCCCTTCCATCTTCGTCAGCTTTAGGAGCATTTTTTTTTCCAATGGAACTCTACCTATGATTACTAACCATTCCCCAGGACCCCTAGCCTACACTTTTCTGTAGATGAAAATGTCATACACCACAGAGTTTTAACAATTACTTAGTTTTCCCATCCACATTCACTGATTATTTATTTCGAGCATTATCATTTATTGAGCACAGCAGGGACTGGGGTCTTGTCCCCACCTTAGAGGGATTATTTACACTGCTAAAGGTCACAAGGGTAGTGAGGGGCAGAGAGGGAGATGGACCCAGCTCTCCTGACGCTGGTCCCAAGCTCTTCCCTCCACAGTGTCTACCCTCTCTCGAGGACTTTTTCTCCCTGTGCCAGTTCCAGCAAAGGATCTCATTCAGCTCACCCCCAAGAAGACTTTTAATACTTCAATGACGATGATACTAATAATAATAATATGCAAAGTTTGTTCCAACGCATTTAGAGGTGATCGAGACAAGACACGAAGCCAATCCCTCCCTTTCTGGGGCAGGGGAGGCAGTGATGATCTTGGACTTTGGATGAGTCGCTCCCCAGGGTCTAGGCCTGGCTGCCCCTCACCAACCAAATCTCCCAGGTCTTTTCTGTCCAAAGCCCTCCCCCTCTACCCTACCTCCAGCCCCTTCTGCTCTGAGCCATCAACTACGTTTTCTCCCTCAGCACTCGCCTTAGATTCCTGGACTTACCAGCACAAAGGTGATTTTCTCCTCGCAGACTGTAGGCGCCACTGCTGGGTCCGGAAAAGAAAGAGAAAAGGCCCAGCGTGGTCGCGTGTGTAACTCAGGACGCGGCTGCGCTGGGCGCCCGAGCGCGTTCTCAGGACTGCGGCCCGGAGTTCACTGCGAGGACTGGGATCACCCATCACCCCGCCCTGGTCTACGGAAAATGACAAGTGTTTACTGATATAGAAACGGAATAACGGCGCTGTGGGCTGGGGAGGGCCGAGCTGCCTTCAGGGTTCTGGTCTCCAGCTGCGCGGCACTCACACCTGCCGCTGTGAAAATGCAGACCCGCGGGGCAGGAATTCCGAGTCCGGGCTGGAGCGCGATCTGGAATCTGACTCGCTTGAAACAGCACCGCGGTGGATTCGGAGCCGGGTGAGCAGGGAACTGCGCCTCAGCCCCTCCCACGGGCCGCCCACTGATTCCAGGATCCGAAAACGCTTCCAGCTGCTCCGTCACCCCAGGAAGGCAGCGCCGGCCTCTGGGCGGTTCTGGTGGAAACGGGCTCCGCCGCCCGCAGGAAAACTCACAACTAAGGGACCAGGAAAAAGCCTCTCAGGGTCGCGCGCCTTCAGTGAGGATCCTAATTTACACCCCGAGTGTGGCCCCGTCAAAGACTAGAGCGAAGGTCACTGAAATGACACAAGATCAGCGAGGCCCAGGGCGCTGCCGCTCACAGAATGCGGAGACACGGCTGCCTCGCGTCCCTTCCCTGACCTGCCCCAGGCGGACGCGGTGACGTGTGTTTGCCTCGAGGCTGGAATACATGGGGATCAAATGCAGAGAATGGAGAAAGGAGGGAAGGATGGGGGGACATTTCGAGGAAAGGAAGGGAGAGGGAGAAAAGGGGAGAGAAAAGGTGAAGGTGAGAATAATATCTGAAAGATGTAGTTTTATTATTTCTAATTTTATTTTTGCCCTTTATCTAGTTTTGTTATTTATGAACATTTTTACCAAAGCTTTTTTTTCTCTGTGTGTGAATCTGTAAATATACGGCTTATTATTCTTATTTCAGAGCCTGCGAGGTCAAGCTGCAGAGAACATGAGCTTCTACCTCCAGATGTGCCAGGGTGCATCTCGTGGGTGCAAGAACAAGGGTTTTGTTTTGTTTTACAAAATCAAAGTACAAATCTCAAATAGAATAATATTTTTAAACCATTATTGGGACATACTTTGCACACAATCAGTGTATCTATTTGAAATGCACAGCTCATTGAGTTGTACTGCTTGGCTGTTTTACACACCCACATATCCACTACCACAATGAAGATAAAGAAATAACATTTCCATAGTCCCCTAAAGAATAGCCACGCGATAAAATTCCACGCAGTCCTTAAAAAGAGGAGGATAAATTTGTAAGTATTGTTATGAGAAGATCTGTGCCCAGCCTACTTTTATCCATTTTTAAAAGGACGAGGATATATGGAATTATAATACCAGTAATACCACTTACATAATATATATTTTAAGTAGGGGAAAACATGGAGGATTATTCCCCAAAATTTTGACAGGGACCCCAGGGACTGGGATAACGTTGTGACTTTCACCTTCTCTGAAATGTTGGAATTTTATATTACAGAATAAACTTGGATTTTGGCCAGGCGCGGTGGCTCAGGCCTGTAATCCCAGCTCTGGAAGCTGAAGGATAGCTTGAGCCCAGGAGTTCGAGGCTGCAGTGAGCTATGATCTCACCACTACACTCCAGCCTGGGTGACAGCAAGAGATCTTGTCTCAGAAATAAATAAATAAAATTTAAAAATAAAAATAATAAACTTGGATTTGTGTGGTGGTTAAGAAAAAATATTTGTTTGAAAATATTATAAAGATAAGCCACACACCCAAATAGTTACAGGATTTTAAAAACCAAAGTGTTAATTAAAACCCAACTCCAGAAACTCTCTTTTAAGGGGGCTTCATATTTTCATGTCATTAAATCTTTCTCAAAGTATCTTTGATAGAGCCGTTTTTAGTGCAGTAGAGAGATGTGTAACAATTTTACAAAAGGGGCGGGCTGTAATAAAAAGGGAAAGGCAAAATCCAGTGTGGACACACTGTCCCATTTATTTTCAAAGCACGTTTGAAAACTGCGCTGCTATAGCGTCTTTGGGTTGAGACAAAGTCGAGGAAAATCTTGTTCCTGGAGTACTGATTTCCTTTTTCCCAGGGCCAAAGTCTAAAACTCAGAAGCAAGTCTAAAAACTCAGGCTGACTTTCAGATCTGAAGAAATCTCAAGAATATTTGTGTGGAAGAACATTCCATGCTAATGGGTAGGAAGAATCAATATCGTGAAAATGGCCATACTGCCCAAGCTAATTTATAGATTCAATGCCATCCCCATCAAGCTACCAATGACTTTCTTCACAGAATTGGAAAAAACTACTTTAAAGTTCATATGGAACCAAAAAAGAGCCTGCATCACCAAGTCAATCCTAAGCCAAAAGAACAAAGCTGGAGGCATCACGTTACCTGACTTCAAACTATACTACAAGGCTACAATAACCAAAAGAGCATGGTACTGGTACCAAAACAGAGATATAGATCAGTGGAACAGAACAGAGCCCTCAGAAATAACACCACATATCTACAACTATCTGATCTTTGACAAACCTGAGAAAAACAAGCAATGGGGAAAGGATTCCCTATTTAATAAATGGTGCTGGGAAAACTGGCTATCCCTATGTAGAAAGCTGAAACTGGATCCCTTCCTTACATGTTATACAAAAATTAATTCAAGATGGATTAAAGACTTAAACGTCAGACCTAAAACCATAAAAACCCTAGAAGAAAACCTAGGCATTACCATTCAGGACATAGGCATGGGCAAGGACTTCATGTCTAAAACACCAAAAGCAATGGCAACAAAAGCCAAAATTGACAAATGGGATCTAATTAAACTAAAGAGCTTCTGCACAGCAAAAGAAACTACGATCAGGGTGAACAGGCAACCTACAACATGGGAGAAAATTTTTGCAATCTACTCATCTGACAAAGGGCTAATATCCAGAATCTACAATGAACTCCAACAAATGTACAAGAAAAAAACAAACAACCCCATCAAAAAGTGGGCAAAGGATATGAACAGACGCTTCTCAAAAGAAGACATTTATGCAGCCAAAAGACACATGAAAAAATGCTCATCATCACTGGCCATCAGAGAAATGCAAATCAAAACCACAATGAGATACCATCTCACACCAGTTAGAATGGCAATCATTAAAAAGTCAGGAAACAACAGGTGCTGGAGAGGATGTGGAGAAATAGGAACACTTTTACACTGTTGGTGGGACTGTAAACTAGCTCAACCCTTGTGGAAGTCAATGTGGCGATTCCTCAGGGATCTAGGACTAGAAATACCATTTGACCCAGCCATCCCATTACTGGGTATATACCCAAAGGACTATAAATCATGCTGCTATAAAGACACATGCACACGTATGTTTATTGCGGCACTATTCACAATAGCAAAGACTTGAAACCAACCCAAATGTCCAACAATGATAGACTGGATTAAGAAAATGTGGCACATATACACCATGGAATACTATGCAGCCATAAAAAATGATGAGTTCACGTCCTTTGTAGGAACATGGATGAAATTGGAAATCATCATTCTCAGTAAACTATCGCAAGGACAAAAAACCAAACACCACATGTTCTCACTCATAGATGGGAACTGAACAATGAGAACACATGGACACAGGAAGGGGAACATCACACTCTGGGGCCTGTTGTGGGGTGGGGGGAGAGGGGAGGGATAGCATTAGGAGATATACCTAATGCTAGATGACGAGTTAATGGATGCAGCACACCATCATGGCACCTGTATACATATGTAACTAACCTGCACATTGTGCACATGTACCCTAAAACTTAAAGTATAATAATAATAATAATAATAATAATAATAATAATAATAATAATAAAGACCAAAAAAAAAAAAGAATGTTTGTGCGGACAGCTACGCTCTAAGAATCCAGCTCTCTTGGGCTCCAAGCTCAAGCTCTCTGGGGCTTCACCCAGTGACAATGGCCGGAAGGACAGGACACAGTGAAATGGCACCAGTGAGTCAGAGGCCAAAGGAGGATTTCTGGCCCCAGCGCGCAGGATGTGCTTTGTTATAGTGGGGTTGGGATAGCGGAGCGGAGGCAAGGACACTCTGGGAATAAATGGCGAGAAAAAGTGCGCTAGGGAGGATCCAAAGCCTTCAGACTTCTTCCTTTCCTTCCTGTTGGGTGGGAGGGGACCAACATGGTCCCTGGTGGGGAGGTCCGTGGGATGCAGAGAATGGGGTCGCTGCAAAGGGGCGTTGCGCGCCCCACGCAAGGCTTCTGGCACTCTTCTCCTAGCTACTACTGATGAGTTCAAACTAGCAGGAGACTAAGACGTGTCCTTTGCAATGTAGACTCCATATCTTGCACTTCGGCTGGTTTACTAAATCCATCTTAATAAAACACAAAAACAAAGAACCAAATTCTGCGTGTGATATTTCTGACCTCTAGAAGGTCCTCCCTCTCCCCATTCCTCGTGGGCTCCCTTCTTGCCCCGCCCCCTCCGCTTTGTCTCCACTTCTCCATCCCTGTCCATCTCTGGACCCCGCTCCTGAGTATCTCCCCCCTTCTTCAGAGGACTTCCCCTCATGGAGTACAGACTCCTCCACCTCCAGGAAAAAGAGACAAAGTCCACTGAGAAGGAACTGAGAGACTCCTGTTACTCCACCCCTGAAGTCAGCCTGTCCCACAACGCTCACTCAGGCTGCATGTGTGTGTGTGTGTGTGTGCCTGTGTGTGTGTGCCCGTGTGTGTGAATCTGTGTGTGAGAGTGTGTCTAAATATGTGTGTGAATGTGTGTGCGACTGTGTGTGCCTGTGTGTATCAGTTAGCGTGTGTATCTGTATATGAGAGAGAGTGTGTGTGTATGTGTGTGTGTGTGTGCGTGAATGAGAGTCAAAGTGCTAAACCTGGCATCCAGGAAACCTCCCCACCTTGGCACTGCACGCAGGAGTCAGTGTTATGTGCACCTGTGCTTTTATTTCAGGAGCTGAGACAATTGTATTAATCAGATGTGCAGAGAGCCAAGGGCCCCACGCTGGAAAGCATCAGAGAGGAGGGTGAGATTGGAGGAGCCCCTGACTCCAAGTCTCTTGATCACTCTTACACAGGGATCTTGAAAAAAAAGTGCAGGACACTCCGTTCTCTCCTGGGAGTGACAGGGAAGCCAGAGCCACTGTGCGTGTCAAATTCCATCAAAGAAAAACCATTATAGCAAAACTTCCATGTCACAGTTTTAAGCCTGCACAATGACTCAAATAGAACCAATACCAAAAAAACAAATTCCTAGCTCAGGTGAGGTCAGTGAAGTTGGCTGTCAGGTGTAAAGGAAACTGCAGGTATAAAGAAGGACACCTGTAGGTAGGGCTGCAGCCCAGTCGCCCCTGCATCTTAGGGCGCCTGGAAAGGACTGTCTCCATTCAATAGTGCAGGGTGAGGACATTTTGGGGGAGAAATATAGACTGTCCTTAGACCCCTGGGGTTTGTACATTTACTTTCTGACTTTTTAGCTGTTGACTTCATTTTTGAACAAATTACAGTTACATAAATTTGCTTTGACTTTAAGTGTAAAACAGGAAAATATTCCTGAAACAGGAAACAAGGGCCAAGTGACCTGCACTGTCACCCCCCTCTGTGGCTCCCTGATGCAACACAATTGTGAGCCAACAAATCTATGGCTGGGGAAACAGTCAACTCCATTTCTGCAAATGTTTCAGATGTTCCTTCTTGCTGAGTAATGTTCTAGTTTTACCCCAGCCTTAATATTTTAAGTCTATATTTTCCCAGCTGTTTTTTTTGTTGTTGTTGTTGTTTTTGAGAAGGAGTCTCGTTCTGTCACCCAGGCTGGAGTGCAGTGGCACGATCTCGGCTCACTGCAACCTCCGCCTCTCAGGTTCAAGCGATTCTCCTGCCTCAGCCTCCCCAGTAGCTGGGATTACAGGGGCCCGCCACCACGCTTGGCTAATTTCTGTATTTTTAGTAGAGATGGGGTTTCACTGTGTTGGCCAGGATGGTCTCAATCTCCTGACCTCGTGATCTGCCTGCCTCGGCCTCCCAAAGTGCTGGGATTACAGGCATGAGCCACTGCGCCAGGCCTTGTTGGTTTTTAAATAATGCATGTATATTTATTATTTGGTTTGTTGTAGTAAGCCATCTGGAATCAACTGTGGAAATAAATGAATGGTTCTCTATTAAATAACTGCTGAGATCATCTGAAAAATGTATTAACCCCAAAACCAATCACTTCACACTCGTCTACTGCCTCCTCCCCAGAGCCATTCTCTCTAGGATAGTAAATCCGACGGGCCTTCCAGCTGGGCTGCCTGCTGCATCTCATGCAGCTGTCCATCACCCACACAACAGGCAGAGTGAACCTTTCGAATGGGAATTAGAGCCCATCCTCACCACCACATCCCAGAGACACTCCAGCCTCTTCCCTTCCTCTCTCCATTTCCTATTAGCCCCTCAACACGGGGCCCCTCTGGCCATTCTGGCCTCATCTCACCACTCTCAGCCCAGATCACTCATCTGCACTCGCACCAGTCTCTTGTCACTGCTCAATCCTGTCTCTGCCACCGGCCCCTGCTGGTACTCCCACATGCACTTGCTCCCTAGGGATCCACATGGCTCACTCCTCATGCCATTCAGTTCTCTGCTCAAATGTCCCTTAGTCAAGTTCTCAGGAACCTCTTATCCAACAAAATATATCTCCTGCCATCCTCACCACCACCAATCTTCTAACCCGAGTATATTTTCTCCATAACAATTATCACTGATATTAGAATAAATTTGAAAGTTGTTGTCTGTACCACTAAAACATATTATTTGAGGCCAGGACCTTGTCCAGCCACCACTTGTATCCCTAGCATCTAGAACATACCAGTACAGAGGAGGGGCTTAACAAATAAGAGGTGAATGATGGGTGAATATAATTGGTATGCTGCTTTTGATAAGCAATTTTATAACATGTGTGTCCGAGGCGGGTGGATCACCTGAGGTCAGGAGTTCGAGACCAGCCTGACCAACATGGTAAAACCCCGTCTTTTCTAAAAATAAAAAAATTAGCCAGGTGTGGTGGTGCACGCCAGTAATCCTAGCTACTCGGGAGGCTGAGACACAAGAATGACTTGACCCTGGGAGGTGGAGGTTGCAGTGAACCGAGATTGTGCCACTGCACTCCAGCCTCAGTGACAGAGTGAGACTCCATCTCAAAAACAAAGCAAAAAAAGTTCATGCAGTTTGACCAAATAATTTATATTTGAGAAATCTATAATTCTACAATGAAATGCAAAATATAGAAGAATCTTTAGGTATAAGGATATTAATCAGATATTATTTACAATAAGGAAGAAGAACTTGTAAAAGAAGAGTAGCTGGGTCATTTTTTGGAAATAGTATACAGCCAGGAAAAGTACTGTTTAAGAAGAGTTTATGATAACATATAAAGTTGCTTATTGATAATAATAAAGTTTGAAAAGCAAGATTCAAAATAACTCATACAGTGTGACTGCACTAAGTCATCCTGCACAGACACCACATGCACAGAAACCAGGGGTGGAAACTCAGGGGGCAGCTGCAAAGCACAGCTCCAGGGCCCCTTTTCACTGACGTCTCTGAGGCTCTGCCAGGCAGAGGTTCATCCGGATCCTCCCAGTGGGGACACAGGTGTTTTCCATCTTTCTGCTTCACTACATTTTTTATATTTTCTGTAATTGAGCAGATTCTACTTTCTAAAAGGGTAAAATGCTGATTATGAAGTTTTACAACATTTGAAATACAATTTTAATGAAAAAGTCCAAATGTCCTGTCCCAACTCAGGTCACTTTCTCTTTTTTTAGAGATAGGGACTTGCTCTCTCACCCAGGTTGTAGTGCAGTGAGTTGATCATAGTTCACTGCCGCCTTGAGCTCCTGGGTTCAAGTGATCCTGCTGCCTCAGTCTCCAGAGTAGCCAAGACTACAGGAAAGCCCCAAAATGACCATCTAATTTAAAAAAAAAAATTGAACAGAATACATCTCACTGCTTCCCAGGCTGGTCTTGAACTCCTGGGCTCAAGTGATCCTCCTGCCTTAGCCTCCCCAGTGTTCTAGGATAACATGGGTGAGCCACTGTGCTCAGTCCTAACTTAGCTTGAAGCAAAGTCTCCTCTCCATGTCATAGGGCAAAAACTCCAGCTGATGGAGCCTTCAGAAAGAAGAAATAAACTCTTCCTCCACAATGCCTCATCCATCCCTGGGTTATAGGCGTCGGCTGAATGATAAAGTCAACACTGAGAATATGATCATTTTAGATTACTGATTGTCATTTAATTTTAATTCCACCACACCTGAGAGAGTGGGATGGATTCTTTCTTTTATTATGATTTGAGCATCTGAGTCCCTTCCATCCTGAACATCTGACATGGGTGCTTCAAAAATGTAGGTCTTGAGACTTAAAGGGCACTTGGTCTCCTGAGCAGGCCCCCTGCATGCGCCACACCCACTAAGGCTCCATAACAGTGGGAAGAGCAGCCACAGTCAGAGCCCAGGTGGGTTCACACTGAGGGACCATCCACATCCAGGGTACGCTGAGGAGGGGCTGAGGTGAGAATCCAGCCCCTGCCTAGGCTCTGGGTGAGAGGTGGGCAGGACAGTCAGCTACTGAGTATTACTGGAGCTATTGCCTTTTTTCTCCTGAAGACCCCACCCCTGCACACACCAAAACTTTACATTCTTTGTGGAGCAATTTTCTTTTTAGAAATGTAAACACCCCCTAATCTTAAAGCCACCCAATATCACTCATAGTGACACCGCAGTAGGATAAGCTCTTAACTCCCACCAAATTAGCCTCAGAGTTGTAGTTTTTGTTTGTTAGACATGGGGTCTTACTCTGTCATCCAGGCTAGAATGCAGTGGCATGATCACGGCTTACTGCAGCCTCGAACTCCTCGGCCCCAGAGATCCTCCCACCTCAGACTCCTGAATAGCTGTCACTAGAGGTGAACGCCACAAGCCCCAGCTAATGTTTTGTGTTTTTTGTAGAGATGGGGTTGTGCCATGTTGCCCAGGCTGGTCTCTAAGGCCTGGGCTCAAGTGATCTGCTGCCCCGGCCTCCCAAAGTGCTAGGATTAGCATGAAGCCCCACACCAGGCCTGCAGCTGAGTATTTGGAGCTAAGGCAGGAAGTTGCTGTGGAGTTTGTACCCAGCTAATTTGAAAGGTGGTCCTGAAAGGTAAAGTGCGATTAGGTGGACCTTGGTGGGGAAGCATAGATGTTTCTGGTGAGAAGAGAACAAGATAGATGGGAAGCTTCTAAAAGTGAACATCAGTGGGCCCTGTGCTCACACAGCACTGGGATTTGGAAGACCTTTTCCCACCCACTTTTGGCTTGTGAGCTTTTATTCCACCTTCTTGTCTCCTAGGTCATTGCAGGAAATCCCTTCATTTGGTAAACATTTATCAAACACCTACCATGTGCTAGGCATTGTGTTAAAGGAGCTGGGGCTGAGGTAAGAGGAACCAAACCCCCCTTGCCTTCAAGGTTAAGCCGTCTTGCTCAGGCAGAGATCAGTAAGGAAACTCTTTATTTATTTATTTATTTATTCATTTATTTTTTTAGACAGAGTCTCACTCTGTTGCCAGTAAGGAAATTCTTACACAAATGGTTGGCAGAATATGCAACTTGCTTTGCGGATGCACATGTAGACCATCTGCTCTGACCAAGGAGTCACAGAAGCTTCATAAGACACAACATTTGAGCTGCGTTTTGAGGTATAAATAGGAGTCTGACAGGCATCCAGGACAGGAGAGCATTGCTCAGAACCCAGGACATGAATTTTTCTCTCCTAGGCCAGGCCAGGACTCAGACTAAGCTGACTGAGGAGCCAGGTGCTTCCTGGCAAGGAAGTGTGTCCCATATATGACTATCCAGAAGTCACAGCTGCTCAATATTGAGTCTTGAGACAGAGAGAGAGAGGCCTGATTTGAAATGCAGAATTCTGCTGGGGGCCCGTTAAAATGCAGTTTCTGATTCAGTAGGTCTGAGGCAGGGCCTGAAAATTGCATTTCTAACAAGTCCTCAGGTGATGCCAATGCTACTTGTCCCAGGAACACACTTTGAGAATCACCACCCTAAGGCAATCCATATTGATTTCTAATATCAGAAGAGGGCTGACAGGCAAAGGTATAGGATAAACTAGACCATGCATGGGCCATCTTGGAGAGCACCCCACCCAAGTCTGCAGCATTTGATTTCCTTGGGATCCCGGGAATGGCAGACACCCAGGAAGGAATCAAATGTGGGGTTACAGGGCAATCCAGAGGCTGAGCTTCACACAGCATCTGGGGTTCCCACTACTTCACAAGTGGCCCCCACACCCCCAATCCTTCCCACCCCTTATGAAACTGACCTACGAGTCTTGCTCTGCTGTCCTGGGCTGTTTGGGCCTGGGATGTGAGCTCTGACTATACCTTCTGATCCAAATACAGGGTGACCTCATATGACACATACTTAGAATGGGCTCATAATGAGAACCTTCCAAATTCAGCAAATGGATTCAATCGTGTGTTTTCCAGGAGAATTACCAAGTGTTCTCTTTTCTAAATATCACATACTTGAGCTCACATGGACAGTAGAGGAAGTTCTGAGCCTGCTGAAGCCACAATTGGTACATTGGACCCCGTAGAATTCCTTGTAGATTGGGCTTCACCATTTACATCAGGATTTGGTCAAAATTTCCTTCACCAAACCGGTTGCATTTGTTAAGTAACCATGCTCTCATTTTGACTTTTAATGAATGAAAGACAGACACACACATAAAGAAAGATAGTGCAATGAAAAAGAAAACAACATACTGAATTAAAGTGACAGGAAACATCCTTGTTTGAGAAGTGATATAATTTTTAGACAGTTTTTTTTTTTAATTAAGGAAGGTAAGAGAATTAATTCTGTTAGGCTCTTTTTTTAAGTTTTTTATTTTGAAGGATTTGATTTTGTTTGTTTTGTCTGCCTTGGAATTATCTTTTATTTTATGTTTTGACTTGGCTCAAAACTCAAAAAGTTAAAAGTCTCTCTCTTATGCTACCCCATCTTGACAGGCAGCTATTTATATCAGTTTCTTGCTTATTCTTTCAAAGGCATTTTATGCATATGCAAGTCAATCTAAATGTATATGTATATAATCTTTCTCCCATTTCACACAAATTTTAGCAAACTACATATGCTTTCCTGCACCTTGCCTTTTCCCTTCACATTGTATCACAAAGACCATCACATGAAGAAATACCAAGAGCTTAGCTACATCTTTGTTTGAAATTTTCATGATACACCATTGTATATATATGCAATATTTTAAAAAAAAATAGAGATTGCTTCTTTTGAGTGCGGTGCTTTTTAATCAGCCCCCTCTTGATAGGCATTTGGATTATTTCTTTCAGAGAACAATTTTGCATCATGTAACATCATATGGAAAAGCTGTAGTGACCCCACTCCTATATGCATATTCTAGGGAAACTCACATATCTCTGAGAGCAGGAGGCAATGTCCCAGGATGTTCATTGCAGTGAGGTCTACAATAGAGAAAATCTAAAGGTCAATGAAGAGGGAAAGAGAAGAATTGTAGTATATTCCTCCCATGGAATACTATCCACCAATGAAAGCAAATGAACTATTTGTATGAACATAGATTCATGTCATAGAACATGTTAACTGAAAAAGCAAGCAAATGAATGATAAAATTAGCCAGAAACAATTTATAAGAAGTCTAAAAGCAAAGCCAGGCAAGGTGGTGTACACTTGTAATCCTAGCACTTTGGGAGGTCATGGTGGGTGGATCGCTTGAGTTCAGGAGTTCAAGACCAGCCTGGGAAACATGGCAAAAACCCTCTCTCCAAGAAATACAAAAATTAGCCCGGCATGGTGGAGCATAGCTATACCCCCAGCTACTTGGGTGGCTGAGGTAGGTGTATCGCTTGAGCCTGGGAGGTTGAGGTACAGTGAGCTGTGTTTGTGCCACTGCACTCAAGCCTGGGTGACAGAGTGAGGAGACCTGTTCTAAAAAAACAAGTCTAAAAGACTTCAAACAAAGAGATTTCCTAAAACTTAGTAAAAATATAAAGGCATACACTAAATTCAAGTCACACATCCTCTTGCAATTCTTGATTTGCTCAGTACAGTACTGACTGAAACATGTGCATATCAGAGCTGTGAAAAATCAAGGCTATCTACATATATTTCTATTATTTTTCTATGTATACTACATATAGCCAATAATATTAAAATGTCGCCAATTGACAAACCTGGGTGGTGCCTTCACAAAGATTTTTTATAATTTTCTATTCTTTCTTCCAGCTGGAACTACTTTGAATTAATGTTTGTGAAGTGAATCCACAGGAACTGAGCAAAATAAGAAAAGAGTTATTGAGTGTGAGGAAAGCTGCACAGAGGTACAGACAGATGGAGAGATGACAATACTGAGCATGTCAGTGACCTTCACAGTAACAGACTTCCTGGAGGAGTGTGAGCTTGAGCCAGAATGAAGAGGATAAAATATAAAAGAGGGATGAAGGAGTGGGGACTTTAGGGGGCAAATATGGGATTGAGTAGGCCAGACTGGGAAGCGTGGATGGATTCTAAACATTCCGCTTTAGGTCTAGCACTTAGAGAAAGAGAAATCATGTTTATTTAGCTCCTTCCACAATCTTTAGAGAAATCTTCTGAAACATTACAAAAAAGACACATGAATGGCCAATAGTCATCAGGGAAAAATGCAAAGTAAAACCACAGCGAGAAACCACTAAGCACTTATTAGAATGGCTGAAATTTAAGTGATTAATAAATATAAATGTTGTCAAGGATGTGAAACAGTCTCATCCACTGCCTATAAGAATATAAAACAGCCACTCTGAAAATCACTTTTATATCATCTAATAAAGTTAAACAAGCTAGTACTCTATGGCTAGCATTTCCACTCCTAGGTATTTACTCAAGTGAAATAAAGATTATGTCCAAGAATCCCTGTACAATAATGTCCATAGTTCATTTGTAACAATAAAAAACCGTGAATACCCCCAAAATGTACAAAAAAATTGTGACTCAGTGATACAATGCAATACTACCAGCATTAAAAATGAATGAATTACTGATACATGCAACAAGCTGGGCAGACCACATAGATATTACACCAAGTGCAAAAAGCTAGGCACAAGGGAGGCCATATGGGATGAATGGATACGTATGAAGTTTTGAAACAGGAAGAGCTACTCTATCATGATAGTCATCAGATCAATGGCTGCTGGGGAAAGGGGGCTAATTTGAAGGCAGAAAAATAGAGAACTTCGTGTATCTTCATAGTGGCATGGGTGCTATGGCTGTATTTGTCAAAATTCATTGATGAATTTGATACAGATCTGATCATTTCAGTATATGTAAATTTTACAAGTTTAAAATGCTTACAATAAAAATTTAAACGTTAGTAATAAAAAATAGTAATTGAAAATATTAGCAACAAAATCCAACAACAGATCAAAACAATACACCATAATCACGTGAGTTTTATACCCAGGATGCAAGGATTGTTTGACATATGTGAATCAAAATATGTCATATACCGCATCAACAGAATGAAGGACATAAACCATATTATCATCTCAATAGATGCAGAAAAAGCATTTGGTGAAACTAAACATTGCTTCTTAATGAGAACTCTCAAAGGAGTTCCTCTGACAAAGGAACCAAGAATATACACTGGGGAAAGAACAGTCTCTTAAATAAATGGTGCTGGGAAAATGCTACCAGATGCAGAAGAATGTAACTAGACCCCTGTCTCTCACCATATACAAAAAATCAACTCAAAAGGGATTGTAGACTTAAACGTAAGACCCAATACTGTAAAACTACTAGAAGAAAACTTATGGGAAACATTAGTCTAGGCAAAGATTTTATGGCTAAGACCTCTAAAGCACAGGCAAAAAAAGTAAAAATAGACAAATGAGACTATATTAAGCTAAAAAGCTTCTGCACAGCAAAGGAAACATCCAACAGAATGAAGCAATAACCTGTTGAATCGTGAAAATATTTACTAAGTATTCAACCAACCAGTATATTCATCCAATTAGTATATTCTAGACTAATATCTAGAATATACAAGGAACTCAAAAACTTGGCAGTAAAAAATACAAATAATCCAATTAAAAAGTGGACAAAGGATCTGAATAGACATTCCCCAAGAGGAGGCATACAAGTGGCCAGCAGGTGTGTGAAAAACACCCAACATCACTAAATACCAGGAAAATGAAAATCAAACTACAATGAGATATATCTTACCCTAACCCTAGTTAAGATGGCTATTATTAAAAAATAAAAAATAATAGATGTTGGTGAGCATGTGGAGAAAGGGGAATGTTATACACTGTTGGTGGTCATGTAAATTAGTGCAGCCATTATGGGAAACAGTAGAGTGATCTCTCAAAAAAACTGAAACTATTAATAGAACTACTATCTGATGCAACAATTCTACTTCTGAGTATTTATCCAAAGGAAATGAAGTCAATATATCAAAAGAGTACCTGCACACCCATGTTTATTGAAGCACTATTCACAATAGCAAAGATGTGAAATCAATGGTGAATTTATCAATGGGTGAATGAATAAAGTAACTGTAGTATATACACAATGGAATGCAATTCAGCCATAAAAAAAGAGTGAAATCCTGTCAGTTGCAGCAACATGGATGGAACCAGAGGTCATGTTAGGTGAAATGAGCCAGGCAAGGAAACACAAATATCACATGTTGTCACTCACATGTGTGAGCTAAAGACGTTAATCTCATGGAGGTTGAGAGTAGAATGAAAATTACCAGAGGTTGGGAAGAATGTAGGGGTGGGAAGATGTAGAGAGGTAGATTAATGGGTACAAATGTACAGTTATATAAAAAAAAAAAGTTCTAATGTTCTATAGCACAGCAGGCCAACTAAAGCTAACAATTATGTATATTTAAAACAGCTAGAAGAGTGGATTTTAAATGTTCCCAACACAAGGAAATGATACATGCTTGAGGTGATGGATTCCCTAAACACCCTGACTTGATTATTCCACATTCTGTGTATGTATCAAATGATCACATGTGCCCCATAAACATATAAAATGTTATGTATTACCTTTAAAAAATATTTTTAAAATAAACTCAACACAATATGGGACATTTTAAAAAGTACAAAAATATGACCATGATAAAAATTGGCAAATATTTCCTTTTTATTAAGATCCACTTTGTAAGTTCAAGCAGAATGAAGCCCATACAGCATCAGAAGAAGTGGCTCTCCTGAGAGAATCTTCTCCCCAGTTAGAAAGGCAGAAACAGAATTCCTGGAGAAAGTAAGACTCTGGAGAACTGCATAGCACCTCTTCTTGGGGTCTGGGGTTACCCAGATGTAGGGAGGGTTCACCTTCTGGGAAAAACTAAACGTTGGTTCTTGTTCTTTTTTGTTCTTATTGCAAGACCAAAAATTGAGAAAACCAAGAGAAAGCACCAAGCCAAAGGGATATACTCTCTTTTATTTTTTAGAATATCCACTACCAAGGATGATCCACGCTGTTATGAGACGAATTGTGTCCCTCCCCAACCGAAATTCATATGTTGGAGTCCTATGTTGAGAAGACAGAAGTGGCCATCTACAAGCCAAGGAGAGAGGCCTCAGGA
This sequence comes from Homo sapiens, assembly GCF_000001405.40. Lineage (NCBI taxonomy): Eukaryota > Metazoa > Chordata > Mammalia > Primates > Hominidae > Homo > Homo sapiens. The sequence continues at coordinate 1,290,163 of NT_167249.2, forward strand.
AAAAGCAACCCTGCAGCACCTTGACCTGCACCTGTAGCCTCCAGAACTGTGAGACAATACATATTTATTATTTTACTCACCCAGCATGTGGTACTTTGTTATGGTAGCCCTAGCAAATTAAAACAGAAATATTACCTTTTCTACTCTGTCCTATGTATGAACATGAGACTTTTTAAGAATATGAATTACCTGGGATTCCAAAACATAGAGTGAGTCAATGGAAAATAGATGATACAGGGTCATTTCCAAGCCTTTGTGGGTCTCCTGGCCACCACACAAACATGGATGTGTTCCCATTTCTTTTCAGTTTCACACAGTGCAAAAGTTGTGGACATAGAATCACAAACTGTGTTTAATTTATTTGAGACATTGAGTGAGCTAGTTTTGCCCTAATTTTATAGAAAGATGATGAACAATCATAATTACTAAACCAAAGAGGCTTTTTGGCAGGGGATGGCAGGTACTATGTTTTCTCCTCCTTTTAAAGTGCATTTTCCTAAAGAGTCTTGTCTAGGAGTAAATGTCATCACTTTGCTTTTTTCCTCCGCATTGATCACTTGGTCCTCCCTGCATTTCAGTAAGGTTGCTAGAATGGAGGCATTTGTCCATGATTCACAGATGAATCAGAGGCCCTATGAGTAGAGAGCTTCTCCTGAAGTCACACAGCTCGTGAGTGGTGGAGCAATGACAGGCACATGACTCTCCAGGTCCCTAGTCCAGTTTTCTGGGTGCCATGAGAATTACAGCCTTTGGTTCCTTTTACATGTAGTTCATTTCTGAACCTGAGAAGGAGAATGCACCTCAGGTGACTAACAGTTTTTGCTCTTCTGTACTTGTCTGAGAATGACCCCAAAAGATTTTTAAAGGCCAATTCTTTGGCTACCAACCCTATTTTGCCCAGGCATGGACATGGAGCAGGTGAACACTGCCTTTACCTGTGACATGCCTGAAGATTCTGAGACCTACGTGAATCAGGTAAGCTCCATACACAGAGGGACACCCACTCTCCCACCCACTTATTTTCTGTATCTTTTCACACTTCACTTCTTCATTCCTCCCTCTGGCTGTCTTCCCTCTTTGGGGTCTTCTAGTCCTAACCTCTGTCTCCTTCCAGGTGACTAGAGCAGGCTGGTTTGGAACAGGGCTTGTGTCGGATGAGAATTGTGCCAGGATCCTCAGTGATGGGCAGCATCACTTTAAGTTCAGTGTTAGGAGCTACCTGCTGAGACAGACGTCTCCTCCACAGTGAGTGCTGATTTCATGAAACCCTTAGTTCCTCCCTATTCCTTACTGTGTCTTCAATCCCATCATGTAGGTCATGGGCACTTAACGCATAATGAACAATTGACTGCTTCATGCCCCCTGGCCGTTGATGCTGTGTTGGGACGTTTTGCTGCCCTCTATGTGGGGTCTGTGCCTTTTCTCATATTACATCTCTTCCACCACGCCCAAGTCCATCCTCTGAACCCAGGCAGTACACCAGCATCTGCATGTGTGCTGTGTGTTCCTGCCTTGCTTTGTCCTTTCATGCCTTATTCTCACTGTGCCATGTCTCCTTCTCAGTTGAACAGATGCAGTAGGAGACTCGCTCATTCTGGAATGTGACCATCTGCCCTTCAGGAGAGGACAGCAGGGTGTGGGTGAAGGAGACCCTGCTGCCCCCACACCTGACAGCCTCCACCACCCCCTGGCTTTCCTCTTCTGCATCAGCACCACTCCCGAACCATCATTCCTGATCGTCAGAATTTTTAATGTAACTAAACATGAAACACAAGTGCATCTGCATTATGTGTGGGTGCTCTCTCCCTTTATTGTATTTGGGGTAAGATTATTTTAGGGCATGGTCCAGGGTAAATTCCTGTAAGGCCTGGATGCCCTGCTGTGAGGTCAAAGGGGGACGGACTGCAGAGCCCTGGCTCCCCAACTACCTGCCTATTTCCGGCCCTTTGTTGGGGTCTCTTCTGCTTTATCTGGCCTGAGAGAGGCTGGGATGTTTCTGATCCTGGGGCTCCTGGTGGATGGTGCGCAGTATTTCCAGGGATGGAGGGTGCTGTGGGCACTGGTGGGAAGCTTGAGTGTCTCCACCCAGGCTTTCTTGGTGCCTCCTCATCTATTCCTTCAAATTCTAGACCTTGAGCACCAGGGCCTGGGCCCCTGACCCCCTCCTGCCCTTCCAGCAGGGCCTGGTCCAGCTCCAGCAACTTCTCAGCTTGGGCCAGCTCAGCTGTGTTGGGGGCTCATGGCCCTGGTGAGGGGGAGTGGTGGAGGGAGCATCAGCCAGGGCAGGGGGCTGAGGCCCTTGGAACCTGTATTGCAGGGTCTGGCTGTAAATGAGGAATTCTACCTCCCTTTCCCTTTTTCTAGCCCATTAGCTTAAGGCCTCCTGTACTGAGAAGCCCAGGGAGCCCCTTGTCTTGGGCATAGGCCTCTGGGGGGCAAATAGAGATCCCTGGCTCAGGGAGTATAACTGGATACCTTGAACAAGGATATGGGGTCACTGGAAAGAGAGGACCGGCTGTCCCTCTCCGCTAAGAAATAATTAACTGTTAGATGAGGGGGAATTTCTGTTCAAGGGCTCTGTGGACTGTGCTGCTCTGGAGGGGGTGGGGAGAGAGAGCCCTGAGGTCTGAGCTGGGGTGTGGTTGGGAAGGAGCTGAGAGCTCAGAGCTGGAACTAGGCAAGGAGCTGCAGGGGTGAGGGTGGTGCAGGGTGGGATTTAGAGGATTTCCCCTGACTCCTGTGCTGATCCCCTTCACGTCCTCCACCCCCACCCTTGGTGTCCGTCAACATGCTGGGGTGACCTCATCTTCCCACTGTCCCTGGAGCTGTTCTACTCTTCCACGCTTGCCTTGGGGTTTTCAGAGCAGCATCTTTGTGAGTCCTGGAGAGCTAGGGACCAGGAGGGCAGGAGGAGGTGAAGACAACAGCACCGAGAGATCCTGGAAGAGAAAGGACCATGGTAGCTGAGGCAGGGAGCAGTCTGAGTTGCCTAGAAGACACCAAGAGTTCGCTCCCTCCAGGCCTTGGCTTTGCTTCAGCACCTGGTGCTGCATAGGCCCCACCCCTGCCCTGCTCTGCTGCCTCCACCTCCCTCTCAGCCTGGTCCCAGACAGAATCCAGACCAATTCCTGTTTCTGATGTGAAAAATGATCCTGCCAGTTTAGGCAGAGCTTGCTTTAGAGCACTGGTGCCCAGCCTTCCACAGGTCTTGTGTCTGTTTTTCTTGGCACTGGGTTTCTTCTCACTTATTCTTCTGAATTGGCAAGGCAGGAATTACATCACTAGTTTGCAGATGAGGAAACTGACTCGTATGGGCTCATTCAGCACTCACTCACTGGGCAAGTGTCTGTCAGGGCCAACTGTGGGCCAGATGTGCCCAGGGCTCTATAGCTAGCTGGTGGAAGGGCCTGGAGGGTTCATATTCAGGTCCACCTGACTTGAAAACTCATATTGACCTTACTTAAGTACTGATTCCCGATTTACAATCCATGCCACAAACTTTATTGTCATATCTAAAGAAGTTGCCACAGCAGCCTTTAGCAACCACCCTCCTGATCAGCCAATAGTCAACACTGAGGCAAGACCCTCCCCCAGCAAAAAGATTAGCAAAACCTCCACACCCTCTCTCAGGATGTTCCTGCACCTCACAGCTACAGCAGCAACCTGGTCTCCCTGAGGACACGACCCCCTCCAAAGTCCTCCCACATGGGGGAGTTTTCCCAGGGACTTGTACCCCTGGGTTCAGAGGTGAGGTGGGGTCCTTGCTCCTCACTGTGGTTCTCACACCTTTCTCCCTCCCTCCTCCCTAAACCCCTAAGCTGTCAGCAGATTAGGGCCCCATTCCCCATGTTGTAGCCATTCCCTTTGTGCCCCAAGCCATTCCTCTTAATCCTGACCCTTGTAGCTCCTGGTTCACTGTCACCCTCTCCAGCAGTGCGTCTCCTTGACTCTTGGTGACTTCAACATACGCAGATGTGGTGGGCTGAGTAATGGTCCCCAAAGATGTCCAGGCTTAATCGTTGGAACATGTGAATAGGTTGCATTGCATGGCAAAAGGGACATTAATCATGTAATGAAGATTAAGGACCTTAAAATAGGGAGAGTATCCTGGACTATCTGCGTGGGCCCAATCAAATCACATGAGCCATTAAAAGCAGAGAAACTGCCCTGGCTGGAGTCAGATTCTGCAGAAGAGGAAACAGAGGAGAAGCTGGAGAGAGGAGGTCAGACGTTCCAAGAAGGAGGACTGGATGTGCCTTAGGCGCCATGTGTGAGTACCTGAGAGAAAACTCTAGGAGCTAAGGGTGGCTCTTAACAAGGAAGTGGAAATCTCTGTTCTATCTGCAAGGAAGTGAATTCAGACAAGAACTTGAATGAGCTTGGAAGTGGATTCTTCCCCAGTCTCCAGGAAGGAATGCAGGCCTTCCCGTACATTGATCTTAGCCCCATGAGACTGTGTGGACTTGCAACCCACATGACTGTGACATGATAATTAGGTGCTGTTTAAAGCCACTTGGTTTGTGGTAATTTTTATGGCAGCAACAGACACCTATACAGCAGAGAAGATGCCCTTGCTCCCTGGACTCTCAGATCCTGTAACTCCTCTCCTCCATGACCTTCTCCTCTCTCTGCCTGAATCTCATGCCCTTGTCATCCCCTAGGCCTCATCACGGCCAAGAACCCCAGCCCTTCCATACTCTCAATCTCACACTTCCCACTCTCTGGCCATCTTTCCACTCATCCCCTTGCAAGGTGGCCACAGGCTCTGATGACACAGACACTATCATTTTATCATATGCTGTGATGTAATATCAATGAACCACTCATTTCCTATGTGCCTGCATTCCAGGCTTGGAGTCCACCCTGTGGTACATCAATTCCAACAATCCTTCCAGCCCACTGGGATTCCCAATTGAGTGATCCTGCCATCTACTCCCTGTCACTCACCCTTGGTGTCCTCTCCTCCCTCTTCTCCCATTTTGAATTCTACAGTAAATAATTTCAATCCCTCCCTTGCCTCTCCCTTGCATTGTCATACTCACCTGGCAAAACTACACAGCTGGTGGGTTCCACCTCTGTCTATGCTGCACCTGCCCCATGAGCTGCAGGAGGCTGGACAGCAGCACACAACATGCTGACTGGTCTCTTTAAGATTCCAAACCTCATGGGGAGCCCCTACCATTGACGTGGCCAGCAATCACCCTCTCCCTACGTGGTTCACCCTCAGCCTCCTCTTGGCCTGGGTGACTCCTAGACACCTTCTCTCTGTGCTCACACATCCAACCCTTCTTCCCCATTCTTACCTCAGCTGACAACCTTGCCTCCTACCTCACTGAGAAAACTGAACACATTAGAAGACAACTTCCCCGATTCCACCACTGTCTGCTCATGCATTTGCAGCTGCACCACATGTCAGGCATTTTACCACGGGAGGGATTGCTGGGGGTTAACAATTCTGCTCCCAGTCAGAGCCAGTCCCTCTTCTGGTGCCCCAAACATCATCCCTTCTCATCTACTTAAAGTTGTCAGTTCATCAACTAGTATCTTTTTTTATCTTTATCATCAACTTTTTCCCTCTCTCCCCACTGGATCATTGTGGCAGTCATGAGAATGCACATCCCAGCCCCTCAGCTACAGGAAGCAGAATCGATGATGACCCCAGCTCTTGAAGCTTGAAATCTATTGCCACATTTGCTCTGATCCCACACCTGCCCCCTGATCTTTTCCAGCCAATGATTGAGGAAAGCAGGGCAGAAACTAAGGCAGGAATATTTCTCCTCTGAAGGCTGACTGCAGCCCCAGGGCTCCCTGCCTCCTTTACTAAATTTCCCTTAGCCTGCACAGGGTCTAGGATGCTTCCAGCTGAACTTCCTGCCCTCTCTCCTTCACTGGGGCTCAGAGTTGCAGTGTGGTCTGATGGCTCTCCCAGTGTTTTCTGTCTCTCTCCTGAATTTCTCTCACAAGTATTTCCCTGAATAAATCCTTGCACATTTACTACCGTATTGGGCTCTGCTCCTCAGGGGACCCTAACTAACCCAAGCGGTATGAAGGGTGACCCATGAAAACAGGCAAAAATGGGAATTTGAAATAATCTTGCCCACTGCCTGGCAGGCCAAGAGGATGCCACCCGGGTTGGTGGGGGACACAGAAAGTCCATGGCATAAGGTGCAGCTGAGGTGCTGTGGTCTCCTCAGTGCTGAGCTGAGAAGATGCCCTGGTTAGGGGAAGCTATGGCAGGTGAGGTGATAGAATGCCCTACACAATAATGATGAGGTTGGGGGAAACCTACAAAGACAGAGGAGTTGGGTGGTTACTGCTTGGCTGCGTTGATACCCTATAAAAGGATCATGAGAATCTGCGGGTTGTTAACAGCTGTCACTGGCTACAGGTGACAGCCTCTGCAGTGTCTCATGGAGAGGCCTTTATCTCCTGTAGCGAAAGGGCAGATAGCGTGGAATGGCAGCTGAAGACATCATTACGAGGGCCACAGTGCTCCAGACATGTCTGACACTCAGCCAAAGCAGGCCTGTTACAGGAAAGTCAGGGTCCTGGTGGGGAAACCTGAGATTCTGGAAACTGGAACCAGGATATCCGATGGGTGCCCTCCAGGACCCTCTGGGAATGCAGAGGAGGCTCACCATTATCTAATAATGGTTCCCACTTCCTACGCTGGAAGATGCTGCAAAAGCCTCACCCCCGTGATTCTGCGGGAATCCTACTCAGCAGCTTTGCAGGAATTAGCCGCCATTTCCCCACAGGAGCCCAAGGAGCACTTCTGGGATTGGAATTTGAGGGCGTTTGATCAAGAAACCAGAATTTCAGGCTGGATGAATAAAAATCCTTTGGCTTGGAGGCACTTTCTCAAGGCATGGGTTTGTCAAACACCCCAGGACTTTGATAAGTGGAGCTAAACCCACCGCTGGGGTGAATCCATATAGATTGGAAAAAAAGATGCCCAACTCTCAACAAGGTAGACATGTCTTAGTTGCCCTGGTACATGTAAAGGAAGGAATAACGAGGCTGAGGGAAGTGGGCATGGTGAAGGCCCACCAGGGTCATGCTCCACAAGAGGGCCCAGAGGACACAACCTTCCACCAGAGCCTCAGGAACATGATGGTGAAAGGGACCTGCATCACTAAGTATAGGGGTGTTGTCCTCTGCAGGCTGCGGGTGATGGTAATAAAGATGGTCCCAGAGTTGCATTTATCCATATCCCTGGGGAGAGTGTGGCCCTGAAGAGACAGAGAAGAAGTGGTGGCAGTGACCTGAAAAAGCAGAGGGCATGGTTACTATGGCAACTTCAGAGTAGCAGCCAGGAGGACTCAAGTTGCAGGGAATGTGGGGAAGGTTAATAGAGGGTGGTGTCCCAGGGTTAGGACAGGCAGCCAACAAGGGCGCTGCTTGATATCTATGATAGGAATGAAAGAATTGAGGAGCAGGAGGGTGAAGGTGTTTGACCCAATACAAAGTCATGATCCCATCCTCAATGCCTAGACCTCAGCCAAGATTCAGATTCAGATCTCAGTGACAGAGGAGGAGTCCATATCCCTAGGAGGAAGACCCTGCAACCCTGTGGAAGTATATGCTGGCACAATTCCCTCAATCATTTGGCAAAGGAACCTATAGACATTTACTTGGGTGGTTGTACACTGGGGAAAGGAAACACGCAGAACTGGAGGGATTATTGACACTGGGTGTGAGCTGACATTGATGCCCAGATGCCCACAGCACTCATGTCTCCCATCACAGTGGGGCTTATGGAGGCCAGGGAGTAAACCTGGACAAATTATGGCCCACAATGGGACCACTGGGCCAACAGACCCAACGCTGGATATCTTTCAATTCCCTGAGTGCATGATTGACACTGCTGCACTGCTAAGTGGAGTCACCCCCACACTGGGTCCCTAGTCTGTGGAGTAAGGACTCTCATTGTGCTGAAAGCCAAACGGAAACCTCTGACACTGCCCACATCCTGGCCAAATCAAAAACCATAGTGTGTCCCAGGGTGGGTCTTGTGGAAGACACTGAAAGTATTATGGGGTCGCACCAACATTAGAGAGCTGAAGGATGTGGGGTGGTGTTGGGGCTGTCTATTGTCTCTATGTAATCCAGCAACCTGTCCCTGAGGGAAACTGGTAAGGCCTAAAGAATGAATGAGATTACTCCAGGTCTGGCCAAGTAGGAGTTATAATTGCAGCTTTTATGTTGTCTGGTTATCACTGGTAGAGCAGGTTAATAAAGCCCCGGGCACACAGTGTGCCGCTGTGGATTTGGTGAGTGCATTCCTTTCCATTCCAATTAGAAAGTGGATATGGGCTGGGCGCAGTAGCTCATGCCTGTAATCCCAGCTTTGGGAGGCCGAGGCCGGTGGATTACCTGAGGTCAGGAGTTCTAGACCATCCTGGCCAACATGGCAAAACCCCGTCTCTATTAAAAATACAAAAATTAGCCAGGCATCATGTCAGGTGCCTGTAATCCCAGCTACTCGGGGGGCCAAGGCAGGAGAATCACTTGAACACAGAAGGCAGAGGTTGCAGTGAGCCGAGATCACGCCATTGCACTCCAGCCTAGGGGACAAGAGCAAGACTTTGTCAAAAAAGAAAGGAAGGAAGGAAGGAAGGAAGGAAGAGGATATGGAGTGATTCACATTCATGTGGAATCAACGACACATTTATTTATTGTTTGCCTCAGGGCTATTGTAACACCTGTGCCCTCTATAGTATAGGCTTAAGACTGTACTGGACATACTGCATATCCTTTAGGATATTAAATCAGCACATTTCATTGACAACTTCATGTTGACTGGAGTAGATGAGCAGCAGGAAGAAAGTGCACTGTAGTCCTTTGCAAAACACACGCACCCCACAAGGTGAAGATAAACCTTATACAGCTTCAAAGGTGGGCACTGAAGTGAAGTTTTATGGGTGAACAAGTGCCAAGTGTTTAGGGGAATGCAGGTGTGTCCCCTCCAAGGTAAAAGAAAAACTGTTGCATCTTGCATCCTCACCAGAAGCAAGGAAGCACACTGCTTGGTGAGCCTCTTTGAATTATAACAACACCACATTCCACATCTAGACATTTTGCTTTGGCCCACAGTCTAGGTGACATAGGAGGATGCCAGCTTCAAGTGGGGCCTACACAGGAAAGGACCCTGCAGCAGATCCAGGCCATGGTACAAGCAGCCACCATCCCTCAGACCCCTGGGGCTGGTGGTGCCAGTGGTGGGGAAAGACACAGGATGGAGCTGAACCAAGCACCAGTGGGAGAGTCACAGTGGAGGGCCTGGGATTCTGGAGTAAGATCATGTCATCCACAGCAGAGACACATGCCCCCTGTTAGAAGCAACTTTTAGTGTTCCTTGTCCTGATTCAATAGAATGTTTGACCACGGGATACCAAGCAACTACGGGGTTCCAAGTGCCTGTGTGACCCACAAAGTCATAGATGGTACAGGCCCAACAGCATTCATCATCAGGTGAAAACAGTCCACCTGGGTTGAGCTTGAATCCCTTGCTGACACCCACAGAAAACACCCAAGTCTGAAGTGGCACTGAACTACCAAACAGACAAATGGCAGTTAGCCAGCTTTCACCATGGGTCAGCCCAGGCCTGGTAGGATGAGTGCATGAATGGAGCAACCACAGTGGCAGGCATGAGGCTCCGTAAGGGGCCAGCAGCACTGACTTCCCCACACCAAGGCAGATCCAGCTGCTGCCACCTCTGAATGTCCAACTCATCAGCAATTGAGGCCCATGATGTGCCCTAGTGGGGCACTATTTCTTTACATGACTACCCACTAAGTAACAAGTTGACTACATTTAGCTACTTCCAACCTGGAAGGGCCAGAGTTTCATCTTCACAGGGTTAGGTACCGATTCTATGGGTGGGTTTTCCTGTCCTGCTCTCAGACACAGCCAGCACCACTCTCTGGGTGCTGTTGACATTCCTGGTCTGCAGGCTAGGCAGTGCTCCTAGCCCATTATCTGCCTGAAGGACCCACTTTGCAGGGAAAGTTTCAGTGTTTCCACGGCTGTGGGTTCCACTAATCCTATCACCATCTGCACTACCCAGGAGCTGCCAGCCACAAGGAAGGCTGGACAGGTCTTCTACAGGCACAACTCAGTGCCAGCCTGGAGGAAGCACTCTGAGGGGTGGGTGCCATCTTTCAGGACACAGTTCATTGTTTGAATCAGAGACGTCTCTAGAGTTCTGTGTTCTCAATAGGAAGAACATGTGTGTCCAGAAATCAAAAGGCGGAAGCAGGTTTGGCTCCATGTCCAATCTCTTAGATTCACTCAATGGGGTATTTCGCATATTTTATCTCCCAACACTGGGCTGTGCAGGATACGAGGTTCTGGTTTCCAAAGGAGTGTACCCCTAAAAGGAGACAAAAGACAGCCCACTGAACTACACATTACTTTAGTCACCAGAGAAGTTTGGACAGTGTGTGCCCAGATACCACTTGGTGAGAAGAAGATTCTCCTCCTCTCCAGGCCCAGGTAATAAATAGATCCTCATCCCCAGGAGAAGGCATGGCTGTTTCACACAAGGGTAGAAGTGTGTGTGGAAACCAGAGATCCACCTGGGAGCCTTCTGGTTTCCCTTGCCCCATTGTAAGTGTGAGCAGAATCATCCAGCAATTCAGCCTGAGAGGATTTGATTTCCAAGGGCCCAGACCCGTCAGGGCAGAAGGTTTGAGTCACACTTGTGGGCAATCTCCCAAGGCCCTGCTCTTGTGTTCTGACATCCTCAGTACATTGGTGCTGAGGCCCTGCTTCCCATGGGCTGTTCCCAACGACTGATGGGTCATACCAGTGACACTAAGGCAGGACATTCCTAGGAGACAGGGGACTCCTCTGATGGCCAATTGTAGCTCGAGGACTCCTCTATGGCCTTGCTCAGTGAAGTCCTCAGATGATGCAGGCCTAGGCTGACAACTGGACTGCAACCTTGTGAGAGGCCCTGAGCCAGAAGCACTCAGGGAAACCTCTCCTGGATTTCTGATCATTGGAAACTGTGGGAGATGAGGAATATTTGTTGTTCTGAGCTGCTAAGTTTTACATAATTTGTTATGCATAGTAAATAACTAATACATTTTCACAAGACAGGATGCATTATTACATGTTAATTTGCATTTGCTCTAAATTTATCATCATCATTATTATTATTTTTGAGACAGGGTCTCACTCTGTCACCCAGGCTGGAGTGCAGTGGCATGATCACCATGCACTGCAGTGTCGACCTCCTGGGCTCAAGGGATCCTCTGACCTTAGCCTCCTGAGTAGCTGGGACTATAGTCATGAACCACCATGCCAGGCTAATTTTCTAGTTTTTTTGTAGAGATGAGAGTTTCACCATGTTGCCCAGGCTGATCTTGAACTTCTGGAGTCAACAAGTCTGCCTTCCTCTGCCTTCCATAGTGCTAGGATGGCAGGCGTGAGCCACCACCCCTGCCTAACTTAATTATAAGACATTAAACATGTAACTTAGTTTTAAAAGGAAAGGAGAAGTTCCATGGCTGAAGAGGATGTATTTTATTATCGTTCACAATGATCACTTTACTTGAACTTCAATTTCCAACTGTGTCCCAATTAAACACAAAAGGAAGATTCATCCCTTGCTAGAGTGATTCTATGATGGCCCCAACAACCACCTCCTGGTCATTCACCTTCCCCCAGTTATTCAACCAACTCTAATGTAGGTGCTGCTGTGAAGGAATTTAGCAGACATAATAAAGGGGCTCAATTAGTTGACTTCAGGCTGGGTTTATGCTGCTTGGACTGTCCTAATCAGGAGAGTCCTTGAAAGGACTGGGTTCTTCCTGAGCATAGAGATTCACAGTGTGAGAGGGATTCAGCATGAGGGGTTTCCTCCACTGTGGGCTTTGAAAATGAAGGGGCTGTGTAGGAAACAACACCGGTGGGCACCAGGAATTGAGTACAGCCCTCCCTGTTCTCTACATTGACAGCCAGCAAGGAACAGGGACCTCAGTCTTAAAACTGCAAGAAAGCACATTCTGCCACCTCTGTATAAGCCTAAAGGAGGATTCAAAATGAAGACTCAGATTTGGGAAGCCTGGAACAGAGATTCCATCTACATCATGCCCAGATTTCTGACTAAGGTACTATAAACAGATAAATGGGTGTTTTTTGGCCAGGCGTGGTGGTGCACTCCTGTAATCCTAACATTTGAGGAGCTGACACAGGAGGATCACTTGCAGCCAGGAGTGTGAGACCAGCCCAGGTAATACAGTGAGACACTCGTCTCTACACTTTTTTTTTTAATTAGCTGGGTGTGGTGGCACTTGTCTGCAGTCCTGTCTACTCTGAAGACTGAGGCAGGAGGATTCCTTGAGCCCAGGAGTTTGAGGCTGCAGTGAGCCATGATCATGTGACTGCACTTCACGCTGGATGACAGTTTTTAGAGACTCTGTCTCTAAAAACAAATAAATGAATACAATAAATAAAAACAAATAAATAAATACAATAAATGGGTGTTGTTTAAAGCCAATGTTTGTGATAATTTTTTACACAGTCTTATAAAATTCATACACAGGCTCAACAGACTAATGGAATGAACTGATGAATTGATATATACACTAGTTACATAAAATAAAATCTTTCTGAACTTTTTCAGTGTTTTGCATTTTATAATTATCTGTGATGCAATTTAATATACTCATATTTCATTCATTCAGTCAACAAAAATTAATTTAGTCCCTACAATGAACCAGGTATCCCCTCATATGCTCACGTGCCTGACATTCTAGAAGCTTCACAAGACCAAGGTGGAGCCACTGGAGTGTTTTAGGTGGAGAAATGACACACTTTGACTCACATTAGCAGGACCACTATGGAGAGAACAGTCACGTAGCAGGTAACGGGAGAGTGCCAGTGTCACAATTCAGGAGTGACAGTGTGATGGGGACTAAGGGGAGAGGAGGGGCTGAGTGATAAGAGGGACGGAGGGAAGGGCTGGAGAAGCAGTAGGTGAGGAAAAGGAGTAGAGGGATAGAATTCAAAAGCAGCACAACTCTTAGGTTTGAACACTTTTTTTAATGGTATTTCAATAGATCCATCTACAGAGCCTCGCAGGGTGTTACTTGCAGTTGGCCTTTAATACCTTAAGTGGGTCTGCTTAAAAACTAATTGTTTTTATGTTAATCAGGTTTTAAAAATACTAAGTGTTCCTAAGAAATATACACACCACTTAGATGTGGATACTTCCTAAAAACAGGCAGTGCATGAGCACTGGTGATGGACATTGTGACTGCATCGAGCGCTTGCAACTTTGAGGTGAATGAAGTCTGTACTGACTCCTGGTTGCAACACATAGGAACACAGTGGCTACTTTGTATTGAGGAGATGTCCTGGACTCACAGAAACTCAGGGCTATGGAATAAAGGTAAATTTAAAACACCACAAGCGGGAGTCACAGATACCTTGTTTGCAAAAGTGAAACTTAGGAGCTTTGTGAGTCCTGTTGTAATGCTTTTAGACACTTTATATATCAAGGGGCCAAAGTCACATGTTTTTACCGATTAGATTCCTGATCATTCAGGGGTTACCAAGATTCTGCTACCCACTGTAGTTAATACACAAAAAGCAAACTGGTCTCTATACTATCTCATGCACCCAGGCACAACTTTTCCAGATTTAAAGAAAAAGAAAAAAGAAATAAAAGAAAAAAACCTCTGTCTCTACACCTCCATTCCCAGGGAGAGCTCCCTCTCTGGCACCAAGCTCCCTGGGGTGAGTTTTCTTTTTGAAGAGTCCAGGGGAACAGGTAAGCAGTGGGGAAGCAGGGAGTCCATTTCAGGGACAGGAATTCCCGGATGAAAAGTGAAAGGAGAGGGACGGGGCCCAAGCTGAGGGTTTCTTCCTGGTTTCTCGGACAGCTCCTGGACCAAGACTCAGGGAACATTGAGACAGAGCGTTTGTCACAGGAGGAGCGGGGTCAGGGCGAAGTCCCAGAGCCCCAGGCATGGCTCTCAGGGTCTCAGGCCCCGAAGGCGGTGCATGGGCTGGGGAGGTGCAGCATTGGGGATTCCCCATCTCCGCAGAGTTTCTCTTCTCCCTCTCCCAGCCTGCGACGGGTCCTTCTTCCTGGACACTCACGACGCGGACCCAGTTCTCACTCCCACTGAGTGTCGGGTTTCTAGGGAAGCCAATCAGCGTCGCGCGGCCCCGGTTCTAAAGTCCCCACGCACCCACCGGGACTCGGAGTCTCCCCAGACGCCGACGATGGGGTCATGGCGCCCCGAACCCTCCTCCTGCTGCTCTCGGGGACCCTGGCCCTGGCCGAGACCTGGGCGGGTGAGTGCGGGGTCAGGAGGGAAACGGCCTCTGCCGTGAGGAGCGAAAGGTCCACCTGGCTGGGGCGCAGGACCCGGGGAGCCGCGCCGGGAGGAGGGTCGGGCGGGTCTCAGCCCCTCCTCGCCCCCAGGCTCCCACTCCATGAGGTATTTCAGCACCGCCGTTTCCTGGCCGGGCCGCGGGGAGCCCAGCTTCATTGCCGTGGGCTACGTGGACGACACGCAGTTCATGCGGGTCGACAGTGACGCCGTGAGTCTGAGGATGAAGACGCGGGCGCGGTGGGTGGAGCAGGAGGGGCCGGAGTATTGGGACCTACAGACACTGGGCGCCAAGGCCCAGGCACAGACTGACCGAGTGAACCTGCGGACCCTGCTCCGCTACTACAACCAGAGCGAGGCGGGTGAGTGACCCCGGCCCGGGGCGCAGATCACTTACTCCCCGCTCCATGCCTCACGGACGGCCCTGGTCCCCTGAGTCTCCGGGTCCAAGATCGACCCCGAGGCTGCGGGACCTGCAGAGATCCTCGACCCGGGAGAGCCCCAGGCGCCTTTACCTGGTTTCATCTTCAGTTGAGGCCAAAATCTCCGCAGGTTGCTAGGGGCCGGGCCAGGGCTCGGTGGGCGGGGCTGACCGCGGGAACTGGGCCAGGGTATCACATCCTCCAGGGAATGTTTGGCTGCGACCTGGGGCCCGACGGGCGTCTCCTCCGCGGGTATGAGCAGTATGCCTACGACGGCAAGGATTACATCGCCCTGAACGAGGACCTGCGCTCCTGGACCGCCGCGGATACCGCGGCTCAGATTACCCAGCGCAAGTATGAGGCGGCCAATGTGGCTGAGCAAAGGAGAGCCTACCTGGAGGGCACCTGCATGGAGTGGCTCCGCAGACACCTGGAGAACGGGAAGGAGACGCTGCAGCGCGCGGGTACCAGGGGCCATGGGGAGCCTGCTCGATCTCCTGTAGATCTCCCGGGCTGGCCTCGCACAAGGAGGGGAAGAAAATGGAAACACCACCAGAATATCGCCCTCCCTCCTGTCCTGACGGAGAGGAATCCTCCTGGGTTTCCAGATCCTGTATCAGAGATTGACTCTGAGGGCCCACCCTGCTCTTCCTGGGACAATTAAGGGATGAAGTCTCTGAGGGAGTGGAGGGGAAGACAATCCCTGGAAGACTGATCCGCGGTCCCCTTTCACCCCACAGCAACCTTGGGCACCAGGACTTTTCCTCCCGGGCCTTGTTCTCTGCCTCACACTCAATGTGTCGGAGTCTGACTCCAGCTCCTCTGAGTCCCTTGGCCTCCACTCAGATCAGGACCAGAAGTCCCTGCTACCCTGCTCAGAGACTAGAACTTTCCAAGGAATAGGAGATTATCCCAGGCGCCTGTGTCCAGGCTGGTGTCTGGGCTCTGTGCTCCCTTCCCCACCCCAGGTGTCCTATTCATCAGGATGGTCACATGGGCGCTGCTGGGGTGTCCCATGAGGAATGCAAAGTGCCTGAGTTTTCCGACTCTTCCTTTCAGACCCCCCCCAAGACACACGTGACCCACCCCCCTCTCTGAACATGAGGCATAACGAGGTCCTGGGTTCTGGGCTTCTACCCTGCGGAGATCACATTGACCTGGCAGCGGGATGGGGAGGACCAGACCCAGGACATGGAGCTCGTGGAGACCAGGCCCACAGGGGATGGAACCTTCCAGAAGTGGGCGGTTGTGGTAGTGCCTTCTGGAGAGGAACAGAGATACACATGCCATGTGCAGCACAAGGGGCTGCCCAAGCCCCTCATCCTGAGATGGGGTAAGGAGAGAGATGGGGGCGGCCATGTCTCTTAGGGAAAGCAGGAGCCCCTCTGGAGACCTTTAGCAGGGTCGGGGCTGGGTCCTGGAGGTCAGAACCCTCACATTCCCCTCCTTTCCCAGAGCCCTCTCCCCAGCCCACCATCCCCATTGTGGGTATCATTGCTGGCCTGGTTCTCCTTGGAGCTGTGGTCACTGGAGCTGTGGTCACTGCTGTGATGTGGAGGAAGAAGAGCTCAGGTGGGGAAGGGGTGAGGAGTCGGGTTTGAGTTTTCTTGTCCCACTGGGGGTTTCAAGCTCCAGGTAGAAATGTGTTCTGCCTGGTTACCGGGAAGCACCATCCACATTCATGGGCCTACCCAGCCTGGGCCCTGTGTGCCAGCACTTACTCTTTTGTAAGCACCTGTGACAATGAAGGACAGATTTCTCACCTTGATGATTGTAGTGATGGGGATCTGACCCCAGTAATCACAGGTCAGGGGAAGGTCCCTGCTGAGGACAGACCTTAGGAGGGCAGTTGGTCCAGGACCCACATCTGCTTTCCTTGTTTTTCCTGATCCTGCCCTTGGTTTGCAGTCACACATTTCTGGAAACTTCTCGAGGTTCCAAGACTAGGAGGTTCCTCTAGGACCTCATGGCCCTGCTACCTTCCTGGCCTCTCACAGGACGTTTTCTTCCCGCAGATAGAAAAGGAGGGAGCTACTCTCAGGCTGCAAGTAAGTATGAAGGAGGCTGATCCCTGAGATCCTTGGGATATTGTGGTTGGGAGCCCATGGGGGAGCTCACCCACCCCACAATTCCTCCTCTAGCCACATCTCCTGTGGGATCTGACCAGGTTCTGTTTTTGTTCTACCCCAGGCAGCCAAAGTGCCCAGGGCTCTGATGTGTCTCTCACGGCTTGTAAAGGTGAGACCCTGGGGAGGCTGATGTGTGTGGGTTGTTGGGGTAACAGTGGATATAGCTGTGCTATGGGGTTTCTTTGACTTGGATGTATTCAGCACATGATGGGCTGTTGAAGGTGTGACCCCTCACTGTGAGTGATATGAATTTGTTCATGAATATTTTTTCTATAGTGTGAGACAGCTGCCTTGTGTGGGACTGAGAGGCAAGATTTGTTCATGCCTTCCCTTTGTGACTTCAAGAACCCTGACTTCTCTTTCTGCAAAGGCATCTGAATGTGTCTGTGTCCCTATAGGCATAATGTGAGGTGGTGGGGAGACCAGCCCACACCCGTGTCCACCATGACCCTGTTCCCCACACTGACCTACATTCCTTCCCCGATCACCTTTCCTGTTCCAGAGAAGTGGTGCTGGGATGTCTCCATCTCTGTCTCAACTTCATGGTGCACTGAGCTGTAACTTCTTACTTCCCTATTAAAATTAGAATCTGAGTATAAATTTACTTTTTTCAAATTATTTCCATGACGGGTTGATGGGTTAATTAAAGGAGAAGATTCCTAAAATTTGAGAGACAAAATAAATGGAAGACATGAGAACCTTCCAGAGTCCACGTGTTTCTTGTGCTGATTTGTTGCAGGGGAGGAGAGTAGATGGGGCTGTGCCCAGTGTGTGCTCAGGCCACCATGGGCTTTATGTGGTCACAGCTCACCTGGGTCATCTTTGCTGCTCCACTGTCCTTGGCCCTTCAGTAGAACCTTGTCCCACCAGGACCTGTGATCACAGGGACTTGGATGTCACCTAGGGTGGTCCCTACACATCGAAGTCCTTCCGGTATGAAGAGACAAATTTTCAGTCCCCTGTATCTTTTGCCCTCCTTCCAGGTCTCTTTCCTGGATTGTATTTTCCATCTTTTTCCCCAGCCTTCTTAAAGGAAGCAGATTCTGAAATTTGCAGAGAGGAGGGGTCCCATAGTTTCTCATCGTAGGTAACTTTCTGTTGGAACTCCTCTTCTGCTTTCCTACTCTTCTTCCTGCCTGAGTTGTAGTAATCCCAGTGCTGGCTCCAATCCAAACTCATGCATTTATAAAGCAGAGTCTGATTTAGATTTATATGGGGTTGGAAAATTGGACCCACAAGGCTAGGATTATCTTTCCTGAACAGAAAAATATGGCTGTGCGCTGCAGTGTGCAGGAGGGTTGGTGTGGGAGGAGGTGGGAAGGACACACAAGCAGCCCTGGTGAGAAAAGCACTGGCAGCACTGATGTTGGTGTGAGATGATGTTGTTCTTTAGCTACGTTAATAAAGATATTGCCTTTAGAATACAGAGGTGCTCTACAGTGATCATTCATTCAACTGACATTTGTTGTCTGCTAGGTATATGACTGTTTTTGCATTTAGAAAACATCATTAAAGTAAAAACAGAAAAATTTCTGGCCTTGTGGTGTATACGTTCTAGATGCAAGCTTGTCCAACCTGCAGCTCTCGGGCTGCGTGTGGCCCGGGACAGCTTTGAATCTAAGAAGTTTTTTTGCTTATCTGTGGTAGCAAATATCATGAAAATTATGCACGCACATGTTTTTCTTTTTTCTATTCTTTCTGCTCATCAGCTGTCATTAGTGTATTTTATGTGTGGCTCAAGACAATGCTTATTCTTCCCAACTGGCCCAGGGAAGCCAAAAAATTGGACACCTCTGTAGGCAGATGATAGATATAGTATAAGCAGAGTAGGAACAGAAAATGCTTGAGTTAGAAGGTGGCAAGTGCTGTGTGGCAGGTGATCCAGAGGGTGGGCTGTGGGGACAGGAAGGTGGCTGTTGTGCTGGGTGGTCAGCATGGGCCTTGTTGCAAATGTGACCTTGGAGTAAAGATTTGAGGGATGTGAGGAGTTGTCTACAAGGATGTCTGGGAAAGTTCTTTTCAGGCAGGGGAACCTTCAGTGCAGATGCACTAGGGCAGGAAATTGTCTGTGTTCCTGGAAGGAGGAAGAGGCCAGAAGGGCTGGACACAGAGAAACTGAAGTGAGGTCAAAGGTGTGGCTAGAGCAGGTAGCCCTGAAGGGTGTGGGAAGGGTGTTGACCTTTGCTCTGAATGACATGGGGAGGACAGTTTTGAAAAGTGGGACATGGTAGGGCTCATCCTTTGAAAGCTTCTTTCTGGCTGCTGTGCTGAGAACAGAATTGAGAGGTGGGGAACCAGTGATGCAGTGGGGAAAATGGTGGGAAAGGAGTACAGTATTCTAGGATGGACACGTTGCTTACCTTGACTAGGGTGTGAGCAGGGGAAATAGTGAGAAGTGAAGGGATTCTGGATGAATTTGAAGATGGACTCACAGCACTTGCTAATGGATGTGAGAAGAAGAATCAAGGACACCCACAGTATTGGACTGAGTGAGCAGAAGGGTGGAGCTGCTGTCAGTGGAGATAGGGAGACTCTGGCAGGAGTACACAGAGGAGAGGGCATCGCAGGCATTCAATGGAGGAGACATCTATGAGGAATGCAGGTGAGGGGCCCAGATGCCTCTGCAGCTACAGATTCATCATCCAATCACTCTCCTACTCCCACCACCCCTGTGTCTCAGAGCCAGAGCACTGATTCTCCCCTGGGCTGTGGGCACAGGTAGGTGAAAGTCAGGGAAGTTGTGGTCTGCTATTGGTTATAATAAGTCACAGATCATTATGCTTTCTCAGATAATTAAAGAAATAATAAGAGAATGTGTAATTAGGACACTTAGAAGACTACAATAATGCAAAGGTTTTTATTCATCTAAAGAAGGTAACATAAGAAAAATAGTTGAGCAAGAAAGAGATAATATTAGAAGGCAGCAAATGACAATGGACAGACTTAAACCCAATGAGGTCAATAATTACATTAAACATAATGGACTCAGACACTCCAATTACAAGACAAATAGTGCAGGGGGGTAAAAATAAATAACTAAATAAATAATCATGGGCTGTTTACAAAAGACATAATTTCAGTAGAAGGTAAAGAAAAGTTGAAAGTAAAAGGATAGAGAATACCAGACAAACATTCATGAAAGACCACATGGAGACGCCATTTAGAAAAATTACAGGATATGAGTCTCCTGAGACATAGAGTACACGTAGACAGCTCACAAGGTCTTTTTCCCTTTTTTCAGAGACAGGGTCTGTTGCCCAGGTTGAAATGCAATGGTGATATCATACCTTACTGTAACCTCAAACTCCTGGGCTGGAGCAATTCTCCTGCCTCAGCCTTCCGAGTAGCTAGGACCACAAGCCTGTGCCGCCACACCTGGCTATAATGTCTCATTTTCTCATTTGCTGTGGTGTGAACAAGGAAACAATACCATGCCATGTATTTGACTTGCAGCAGGTACACAACAAATGTCAGGTGAATTAAGAAATAAAACCACTTAGTAATCCAAGCCATATCCACATTTACATCTTACAGATGAGGAGCAACATCCCAGACAAGTAAAGTAAAATAAATTGATTTACATCATCCAGAGCAGAATCGAGAACACATTCCCTGTGCTAAAGGAATCAGAGCTCTACTAGGGGTCATAGCAGATATCATGCAAGTCACATATGTTAATTACTAGAACAGGAATTGATACATTTCAAGATATACTAAACAAAGGGTTTGGAAGGATTAACTGAATGCAGAAATAGAGGAAGAAAATGGATTTGTTTAAAAGATGGTTAGAATCTTTAAAGAAACAACATTTTTTTAAAGTGGCCTTATGTGGACCAAAGCAGAGATGAACTCAAGTGTCAGGTGGGAAAATGCCTAAGTGCAGCTTCTAGACCCAAGGGAGACCTAAAAATCCTGGGACATTTTCGGTTGTCACATGGGGATTGGTGGGAGGGGGTGAGTGGGGTGTTGCTGGCAAACCTCCCACAATGCACAGGACAGACCACTCCACAAGATTCTCTGTCCCAAATTGTTAATAGTGCTGCTGTTGAGAAACCCGCCCCAGAGGTAAATGCTGTAATGTCCTCACCATTTCACAGATTAAGAAACTGAGGCACCAGGGGGAGAAGTGTCAGTAAGACCTGAGCTGCAGGTTGAATCCAGGCCACTTGGCTACAGGGTCTTGGCTCCCCTGGTTAAGTCAGGGACCCAGTAGCCGACCACAAACAATCCCAGCTGCACGGTGCCTTCATGGTCTGTGGGCGCCTTCATGGTCTGTGGCGCCCCCTGGTGTTGACACTGGGCCTGTGGCCAAATGAGGCTTGAGGGAAAAGGAAAAAACAGGTTTGGGTAGGGGGATACTCTTTCAGGCTCTCCAGATTTCCAGCCACGACTTACGCTCAGAAAAAATAATGTCCACCTTAATTATCTCTCCAACCCTGTTTTTCCCTGTCCCGGCTAGTTCCCTCCCTTGACTCCATCAACATCGGCACCTGCCAGACGCCCACCACCCACCATGTAAGGAGTGAAAAGGCCCCAGGACTAAATGACAAGACGAGGTTCCACCCCAGCCATCCCTCCCCTCCTAGAGCTCTAGCTCTGTGCCTTTAGTGCTTAGGCTCTTAACCTGGGGTCCAGGAACCCACTTTCCTATGACACTGCGTGAAGAAGTGATGTTACACGCACACATGACTTCACTACAGGACATTGGATATTAATATTCATCAGATCAGCTAGAGGCCCAAGATACCACTCTTCTCCCAACAGTTTGTGATCCTCTGAATTAAAGAAAGGGTAGGGATTGAGGGAGGCCCTAACTCCAAATCTTCTACCACTTCTAGCGAAGTGCTGAGAAGAAGTGCAAGGTACTCAACCTGCTCTGGGGATACAGCAGGAAAGCAGAGTGTTTACGGATTTCACATTCCATCAAAGAAAATCCATTTTGACAAAATATCCAAGTCACTTTTCTAAGCCCCAGGCAGCAGTTCAAACAAATAACATCAAAAAAACCAAAATCTTGGCCCAGGTGAAATCATTGAAGCTATAAAACTTTGTGAGACCTGTAGTTAGAGAGAAGGACAATTCAGTTTAGGGCTGCAGCAGAAAATTCCTATATCATATTGTGTTCTTCTTCATCATGAAGGTCCCCTGAAGGGACCTTCTCCCTTCAGCAGTGCATAGTGAGGCCATTTCCGTGCAAAAAGATAGAATCTCCTGGGATTCCTGATGTTTACACTTACTACTCACTCCTTCACTTTGTAGATGCCAACTTCACATTAGACATCTTTCAGTTAATTTCCTTACTCTGTCTAAGCAGAATATTTAAACTTCTTTCTGAAGCAGAAAACCAGGGACTGGTTATGTGAGCTATCACCCCACTCTGTGGCTCTCTTAAGCAATAAGCATAAGAGATTGTGGGCCAACAGAATTTGTAGCAAGGTAAACATAACCCTTCATTTCAGCCTATGTTTCAGCTTGTCTAGTGATGTTCCAGTCTTGCTCCAGTCTTAACATTTTAAAATTTATAATTTTACTTGAATATGATTTTATAAGAAGTCATATATATTCATTTCTGTTGAGTCTGTCAGTGAAAGCCTTCTCAAAACAACTGTGAAGTAAAGACAGGTAAATAAATGCATGGTGCTCCCATGTATTAATGCTCACTGCATCTTACAAATGTGTCAGCCCCACTGCAACAGATGGTGCATCAACAAATGGTGCTGGAAACCTGGATATCAACATGCAAAAGAATGATGCTGGAAAAAATTCATGTCCTTCCATTACACCCTTTTCAAAAATTAAGTCAGAATGACTCAAAGAACTAATCTTAAGAATTGAACCTGTAAAACCCTCAAGAAAATACTGAGGAAAATCTTATGGACATTAGAATTGGTAGTGGTTTCTTGGCTGGTGACCAATAGTACAAGTAATATAAGAAAAATGACAAATTAGAATGCATCAAAATTTAAAAACTTTTTTGCATCAAAGGACACTATTAAGAGAATCAAAAGAAAATGCACAGACTAGGAGGAAATATTTGCCAATCACATATCTGATAAAGAATTAATATCCAGAATATGTAAAGAACTACAATTCAACAATAGCAAAACAATCTCATTCAAAAATAAGTAAAAGACATGAATAGACAATTCTCCAAAGAAGATATACAATAAGGACATAAAAATAAGGAATGCTGGTCAGGCATGGTGGCTCATGCCTGTAATCCCAGTACTTTGGGAGGCCGAGGTGGGCGGATCACGAGGTCAAGAGATCAAGACCATCCCGGCCAACATGGTGAAACCCCGTCTGTACCAAAAAAATACAAATATTAGTTGGGCATGGTGGCAGGTACCTGTAGTCCCAGCTACTCAGGAGGCTGAGGTAGGAGAATCACTTGAACCTGGGAAGTGGAGGTTACAGCGAGCCGAGATTGTGCCACTGCACTCCAGCCTGGCAACAGAGCAAGACTCTGTTTCACAAAAAAAAAAAAAAAAGGAATGCCAATAAGGACATAAAAATATGGTAAACTTCACTAGGCCAAGTGTTGGTGAAGATATGGAGAAACTGGAACACTTGTACACTGCTGGTGAGAGTATACAGTGGTGCAGCCACCATGGAAAACAGAATAGTGATTCCTCAAGAAAGTAAAAATAGAATTACTATATGAGCCAACAATTCCACTTTTGGGCATACCCAAAAGAACTGAAAGCAGGAACTCACCCAGATATGTGTACACTCAGGCCCATAGCAGCACTATACCCAATATCCAAAAGGTGGAAGCAACCGAGTGTCCATCAGAGGATGACTGGATAAACAACCCACGGTGCACATAAGCATGGAATATTATTCAGCCTTAAAAGTGAATGAAATTCTAATTGGATGAGCCTTGAAAACACTATAAGTGAAATAAGCCAGAAATAAAAACAAATATGATATTTTACTTATATAAAGTAGCTAGAATAAGCAAATTCATAGAAACAGAAAATAGAATAGAGATTACCAGGGGCTGGGGGTAGGGAGAATGGGCAGTTATGGTTTAATGGGTACAGTTTCTGTTTGGGATGATGAAAATGTTCTGGAAATGGATATTGGCGGTGGTTACACAACACTGTAAATGTGCTTACTGCCACCAAATTGTACACTGAAAAAATGGTTAGAAGGTAAATTATATAGTATGCATGTTTTACCACAATTTACAAAAAATATATCAACACTAAATCCAATCACAGCTCTCATCGAGTTTTTTTATACTGGTGTTTCAACAAGCACATTGCCGCTGTGGAGGGGAGGGGTCCTTGGAGTTCTTATGCCACCATGTTCTTTGGTGTCACTTCTCAGCACAACTTTGGTGGTCAGAGCACAACTTGGTTTTATACATTTTAAGGGGACATGAGACAGTGATCAACATATGTAAGCTAAAGATTGATTCCGTCTGGAAAGGCGGGACAACTCGAAGCAAGGAGGGGGCTTCCAGGTCACAGATAGATGAGAGACAAATGGTTGCATTCTTTTGAGTTTCCGATTAGCCTTTCCAAATGAGGGAATCAGACATGTGTTTATCTCAGTGAGCAGAGGGGCGACTCTGAACAGATGGGAGGCAGGTTTACCCTAAGCAGTTCCCAGCTTGACTTTTCCCTTTAGCTTAGTAATTTTGGGGCCCCAAGATTTTATTTTCCTTTTACAGAACCATCAATACTTACAGAAAAAAAAAACCCTGAATGTACACAAACCTCTATACCAAACTACCAATTTACAGAAAATACAGGTAATAGAAATACATTAAACCACACCTTGGCGTGCAATCCACAAAATGCAAACAATAGGAAACCTTACCATACAATATAAATTTCAAGGAGAAACCTATGGAACAAATGAGAACAAAAAACATATTTTTAAAGGTAAAACTAAACTATAATTTTGGATGATGAAAATATAAAGTCCAGCATAGGGAAGCAGTTCCTTTAGAATTTTAGTCACAATTAATGGAAGGGTACTGAAACCTGCTATTTCCCAGTTGAATAACAGGTCCTGGGGATATAGAAGGTCTTGCCACAAGTTGAATCCATAACTGCTGCTTTCCTGGTACCAGGGAGAACAGGTTTCCTATCAAGGACTGGGTAGGAGTGTTTGCCAGGCCTGTATCAGCTATTGCCCAAGTTTCCACTTTACAAAAGTGCCATGCATACATGCAACAACATAGTGCCTTCTCCATGCATCCCTTAAGAGATGAACTGCATGCTATCTTAGGGCCAGTACATTATGAGTCCAGTGCTGCCCCTATTGTGGAGCCCTCACAGGAGATGTCTCCAATGGTACATGAAGGCATGGCCCTCATTCCTGATAATGCTTGGTACTTAGATGCATTGAGCCAAGGTAACCCTGTGTATGGACAGTAGTAGCTGCACAACCACAGACAGTATCTGGTTTGAGATGGGAATGCAACAGAGCAGTCAATGGGCAGAACTCCAAGCTACATGGTTGGTTTGTACCCGTGAGCCACCACCTATAGTTCTCTGTACAGACAGTCTGGCAGTACTTAAGGGTCTTACAATTTGGCTTGCCCAAAGGGCCTGAGATGATTGGTATATAATTTAAAAATCCTTATGGGGAGCTGATATGTGGAAAGACATTTGGAAAAGTCTACAGGAACCCACTGTGGACCTAATTGCTTCAGCACACTGGTCAGATTCACCTCCCAGAAACATGGAGGCAGACATCCTAGCAAAAATTAGAATACTGAGCTAGTTGATTAGGTACATATCACAGTGGGGATTTCAGTGCATGAATGGGCTGCCAAATAGCAAAGGGAGCAGGATTGGCTCTCTGCTATGCAGATTTAGTGGTGGCGGTAGCAAACTGCTTAATTTGTTCCCGTCTGTACCTCTGCCACATCCCACATACACCTGGACATATACATAAGACAGCCACCCCTGTGACAGACTGGTAGATAGACTACATCAGACCCTTGCCAGTAATCTTGAGACGAAAGTATGCACTAACATGTGTATACACTGCCATGGGATTGTTGCAAGCTTTCCCTTGTAAGAGCAAACCAAACAGCCACCATCAGGGGCTTGGAGCAACTCAGTGTCATGTAAGGATACCCTCCACATATTGATAGCAATCGAGGCATGCATTTCACCAGACACGGTGTCCAAGACTGGATGCATGAAAGGGACATAGACTGGGTATTTCACTTACTGTATACTCCCCCAAGCAACAGGGTTGATTGAAAGGAAAAATGGTATTTTGAAGGCACAGTTTTGAGCACTCTCAAAATCCAATATCTTTCATAGTTAGACAAAGATTTTGCCTCAAGCCATTAGAAACCTTAATTTAGTTGAGACAAATATGGTGCTGGCACCACACCAATGACTCAGGACCACCACAGAGATGGATCCATTAACCATAATAGTAAAGAAAGTCCAACCAGATGCATCTCTGACCTGAGCAGATAAAAGGCCAATGGCAAAGGTTATTTAGAACTCCTCAAGATCTTGAGCCAGGGAGGAGACACTTGAATGGGGGTTGGACTAGCAACTTCCCCTATGTTGGATAGAGCATTTCTTTCCAGACAGCAAGGAATTCCCTACCAACTAAAGTGGTCTCCATTGATCCTGCTGAAGTCTGGGCCAAAACACTCCACATACCAATAAACTGGAACACAGTCCCTTTTAAGAAGCACCCTGGCTGGCCATTTGACATGGTCCTTTGCTGCCCCTGTAACCTTACACATAATACCAGCGCCTTTGCCCCTCAGGCAACATGTTTGGTGTGTACTCCCAGCCCACAATCCTATGTTCCTAATCAACAGAGATGGAGCTACCAGTAATTCTGTTTAATGGGGAAGAACTGCCCCACCAAATACCTACTAAACATTTTTAATTCCACCCATAGTCTTCTGTTCCTATTGTTGTTCTGCTCTATACCTCTTGGTTTGGTTCCTGAATAAACATGGTAAAGGGCATTTTTAATTCTGTGTCTTACACCTGGCATACATATCATCGCCTGTTGTTTGTGTTGTTGCTGTGGCCCCTGCTTAACAAGTAGAAAACAAATTGATAAAATGTGTCACTCACACCATCAAAATGTCACCCACAGCCCTCTCTGAAGGCTCAGGGACTATGGGGGAAATGTGAGTCCATGAGATTGTAAGAGCTGGATTAGAGGGCTGGGATGTGGAGAGAAAAGTGACTCCCTCTTGGATGCTAATTCTCTATGCTGACTTCTGATTAGCCCCAGTCCCAGGACTGACTCCTGATTCCCACTTTATTTACCATCCCTATTGTAAGAACATGTCAACCTTGATGTTATACAAATTCTAGGCTATGACACATTAGCATTCTTACCTGTTCTGGACAGTAGTAGCCTTTGTCTTGCACAGAGCATGTATACTCTTCCCCTGTGGTATATAAGCCCTGGGTGTGGGGGTAATAAGTGCAGAAACCTACCTGTCTTGCTGCCATCCAAGACCACGCTTCTGTCTGTAAGTTCCCCAATAAAACACTCTTTACTGACAACTAGATTTGTCTGTCTTGTTCCTTGGTTTATTGGCTCCTTTGGCATTTGGGGGGCACTTTGCATAGATGGCCCTTTCATGGAACAGAGGGTCTGTGTGGGGCTGGGAGCCCAAGTCAGCACTTGCAGTCAGAGCCTAGAACATGTGCTGAGGAGACAGAGCTAGACCTGTTAGCAGAGACAGACCTGTTAGCGGAGTGGATAGCTGGGCCAGCAGGTCTGAAGTAACGCTATGGAAGAGCAGGCCAGTAACAGCTGAAGAGCTTCAGAAACTCCCACTTCTAACAAGGTCACTTCCTCTAAGAGGGACTACTGTTGTATCATAGTACACAGCTGTCTCTGCCTGGCTGTCCTAGTAAATATGCAGCATTTGGGGGCATCCACACTACTGGAACAGTAGCCATGAGAAGAGTCCATTGTGCCAGCTTAATTGCACCCAACTGTACAATGAGAACATGGGGATCAGTGTGTTCTGCTACTTCTCTGCTTAGCATTCCTGATATACCTGCTTTACATAGGCACCATGTGGCACCGTGGTGTGTGCCTGTGCCACTTTGAATCACATTTGGGTATCTATTGGAAGGCTTCTTCGGGACTGTTGTGACACCAACTACACTATGGACTGATCCCTGTCAGAAGGTAACAAAGGGGCAAGGGACAGCATTTCCAGTCTAAGCCCTGGAATGTGCGTGGCATCAAACTGTTTTGCATTTGTGAGCAGGAATACAACTGCTGGACAACAGATATTCCATCAGCCAACAGAAACTGTGACTGGCTTTAAAGAAAATGGGCTTCCCTTGGTCTTGGGAACACAAGACTCAGCAGTATAGAAACAGAAATGGTTGCAGGTGGAGGAAGCACTTTCGCCGGAGTCAGGAAAGCATGAATAACACAAAATCTTCAGCTTTTCCTCCCTTCTCTCTCCTGAGCTTTCTGCACCTCTGCTGTAGCAGTGATGGCAGCAGTGTGGAGAACACAGCCTCAGGGAACAACCAAGGTCCAGGATCACTAGCAAAGGTTATGAGAAACTATGACTTCCTTTAGAAAAAAAAAAAAGGGAAATGAGAGTGCCCAAGGTCTTAGGAGAGGGCTGGTGCAGGCCTGGGGCGTAGTAAATTCTTTAGCTTGTCTAGATTCACCATGCCAAGTGGGGAGGTTGCTTGGGTCAGACTATATTAAAGGACAGCATCTCCACCCTCCCCTAGAGGTCTCAGAATGTCCACTGACTGTGGCTTTAGTGGTCCTTGAACAGAAATTTGGTAACATGAAGAGTAGCAGATGCTGGCATGGTAAGATTACAAATGTGTATCAGAAGAATTATTTTGTGGGTAACAGAAAAAACAACATATAAAGAAACAAGTTAATACCATGAGAATGTCATTAGCCAAACTCAGAATGTGGATCATTCTACAGGACAAGTAACCTGGCTTTTTTGGGGAAACAGAAGCATAGGAGAGCCAGGGTGACACCATTTTAAAGTCAACTCCATCTTTCAACTAGCAAGGCATATTCCTTGCCAGTCACAACCCATGGTCATAAGAGGTTTACAGCTGATTAAACAACTTAATAATGCCTGCAAGAACAAACGCCTATGACAGACAACAGAATGTCCACATGTCCTGACGTCACATTATAATATATGCTTTTAAGATTATTATAGTCATGCTTTGATATACTAACTAAAATGCCAAGGATAACTTTCTTTAAATCAATAGGTCCTAAATTTTGTCATGCTGTCAGAGCACCCACACATAGACATTTAACTTAGCTTTTATGTAGATTAAACCCCTACATTAGAAGAGTTTACAACAAAGATGGTGCATTCTTCCTTTTGCTTTCTGAGGACACCTACTCTGTATCTGAGTAACTTTCAATAAACTATCTCCTTCTCACTGCACTCTGTGACTCACCTTTAATTCCTTCCTGTGCAAGATCCAAGAATACTCTTTTGGGGTCGGGATCGGGACCTGTTTTTCTGGTAACAGTTTCTCCAACAAATCAAAGCCTTGAGAAAAAAAAAATAGGTAGGGTGGGTGGTATGGTATAGAAGAACAGAGAATAATGAGACATAAGAAGCAATTGCAATGTGTGGACCTTCTCTAGCTTCTGTTTCAGACAGACCAATTGAAAAAGACAAGACAGATATTTGAATATGCATTGAGTGTTTAGCAAAATTAGAGAACTGTTGTTAATTTTGTTAGTGTGAGAATAGCATGGCTTTATGTTTTTTAAAAACCCTATTCTGTGAAAGATGCATGCTGAACTATTTAACTGTGAAATTGTATGTAAAGGATTTGCTTTTACAATCCTCCAGAGATGAGTTTATAATGATATAAATGATGTGATAAATAAATCAATGGAGGAGAGGAGGCAAAATCTCTCCTGCAGAAGAACTCCAAATAAGGTAGGTAGATACTTTGTCCTTAAAGGAACAGCATTAACTCCCTCTTCTGGAAGTGTGAATTCTTGATATCATGTAATGAAAATGGTACCTCACTTGTGGCTTTCCTCCCCCCGAATCCATAACCTCTACTTATTATGAAAAAAAAAAAAAAACAAAAAAAAACACACCGAATTCCAATAGAGGAACATTCTATAAAATACCTAACTAGTATTCCTCAATAACGTCTAGGTCATCAAAAACAAGGAAAATCTGAGGAATTGTCACAGCCAAGAGGAGCCTAAGGAGGCATGACAACCCCATGTAATAGGGTATCTTGAATGGGACCTTGGAGTAGAAAAATATTATTAGGTAAAACTCAAGGACACCTGAGTAATGTATGACTTTTGGTTAAAAATAATGCATCAATATTGGTTCAATAATTGTAAGAAATGAACCATACTAATGTTAGATGTTAATAACAGGAGAAACAACTTCTCAATTTTCCTGTAGTTAAAACTGTTCTAGAACTGAAGTCTATTTTTTAAAATTCTCCTGGAAAAAAGTGGAAACATATGAAATATGATGGACAAATGTTAGTAATTATTGAATGTGATGATGGATAATGAGAATTCATTATATAATTCTGTTTTTGTGTATTTGAAGTTTTCTATAATGGAAAGTTTGAGGCTGGGCACAGTGGCTCAAACCTATAATCCCAGCACTTTGGGAGGCCAAGAGTTCAAGACCAGCCTGGGCAATGTAGTGAGACCCCATCTCTACCAAAAAACAGAAGAATTAGCCAGGTGTGGTGGGCTTGCACCTGTAGTCCTAGCTACTCAGGAGGCTGAGGTGAGAGGATCACTTGAGCCCAGAAGGCCAAGGCTGCAGTGAGCCATGATGTCATTGTACTCCAGTCTAGGTGACAGAGAGAAACCTTGTCTCCAAAAATAAAAAATAAAAAAAGTTTGAACAAGAAATAAAGAAATATGGAGATAAGGATAAGAAGAAGCTATTTAAAGCACTAGAGTAGCTGCTTTTTTAAATTATGGTTAAAAAAATATATAATAAAATTTACCATTTTGCCATTTTTAAGTGTATAGTTCTATGACATTAAGTATATTCATGCTGTGTAACCATCACCACCCTCCATCTCCAGAACTTTTTCATCTTCCCAAACTAAATGCTAGGTCTATTAAGCAACATCTCCTCACTCTCTCCTCCTCCCCAGCCCCTGATAACCTCCATTCTACATTCTGTCTATGAATCTTACTAAACTAGGTGAATCATGTAAGTGGATTCATACAATATTTTTCCTTTTCAGTCTGATTTATTTAATCTAGCTTCATGTCTTCAAGGTTCATACATAATACAGGAAAATAATTTCCTTCCTTCTTCTGAAAAATATTCCACTGTATGGATCTACCATACTTTGTTCATCCATTGATGGATGTATACTCTGTTGCTTCTACCTTTTGGCAGTTGTGAATAATGTTGTTATAAACATGATGTACAAATATCTGCTTGGTCTCTGCTTTAACTTCTTTTGGGTCTGTACCCAGAAGAGGAATTGCTGGATCATATGTCAATTCTATGTTTAATTTTTTGAAGAACAAAAAGTGGCCGCTTCTACAAAACAGAAATTTTCAGATTAGGAGATGTGGGACAGGGAAAAATTCCTGTCTCTGAAAAGTTAAGAGTTTTCACTATAAGCTTTGTAGAACCATTTTTAAATAATATATGATAAAAATGAAGTAAAGTATGCAATAAAACTCATCTTGTGCTAAGTACTGGAGATACATGGAGGGAGCCCTCAGTCCTCTGGGGGAAGAACCTGGTTATAGAACAGTGTGATCACAGGTGCAACACAGAGAAGACTCCAGGGGCAAGCACAGAAAATAGCCATCAAGGGAGATTCTTTGCACGCCATGCAGAAGTGCCCTACAGGAGGTGACGTGGGAGTGAAGGAGGAAAATATGACATTCTGAGTTGGAGAATTGGAAGATTAAACTTGGAATGATGTCAGCACTGAGATTCTGGGATCATATTGTACAACTGGCCCCATCTCAGCACTAACACTGTGAAATCTTACCTTTCTTATGTCTTCAAATTGTGGCCCTATATTTAGCTTCTATATCTTTCTTTGACTAAATCTCAAAACTAAAATTGGTCCTGATTCCAGGGGAGGTGTTTCTCTGACTCCTCTCTTTTGAATCTCATAGCCTGACATTTTCTCTTCATCTTGAAGACCATATTCAGGAGGGACCCTAGGAACTCTGTATCTCAGCATGTGAGGCTTCAGGCCAAGGGGTGCTAATTTGATTCTGAAAGATCTTATCTGCCTCCAGCGCCATAAGGTCCTGATGAAATGTCCAGCATCTTTGTGGAAATTCAAGTGTCTCCATACAGCATTATATGTCTTGGAGATTATGTATATGAAAAGCTTTACAGATAGGTGTGTCTCAGTGATGCTGTGCAGAGTAACCTGTGGCCTAAGTCAAGTCAGAAAATGCTTTTGACTCTATATTTCTCAAAAATGTAAGTCTTAAAATTTGGCTATGGATGGGAAAATATTACATAATTGAAAGGATAAATATAAGTATGCCAATCAGCCAAAAACACTGCAAATGTTTAATGCAGATTTAAGTTTTCCCTCAAAAACTGTTAATAAATTAATAGTGCAGCTTACAAATGATGAAAAGAGCTGAGACGTTTAAAAAAACTTTCCAAGTGTCAGGTCCTGGTACTTTACATTTATTCTACCTCCTAATCCTTATACTAGGTCAAAGCTCATTTTATGTCTTCAAGATTCAGATGTAACACTGGGAATGAGAAAGGTTAATATAAGTGATATGTCCAGGACTATACTTCTAGTAATTATAGCTCACTGATGGAGAGAACATTAAAATCTGTTTGGCCTTCACTTAAAAACAAATAATATTTGTGTTATAGAAGCAAGACCTTTTTAGTCACAAGTTAATAATTTTAAAGAAAAGATTCAACATGTAAATTTATCTGGAAAGGCCAGGGGTGAGGCTGCCTAGAGACATGATTAGATTCGGAGATACATTTGTCATCAGATCTCTCTGTACTTCTAAAGAAGATAGCCAATATCAGCTTATCAGCTCCAACTCCTCTCATATTATTCTACCTTAACAGCTTCAGCAGAAAAATAGACATCTTTCTCACAATGTTCATAAATAAAGAACCAGAGAAGATGACCTTTGGACCAATACCTGTTGTTATGGAGATGTGGTACAGTGTGGGAAACTCTGATTGGTCAGGGCTGGGTCATGTTATTTCCTCATCCCCTGGTCCATTATATTATTTCTTAAGTTATTTAAAGTCATGGCTACTATTTTTATTTATTTTAATTGACATAATTATACATATTGATATAGTACAGTGTGATATTTTGATACATGTATACAATGTGTAATAAGCAAATAAGGGTATTTAGCCTATGCATCACATCAAACGTTTACCATTTCTTTGTGATGGAAACATTCAAAATCATATCAAAAAGATAATCCACCACAATCAAGTGGGTTTCATACCAGGGAAGAAGGGATGGTTGAACACACTCAAGTCAATAAATGTGACACACCACATAAACAGAATTAAAAACAAAAATCACATGATCATCTCAATAGATGCAAAAAAAACATTCAACAAAATCTGGCATCCTTTATGATTAAAGCTCTCAGCAAAATCGGCATACAAGGAACATACCTCAATGTAATCAAAGCCATCTATGAGAAACCCACAGCCAACATAATACTGAGTGGGGAAAAGCTGAAAGCATTCCCTCTGAGAACTGGAACAAGACAATGATGCCCACTCTCACCACTTCTCTTCAACACAGTCCTGAAAGTCCTAGCCAGAGCAGTCAGACAAGGGAAAGAAATAAAGGTCATCCAAATCGGTAAAGAGGAAGCCAAACTGTCACTGTTTGCTGATATGATTGTATACCTAGGAAACTCTAAAGACTCCTCCAAAAAGCTCCTAAAACTGATACAAAAATTCTGCAATATTTCTGGATACAAAATTAATGTACACAAATCAGTAGCTCTCCTATACTCCAACAGTGACCAGGCTGAGAATCAAATCAAGAACTCAATCCCTTTTACGACAGCTGTAAAAAAAAAAAAAAAAAAAACAAACTTAGAAATATACCTAGCCTAAGGAGGTGAAAGACCTCTACAAGGAAAACTACAAAACTCTGCTGAAAGAAATCACAGATGACACAAGCAAATGGAAACACATCCCATGCTCACGGATGGGTAGAATCAATATTGTGAAAATTACCATACTACCAAAAGAAATCTATAAATTCAATGCAATTCTCATCAAAATACCACGAACATTCTTCACAGAACTAGAAAAAAAATCTTAAAATTCATATAAAACCCAAAAAAAGCCTGCATAGCAAAAGCGAGACTAAGCAAAAAGAACAAATCTTGAGGCATCACATTACCTGATTTCAAACTATACTATAAGGCCAAAGTCACCAAAACAGCATGGTACTGGTATGAAAATGGGCCCATAGACCAATGGAACAAAATAGAGAACCCAGAAATGAACCCAAATACTTACAGCCAATTGTTCTTCGACAAAGCAAACAAAAACATCAAGTGGGGAAAGGACACCTTATTGAACAAATGGTGCTGGGATAATTGGCTAGCCACATGTAGGAGAATGAAACTGGATCCTCAACTCTCACCTTATACAAAAATCAACCAAGATGGATCAAGCACTTAAAACTAAGACCTGAAACTATACAAATTCTAGAAGATAATATTGAAAAAAACCTCCTAGACATTGGCTTAGGCAAGGATTTCATGACCAAGAACCCAAAAGCAAAATGCAACAAAAACAAAGATAAATAGCTGGGACCCAATGAAACTAAAGAGTGTTTGCACGGCAAAAGAACAGTCAGCAGAGTAAACAGACAACCCACAGAGTGGGAGAAAATCTTCACAATCTATGCATCTGACAAAGGACTAATATCCAGAATCTACAACAAACTCATACAAATTAGCAAGAAAAAGAACAAACAATCTCATCAAAAAGCGGGCTAAGGACATGAGTAGACAATTCTCAAAAGAAGATATACAGCTGGCCAACAAACATATGAAAAAATGCTCAACATCACTAATGATCAGGGAAACGTAAATCAAAACGCCAATGTGATACCACCTTATATCTGCAAGAATGGCCATAATCAAAAAATCAAAAAATAATAGATGTTGGCATGGATGTGGTGAACAGGGAACACTTCTTTTTTTTTTTTTTTTTTTTTTTTTTTGAGACGGAGTCTGGCTCTGTAGCCCAGGCTGGAGTGCAGTGGCGCAATCTCGGCTCACTGCAAGCTCCGCCTCCCAGGTTCACACCATTCTCCTGCCTCAGCCTCCCGAGTAGCTGGGACTACAGGCGTCACTGTGTTAGCCAGGATGGTCTCGATCTCCTGACCTCGTGATCCAGCCTCCTCGGCCTCCCAAAGTGCTGGGATTACAGGCTGGAGCCACCGTGCCTGGCCTGAACAGAGAACACTTCTACACTGCTGATAGGAATGTAAACTAGTACAACCACTATGGAAAACAAGGTGGAGATTTTTTTAGAGAACTAAAAGTTGAACTACCATTTGATCCAGCAATCCCACAATCCCACAATGGGTATCTGCCCAGAGGAAAATAAGTCATTATATGAAAAAGATACTTGCACACACGTTTATAGCAGCACAATTCACAATTGCAAAAATGTGGAACCAACCCAAATGCCCATCAATCAATGAGTGGATAAAGAAACTACTCAGCCACAAAAAGGAATGAATTAATGGCATTCACAGCAACCTGGATGCGATTGAAGATTATTATTCCAAGTGAAGTAACTCAGGAATGGAAAACCAAACATCGTATGTTCTCACTCTTAAGTGGGAGCAAAACTATGAGGATACAAAGGCATAAGAATGACACAATGGACTCTGGGGACTCGGGGAAAGGGAGGGAAGAAGGTGAGGGACAAAAAGCTACAATTTGGGTGCAGTGTGTACTGCGTGGGTGATGGGTGCACATTTGCTCCTTTTAAAATGATACTATTATTATTTTGCTGTTGTTTGAGTTTCTTGTAAATTCTAGCTATTAATCCCTTATCAGATGAATACTTTGCAAATACTTTCATTCTCTAAGTTGCTGTTTTATCTCTGTTGATTGTTTTCATTGCTGTACAGGAAATTTTTAGTTTGATGTAGTCCCATTCATACATTTTTGCTTCTCTTGCCTGTGCTTTCAAGGTCTTAATCACAAAATCTTTCCTGCGTCCAACACTCTAAAGTGTTTTCTGTATGTTTTCTCCCAGTAGGTTCATAGTTTTGGGTCTTGCATTTAAGTCCTTAACTCATTTTCAGTTGATTTTTGTGAATGGTGAGAGATAGCAGTCTAGTTTCATACTTCCTAATATGGATATCCAGTTTCCCCAGCATCATTTATTGAAGAAACTGCCCTTTCCTCAGTATATGTTCTTGGTGATTTTGTTAAAAATAAATTGAGTGGCTGGGCACGGTGGCTCACGCCTGTAATCCCAGCACTTTGGGAGGCTGAGGCAGACGGATCACGAGGTCAGGAGTTTGAGACCAGCCTGACCAACATGGTGAAACCCCGTCTCTACTAAAATACAAAAATTAGCCAGGCGTGATGGCACACGACTGTCATTCCAGGCTGAGGCAGGAGAATCGCCTGAACTCAGTAGGTGGAGGTTGCAGTGAGCCGAGATCGCACCACTGCACTCCAGCCTGGGTGACAGAGCGAGACTCCGTCTCAAATAAAAAAAAAAGAAAAAAGAAATTAACTGTAAATATATGGATTTATTTCGGGGTTCTCTATTCTGTCTCATTGGTTTATGTGTCCGTTTTTATGCCAATACCTTGCTTGCCATTTTGGTTACTATAGCTGTATATTTTGAAGTCAGGTACTGTGATACTTCCAGCTTTGTTCTTTTTGCTCAAGATTGTTTTAGCTATTCAGGGTCTTTTGTGGTTCCATACAAATTTTAAGATTTCTTTTT
The DNA here is from genome assembly GCF_000001405.40 of Homo sapiens. Lineage (NCBI taxonomy): Eukaryota > Metazoa > Chordata > Mammalia > Primates > Hominidae > Homo > Homo sapiens. The sequence continues at coordinate 1,327,023 of NT_167249.2, forward strand.
CTATTTCTATAAAGAATGACATTGGTATTTTGATAGGTATTGCATTGAATCTGTAGATTGGTTTGGGTAGTATGGTCACTTTAACAATATTAATTCTCCCAATCCATGATAATGGAATATCTTTCAATTTTTTGTGTCCTTTTCTATTTGTTTCATTAGTATTTTATAGTTTTCATTACATACTTGGTTAAATTTATTCCCATGCTTTTTTATAGTTACTGTGAATGAGATTTCTTTCTTGATTTTTCATCATTTTGAGTTTGCCTCTATGGCCTTTATTGTGTTTAGGTACATTCCATCTATACCTAATTGGTTGGAAGTTTTTATCATGAAGTGATATTGAATTTTATCAAATGCTTTTTCTGCAGCTATAGAGATGATAATATTAGTTTTGTCTTTCATTCCACTAATATGCTCTATCATGTTTATTGATTTGTATGGAAAGTCTACAGTTTTTTTATGTTGATTTTATATTCTGTAAATTTACTAAATTTGTTTATCAGTTCTGAGAGTTTTTTGATGGAGTCTTTAGGTTTGTGTATAAATAAGATTATGTCATCTGCAAACAGCAACAATTTGACTTCCTCTTTTCCAATTTGGATGCCTTTTATTTCCTTCTCTTGCCTAATTGCTCTGGGTCGGACCAGTACTATGTGTTTTTGTTGTTGTCATTGCTGTAATCTTTTAAAATTTTCTATCCATTTCCATAGGAATCAGTCTAGTACTATGTTAAATTTGGTAAAAGCAGGCATCCTTATCTTGTTCCAATTCTTAGAGGGAAATCTTTCAACTTTTTTTCCATTATGTATGTTGTCAACTATCGAATTGTCATATGCAGCCTTTATTGTATTTAGGTACATTTCATCTATACCTAGTTGGTTGAGAGTTTTTAATCATGAAGTGATGTTGAATTTTACCAAATGCTTTTTCTGCATCTAGAGATGATCATTTTATTTTTGTCCTTCATTCTGTTGATATGATCTATCACGTTTATTGATTTGCAGATATGTAACCATTCTTGCATCCCTGGAACAAATCCCATTTGATCATGGCATATAATCTTTTTGATGTGTTGTGGATTTAGTTTGCTACTATTTTGTTAATTTTTGCATCTGTGTTTATCAGCGTGTAGTTTTTTGTTGTTGTATCCTTCCCTGGTTTTGATAACAAGGTAATGCTTGCTTCCTAGAATAAATTTGAAAGAACTCCTTCCCCCTTCAATTTTTTGGAATAGTTTCAGATGAATTGGTGTCAGTCTCTCTTTAAATGTTTGGTGGAACTGAACAATGAAGGCATCCAGTACTGGGCTTTTCTTTGTTGGGAGACTTTTTATTCCTGATTCAAGCTCATTACTCATTATTGGTATGCTCAGGTTTTTAATTTCTTCTTGGTTCATTCTTGGTATATTTTATGTGTCCAGGTTAAACTTCAGTTGCCTTTATAATCTAATGAGAGCTATGGACCAAAATTTTGGGTAAAGCACTTTCCGTGGCAGTTAGATTTTTTAAAAAAACTTCTTTCGGGCCGGGCGCGGTGGCTCACGCCTGTAATCCCAGCACTTTGGGAGGCCGAGGCGGGTGGATCATCAGGTCAGGAGATCGAGACCATCCTGGCTAACAAGATGAAACCCCGTCTCTACTAAAAATACAAAAAATTAGCCGGGCGCGGTGGCGGGCGCCTGTAGTCCCAGCTACTCGGGAGGCTGAGGCAGGAGAATGGCGTGAACCCGGGAAGCGGAGCTTGCAGTGAGCCGAGATTGCGCCACTGCAGTCCGCAGTACGGCCTGGGCGACAGAGCGAGACTCCGTCTCAAAAAAAAAAAAAAAAAAAAAAAAAAAAAAACTTCTTTCATTGCCCCCACCTTTTTTGTTGTTGTTGTTTCAAGTGAGTTATGGGTTTCTTTTTAACTGAATTGTATAAGCAAAATATCTCCAAGTAGCCTTGAATTAGTAACAAATCAATCTTTTGTTTACCAGTCTTGTTTGCTTAATTAGCAAATGTGGGGAGGGAAGAATTTTAGCTGTTTTTTTTTCTTCACCTTTTTCTTTTTGGCTTTTGCATGGCACAAAAAACAAAATTTTTCTGTTGAACAGGGATACCTTCTATTATTGCTCTGAGATCAAGATTTTGACCTATTTGGTCTGAGAGCCTAACTTTTATAAACATTTATTTTTTTTTTCTTTTATGTTACTAATTTTTCAATTAAGTGTTTCATTACTGTACACAATTGTTAGGGAAACCTAAATTTATATTTATAAAAGGTGTCAGCCAGGTGCGGTGGTTCACGCCTGTAATCCCAGCACTTTGGGAGGCCGAGGCAGGCAGATCACAAGGTCAGGAGATCGAGACCATCCTGGCTAACAAGGTGAAACCCCGTCTCTACTAAAAATACAAAAAATTAGCCGGGCGCGGTGGCGGGCGCCTGTAGTCCCAGCTACTCGGGAGGCTGAGGCAGGAGAATGGCGTGAACCCGGGAAGCGGAGCTTGCAGTGAGCCGAGATTGCGCCACTGCAGTCCGCAGTACGGCCTGGGCGACAGAGCGAGACTCCGTCTCAAAAAAAAAAAAAAAAAAAAAAAAAAAAAAAACTTCTTTCATTGCCCCCACCTTTTTTGTTGTTGTTGTTTCAAGTGAGTTATGGGTTTCTTTTTAACTGAATTGTATAAGCAAAATATCTCCAAGTAGCCTTGAATTAGTAACAAATCAATCTTTTGTTTACCAGTCTTGTTTGCTTAATTAGCAAATGTGGGGAGGGAAGAATTTTAGCTGTTTTTTTTTCTTCACCTTTTTCTTTTTGGCTTTTGCATGGCACAAAAAACAAAATTTTTCTGTTGAACAGGGATACCTTCTATTATTGCTCTGAGATCAAGATTTTGACCTATTTGGTCTGAGAGCCTAACTTTTATAAACATTTATTTTTTTTTCTTTTATGTTACTAATTTTTCAATTAAGTGTTTCATTATTGTACACAATTGTTAGGGAAACCTAAATTTATATTTATAAAAGGTGTCAGCCAGGTGCGGTGGTTCACGCCTGTAATCCCAGCACTTTGGGAGGCCGAGGCAGGCAGATCACAAGGTCAGGAGATTGAGACCATCCTGGCTAACACGGTGAAACCCCGTCTCTATCAAAAATACAAAAAATTAGCCGGGTGTGGTGGCGGGCACCTGTAGTCCCAGCTACTCAGGAAGCTGAGGCAGGAGAATGGCGTGAACCCGGGAGGCGGCGCTTGCAGTGAGCCCAGATCAGGCCACTGTACTCTAGCCTGGGGGACAGAGTGAGACCCCATCTCAAAAAAAAAAAAAAAAGGTGTCTAGGTGGTTGATTACCATGGAGCTATTGTAATCTGTAAAGCCATTAATTTCAAAGCCTTTAAGGCTGTTTTCTTTCCTTGACTGAAATGCCATAAGCAGTGAGTTTTATCTCAACACCTGTAGAAATGTCATCATGTTCAAAGTAGGCAGAAAAAAAAAGAGAGAGAGAGAGAGAACTTCTACATGTTAACTCTATAATTGCTGGTTTTTAAAAATAATGACCATTTCAGTTCTGAATTTTCCTTCATTTTGCCTATCTACTTATAAATGTGCACAAGAAAGTTAACATTGATTTTGAACATTTCAAACCAATTAATACATCATTGTATTTGTGTGACAACAAATTCCATACAGAAGCTCTTACAGCACTACTTTCAGATGAAAGCAAGTCTGGATTCATCGTAATAGATGGTAGTGGTGCACTTTTTGGCACCCTCCAAGGAAACACAAGAGAAGTCCTGCAAAAACTCACTGTGGATCTCCCAAAGAAACACGGTAAAGGTCAGTCAGCCTTGCGTTTTGCCTGTTTAAGAATGGAAAAGTGACCTAACAATGTTCAGAAAGTAGCAGAGACTGCTGTGCAGCTGTTTATTTCTGGGGACAAAGGGAAGGTGGCTGGTCTAGTTTTAGCTGGATCCGCTGACTTTAAAACTGAACTAAGTCAATCTGATACGTTTGATCAGCGGTTACAATCGAAAGTTTTAAAATTAGTTGATAGGCCGGGCGTGGTGGCTCATGCCTGTAATCCCAGCACTTTGGGAGGCCAAGGCGGGCGGATCACGAGGTCAGGAGATCGAGACCATCCTGGCTAACACGGTGAAACCCTGTGTCTACTAAAAATACAAAAACAAAATTAGCTGGGCGTGGTGGCGGGTGCCTGTGGTCCCAGCTACTTGGGAGGCTGAGGCAGGAGAATGGCGTGAACCTGGGAGGCGGAGCTTGCAGCGAGCCCAGATCACACCACTGCACTCCCGCCTGGGCAACACGGCAAGACTCAGTCTCAAAAAAAAGAAATTAGTTGATATATCCTATGGTGGTGAAAATGGATTCAACCAAGCTGTTGGGCTATCTACTGAAGTCCTCTCCAAAGTGAAATTTATTCAAAAGAAGAAATTAGTAGGGATACATTGATGAAATCAGCCAGGACACAGGCAGGTACTGTTTTGGTGTTGAAGATACACTAAAGGCTTTGGAAATGGGAGCTGTAGAAATTCTAATAGCCTATGAAAATCTGAATATAATGAGATATGTTCTTCATTGCCAAGGCACAAAAGAGGAGAAAATTCTCTAACTCCAGAGCAAGAAAAGGATAAATCTCATTTCACAGACAAAGAGACCAGGCAGGAACATGCGCTTATCAAGAGCATGCCCCTGTTGAAATGGTTTGCTAACAACTATAAAAAAGTCGGAGCTACATTGGAAATTGTCACATATAAATCACAAGAAGGGTCTCAGTTTGTGAAAGGATTTGGTAGAATTGGAGGTCTCTTGTGGTACCAGGTGGATTTCCAAAGAATGGAATACCAAGGAGGAGACGATGAATTTTTTTACCTTGATGACTACTAGGTAGTCGACATGGGTCCGGCAAAACATGCCTCACTCTCCAGCATCCAACCCAAGGAGCATACTCATGATGGAATCCAAACAGATCCCTGCCTTACAATTGGAACATTTCCAGAACTTAATCCATGAGCACTGGATATTGAAAAGAAAACAGAAACAAAACCAGACCCAACCCTACACTTTGGTTTGTCACGGTGTCAGCGTAGCAGCCTACAACTAAGTTCCTAAATGCCACTTTGGACTAATTTAAAAAAGAATCCCAGTTTTTACTTTTACTCGATGGTGAAATTGGCTGCTCTTGTATTTTATTTAAAAAATGATTTTTTTAACCTTTATACAAATAAGCAAAAATACTTTAACTGCTGTAAACCTTCAAAAGTTAATAGAAGTGAGATCGTACTGCTTTCTTATTTTGATTGGAGAGAAATTAAATTGCTACATTTTGCAGTGACCCATTTACATGGCATTCTCAGCTTAGACTGCATAAGAAGAAATATATGTGGTGAAATGTTGGAACCATTTCTCTCTTGGTCTCTGTTTAATGATGAAAGAGTGAGCTAATAGGAGGCAATTTCAACTTCACTCCCTCACGCTACCCCTTCCCCCTCCAGACTGGCCGTTTCAAGGATGAAAATTGCATTGCAAAATCAAACTGACTCATGAAGCATTTGGGCCAGTGCACTGTTTACTTCCATCTGTTTGCAGACACATTTGTGCCCGGTGTTTGGGAGCTCTTTGTATCAATGTTCCGACAAGGGTCCCAATAACCTTAACCTACTCGAAACCAGTTTGGGATGGATATGATGGGGCTTCTGTGCTATTGCTGGGATTGGGAGAAATAAAACATGCAATTTAAGTGGAAGCAAAACAATTAAAAATAAAATAAATAAATCCATTGCCTGATTCCATGTCTCCCTCCAATTACCGCCCCATTTCTCTGACACTCCTTATAGAATAATTCCTTAGTCAATTGTCTCATGATGTTTTTAATATATCAAATGGATTTATGGACAGTGTTTCAAAAGCCAAATACTTCTACAAGGCTTGTTATGAACACAGATGTCCCCAATCTTTCATGTACACCATTTCCTGAATCCTAGAGGCAATCTACTTTATTCTGCCTAATTTTTTGATCGTTACATCTGTGCCTCCAAATAGTGTGTTATAGTGCCGTTTTGTTTTTCACTCTTATGTATCATCCTTAGTGTATAGCTCCCTTTCATATACCCCTCTCCTCTCAATATAGTTATTTTATAATTTTGGTTAGCTGGGTGTTCACTATTTATATTATTATGACCACAGAAATGCTATTCACAGCTAGACTAGGAAATGCTATTCACAATTAGATTAGGAAATGCTGTTCACAATTAGATTAGGAAATGCTATTCACAAGGATTATTTTCCTTCCTGGAATTGACTTTTTAATTTCCCTGGAATTAATAAATGTTTTATCCCTTCATGTGCTTAATTTCTGTTGTACTCATTATAAAATCTCTTCCAAATTTCCCTCCAAGGCCTCTGCTATAGTTTGAATGTGTTCCCCAAAGTTCATGTGTTGGAAACTTGATCTCCAATGCAGTGATATTGGAAAGTAAGGCCTAATAGAAGCTGTCTGAGTCATGAGCGCAGAGCCCTCATGAACAAATTAATATCATTATTATGGGAGTGAGCCCATAATAATAATATTGTCCTCTCTCTTGCCCTTGACCCACTTGCCATGTGAAGACACAGCAAGAAGGCTCTTGCCAAATGCTGGTGGCTTGATCTTGGATTCCTAGCCTCACAACTGAGAAAACAAATTTCTGTTCTTCATAACTGACCCAGACTATGGCATTCTGTTATAGCAGCATAAATGAACTAAGACAGTCTCCATGAATATATTCAACCATGCCCCGTGTTCTACCAACCTCATCTTTGTGAAGACACTTCCCTTGGTCCTGCCACACGTGGACTGGTGCATGCACATCTGGGCTGATTTCCAAGATCGTCTTCACCTCATCCTGGGCATCCCTCTGCCTCTCTCTTATGCTGGCTCTCCTATTGCCTGGATCCCATGTGTCCCCTTTTTTGGTTTTCTCCATCGTTTTTGTTTCTCATTTCATCCGTGTTCCTAAGGGAACATGGAAAGTAAAATCTGAAAGCCTAAGCTTCTGAAAATGTCTTCGGGCTACCCTAGCACTTATTCCAACCTGGACTTGGTATGGAATTCTGTATTGAAAACATTTTTCCTAGGAATTTCCATGACATTCCATCAACATTTTTTAGCTTCTAATGTTGTTTTTCTTGCCTTTTGATGTTTTTGGGATTTCTTCTTTTCCACCCACCTTCTAAAATTTCATTGTGATGTGTCTTGGTGTGGGTCTGTTTTCATCTACTATAGTAAGAACTTGGTTGGGGCCATTACAAGTTAAATTTTTGTCTGTAAACTTGGAGAAATTTTTTTATTTTAAATAATTTCTATCTTTCCATTCTTTTAGAATTTGTATTATTAAGTTGCAGGAAATCCTTGACTGATAGCCTAGTATTCGTATAGTTTTTCTGTCTTTCTTGACATTGTTTTTCCATTTTTAATATTTAGTGGTAGTACAAATTTACTCTTCCAAGTGATCTATTGAAATACTTATTTAAATGATCACTTTTTGATTTCCAAGAGTGCTTTTTGGTTCTCTGATTGTATATAATTTTATAAAATCCTATTCATCATTTATAAATGCCATATCTTATTATTTCTTTTAGGTATTATTGAGAATAGTGGTAGTGGACCTGTTAGATCTCCTGGTTATCTGCTTTCATGGTACCATGAACTTTTCTTCACCACACTTAGCTCAGCAGTAATTTTATATTTCTCTTTGTAAGTTCTGCTAAATGTGCATCTCCTTCATGACAGTGCAAACATCAAATTGCCAGCATCTTACTTTTGCTCTTCACTGTATCTTCAGGGTCTAGTAGATCACATGATTCATCAGAGGACTTGAAATACATGCTGAATGAGGAAATATAAGTGTGGTTAGGCAGGGAAATCAGACTTCCTTGATCAATTGCCCCTTGATGTTCTCCTGAGCACTGTATCTCATGACCTCCTGTCATAGAACATTCAGGGACATTGAAAGAGTTCACTGGCATGGGATACAGCGTCATATCCACCACCAGATGGACAGGGAATCAGTGAAAGATGATTCCATTAAGAGAAAATTCCCTGGGTCCACTCCACCCCCACCACCTGCTTAACCTCTCTGAGTCTCCCTTTCCCTGTCTATACAAAGATATCACATATCGGGCTTCTCATGGGTTTGCATTGAAGATCAAATTTGACTCTCTCAGTAAAACACATGGTATTATACCTTGAGGTATATTAAGTGTTCTGCTACTCATAGCTACTATCCCTATATTGATTACAGCATTTGGATTGTTTCAATCATTTTGCTTTTATAAACCAAAATTCAAGAAACATCCTTGAACATATATTTTTTAGAATGTGTGCAGTTATCTTCTTAGGAAAAATTCTTGAAAGAGAAATATATGCATTGAAATGTAAGTCCATTTATATTGTTAACATGTTTCGCAAAAGTCCCCTCTAGAAATTTATACCCCAGTGTTTTTTGTTGTTGTTTTGTTTTGTTTTGTTTTTGAGACAGAGTCTTGCTCTGTTTCCCAGGCTGGAGTGCGGTGGCACGATCTCGGCTCACTGTAAGCTCCGCCTCCTGGGTTCACACCATTCTCCTGCCTCAGCCTCCCAAGTAGCTGGGACTACAGGCGCCTGCCACCACGCCCAGCTAATTTTTTTTTAATATTTTTAGTAGAGACGGGTTTCACCGTGTTAGCCAGGATGGTCTTGATCTCCTGACCTCGTGATCCACCTGCCTCGGCCTCCCAAAGTATACCCGTTTTTCATCAGCCTTCATGACAGTGTATTTTCCCTACCTCTGGATAATATGCTTATCATTTACTTTCACATATGCCAAACTGACAGATTTTAATTTTCATTCGCATTTCTAATGTCATGTTCTCATTTTTCCTCATATTCATTAATCAGAGTATATTGTCTGATATTTGATTTATTCTTTCCCATATTGCTTTCTAATATTATTATTTTTCTATTGGGATGACTTAAAAATGTTGAATTTGACTAAGAAAAAAAGCAGCTCTTGACTTCTGACACTGACAGTAGGTTTCAGTACTGTTAGAAGCTGTCCTACTGCTCAACACTAGGCCATATTATTCTTTTCTTGGACATAAACCATATTACACAACATCAGACAAGGACACTCTGGGAACATGATAAAACAAGACAAAACAGGGGCACTACATAATTTAGTATAAGCACAGACAAAAACCAAGGCACTGTGTACCTCACAAAATACCAAACCTCTCCCCCTGCTGGCTAATATGAGTGACGGCTGTTTCTTTACCAGCCACAACTTTATCCTTGCTCTGCTCTGCATTTATTATGGGTAAGATTTATTGAGACAGTCGTAGAAATGTTCCTGCTTTTTGACAACACCCCATCTACAGTCAACCCCTACCTCATTAGCTCTCCCCAAAAACATCCACTAAAAGACCAAATCCTATATTGCATTTTTTCTAATATCCTCACGCTAAGATGGTGTGCATTCTCTCTTGTGACAATGAGTAATAAACCCCAGTTGTTCAGCTATAGATGTTCCTGGTGGTCTTTGGCTGAAAGACATTGAAATATGCTACCTTTTGTCTTTCCAATTATTTATGTGTCTTTGAATTTGATCACAGGCATATGTTTGTATATTTGTGAGTCTGTGGTTGACATAGAGAAGTTTTATTTTTTTATTTATGGCTTTTCATATTTGGGTCATGCTTACAGAATCCTTTTCTACCTCACAATTGTAAAACTTAACATCTATTTTCATCTAGGTACAGATGATATGAAGAGAGGGAAGTCCCAGAGTGAAGAGAAACACACAGATATGTTTGATTTGGGGAGAAAGCTGGGGGGAATGAGCAAGAAGCAAAGAGTTCTAAGGTGGAGTTTTAACATTTAAAACCTGGTCAGGTGTGGTGGCTCACGCCTGTAATCCTAGCACTTTTGGAGGGCAAGGTAGGCAGATCACTCGAGGTCAGGAGTTCAAGACCAGCCTGGCCAACATGGTGTATTCACCAAAAAATACAAAAACTAGCCAGGTGTGGTGGTGTGTGCCTGTAGGCCCAGCTACTTGGGAGGCTGAGGTGGAAGAATCACCTGAACCTGGGAGGCGGAGGTTGCAGTGAGCCATGATTGCCCAACTGCAATCCAGCCTGGGTGGCAGAATAAGACTCTATCTCAAAAATGAAAAAGTTTAAATCATTTGCTTATAATTTTAAAATATGTCTACAAAGCCTATAAGATATTTTATATGGCAACTTCAATAAATACTTTCTCTTGGGCTAAGTAATGACTTATATACCTCCTTGTGTTCACCAGGTTATAGAAAACAGTAACACCAAGAGTCTCAATGAAATATTGACAAGGATTAGCTCTGGTGATAAGCATTTTTGAAAATGTATGACCTTGAGTTGATAAATCATGTTTTGGTAATCTATACGTACACTCTAATTGTTAAAATACATATTGAACTTTCTTGGGCCTGCTGTATTTTAGGGATATGTCTAAGACCCACATAGCCAAATCCATGGGTTCTATGTGAAGGTAATTTTAATGTATTTCAATCTGGGAGTCACAAGGTATCTTTTTTTGTGGGGGAGATTGAAAACTAAGAGCACTCTAGATAAGCACTATCAAAAATGGTAACTACTAGCTACACATGGCTATTTATATTTCAATTAATTGAATAAAACTTTTAAAAAATCAACTCTTTATCACACTAGCCACATTCCAAGTGCTCAATAACCACATGTAACTAGTGGCTCCCATATTGGACAGTGCAGATATAGATCAATTTCATCATCACAGAATGTTCTATTGAACAGCACTACTGCTATAGAGATTTTTATGCTCCTCCCAAAATAAAACCTAATCCCCAGTGAGATGATATTTGGAAGTGGGTTTGTTTTAGAGGAAGTGATTATGTCATGAGGTCAGAACTCCCATGAATTGAACTTGTACCCTTATAAAAGAGATTCTAGAAAGCTGTCTTGGCCCTTCTGCCATGGGAGGATGCAGTGAGAGGACAGCTATGAAGAAGCAGGCCCTCACCAGACACAGAGTTAGCTGACACCTTGATATTGGACCTCCCAGCCTCCAGCACTGTGAGAAATATCTTTCTTTTGTTTATAAGCCACCTAATCTAGGGTATTTTTGTTATAGCAACCTGATGGATTAAGATAACTGCTCTTGGTGCTATGTGGGCCTCAAGTCAAGTGCATTAGACACATCTAAAATGAAAGGGTGACTGGTTGTGGTGACTTACGCCTGTAATCCCAGCACTTTGGGAGGCCAAAGCAGGAGGATCGCTTGAGCTCAGAAGTTTGAAACCAGCCTGGGGAACATAGCAAGATCCCATCTCTACAAAATATTTTTTAAAATTAGCTCTACAAAATATATAATTTTTAAAATTAGCTGGACATGCTGGCAAGTGCCTGTAGTTCCAACAGCTTAAGAGTCTGAGGTGGGAGGATGGCTTGAGCCCCCCGAGAGTTCGCCACTACAGTGAGCCATTATCATGCCACTGCACTCTAGCTTGGGTGACACTGTGAGACCCCATCTTGGAAAAAACAGAAATGAAAGGGCCAATATTATTTCTCATAGAGATTGCAAATTCAAAGTGGGTCAGGAGTGAAATCTCTATTTTGTGCTTTTAGGCGCAAACCATTCCCAGCTCCAAAATGGAAACACATTTGCCACCTCTGTTCCCAGACTAAGGACACTCTCTGCATCCAATTTACAGGTGATAGGTTCTCTTCTATAAGAGCCCAGGGCAAGGCAAACTTAGCGCTAGCTAAGTTTTGGGATGCAGGGAGTCCTGCTCGGGGAGAAAAATTTGGGAAAATGAAGAGGCAAAGGGGCCAGTCAAGAACTCTCCACAGCTTACCCAGAACAGGATTTCTCAAAGTGCAATCTGTGGAACCCTTGTGGGCTGCTGAAACCCCTTCATAGATCCACAAGGTTAAAAGTATTTTTATAATACAATGAAGACATTATTTGTACTAAAGTAAAACTTGACAAGAAGGGAGGCTATGGTACCAAACTGAAATAGTAGTTATTATATTCTTAACCACTTCTTAATTATAGAAGAAAAAACAGGTTTCACTTAAATATGTCGTGGTTGAAGTATCAAAGAATTATTAACTTTATTAAATCTCTATCCCAGAATCCACAGTTTAATATATCTTAAATGAGTAAGTGGGAAGTACGCATAAGGTATTTCTACTACATTCCAAATTAGGATGTTTGAGGCCAGGCGCAGTGGCTCCCACCTGCAATTAATTCTAGCACTGTGGGAGGCCTAGGCAGGTGGATCATTTGAGGTCAGGAGTTCAAGACCAGCTTGGCCAACATGGTGAAACCCTGTCTCTACTAAAAATACAAAATTAGCCAGGCATGGTGGTGCGCACCTGTAGTCCCAGCTACTAGGGAAACTGAGTCACAACAATCACTTGAACCCGGGAGGTGGAGGTTTCAGTGAGCCAAAATCATGCCACTGCACTCCAGCCTGGGTAACAGAGCGAGACCCTGTCTTAAAACGAAAACAAAAACAAATTAAAATGTTTGTGTCCACAAAATCATTTTGTGAGTTGTACTAGTCTATTTTTTATGGAATATCCTTTTTACTTGAAAGAATGAATGACAGAAATGATTATCATTTAGACTTGAATATTTGGCTGACACTTTCTCAAAAACGAACATAACCCTGTCCCTTCCACATAATCAACTGATGGTATTATTCCCAATGATAAAAGGCAAGCTCTCAAGAGAAAATTAGAATCCTGGGGAACTTGTATCCACCATCATAAGCCTGATGGCTTCCCAATACTTAACAATCTTTTCTGGTAATATCTGTGGTAATATTAAAAAATGTGATTTTTTGATAACTTGTAGTTAAATGTGTCAACACTGGAAGACATAATGTGGTGAAATTGTGTTTCTTTTTTTAAAAGTCATGTATTATACAAGAAGCATTCAATGTGGAAGTCGGACCTATATATTTTAATGTAACAGCATGTGAAATAGTTATTGATAGTTTCATGTTCCACATTACAAATAACCTTTAAGAAGCTAACACTTCTATCATTTTAGTGTAGTATCAAGGATGAATATCCAGTTTTCTAAAAATGTTATTAAAAACATTCCTGGCCTAGCGAGGTGACTTATACCTGTAATCCCAGCATTTTGGGAGGCCAAGGCAGGAGAATCATTTGAGCCTAGGAGTTCCACCCAGGAGTTCGAATGAGACCCCCATCTCTACAAAAAATAAACAAAATTAGCTGCGGTGGTGTTTCGTGCCTGTGGTCACAGCTGCTCATGAGGCTGAATTGGGAGGATCACTTGAGCCCAGGAATTCGAGGCTGCCGTGTGCTATGATCACACCACTACACTCAAGCCTGGGTGATAGCATGAGACCAAAAGAAACAAACAAACAAACAAAACCCCCCAACAAAACCCAAAACAAGAACAGCAACAAAAATATCATTGTGTGAGGATGGATTTTTTTTCATACACTTCAACCAAACATAACAGATTAACCAAAATAACAGATTAAATGAAGGAGAAGAAAATTCATTAATCTTCTAATGAGACACATAAGAAAAGGATTTACAAACATACAAAATGTAAAAAGATGCACTCTTCTCACTATACTGTTTACTTTGGGAAATACTGACTTTGCATAAAAATATTTCTAACATGCAATGCATTATTAATATTCTAAATGAATAAAATAATTTAAGTGATTTTAGTTTCTAATATGGTAAATATTAACGTATATAACTCACATAAAATTATCTTCAGAGTCCTCACTAATTCCTAAGAGCATGCAGAGATCCTGAAACCAAAACGTTTGAGAAACGATGACGTAACTCCTAGCTCTGGATTAAGGGAGCATGTGTGACAAAGAGCATTTGGTATAGGAGGAGAAGGGCCAGGCCTTATCCTGTCTCTAGGACTGTGGCAAGGGCTTTGTGTGACCAGGTCAGCCTAGGCTCAGGCTTAGGTCTGGCCCTCAGCCCCCATCTTGTTCATTGTTTTGTTTTGACAGAAGACTATGCCTGTTCTTCTTCTTGTATCTGAGTTCTGGTCTCCAAGTCTCCAATCTCCTCTAGGACAGCCGTAGGAGTTACTTTTTCTGTCATTGTCCTCACAAGCCCTGGGGTGGCCCCTGCACACAGGAGTCTCTGTGGTATCAAGAGACCAATTTTTAGACCCACCCAGCTCTTGTCCTTCCAGGGCTGTTTCCTGGACTATTCTTCGCATCTTTTCCCCAATCTTTTTCAGGAAATCAAATTCTGGAATTAGAGATCATATCTCGGTTTCTCACCTTAGATAAACTCCTGTTAGGTTTCTAACAGGAATTTATTTTTGGCTCACCTACCCTCTCTCCCTGCCTTTGGCTGTAATAATCCTAGTGCTGGCTCAAATCCAAACTCATGGATGTCTAGACTCTAATTTAATTCACAGTTGGTTGGAAAATAGGGTCCATAAGCCTAGGATCATTTTTTTTTTTCTGAAAAGGGAACTATAATTGTCTGCTGTGGTATATGAGGATTGGTGTGGGAGGGAGGCGAGAACAGCATTTGTGAGAAAAGTACAGGCAGCATTGATGTCAACATGAGTGGTTGTTTCACTGTAGCTGCCACAAAACAGCATGTGGTCTGCAGCTACATTAATAAAGATACTGTTTCTAGAATAGGGAGGTGCTGTACACTGGTCATTCATTTAGCCAATATTTGTTGAGTGCTGGCTGTATGAAATGCTAGTTTTACATCTGGAAACTAAAAACAGGCAAAAATTGCTGGCCTTGAGGGGCACATGTTTTAGTGGGAAAACACAGACTATGTACTATAAGCAGAGTAAATAAGGAAAGTGTTTCTGTCAAAAGGTGCTGAGGGGTGTGAGGCAGGTGATCCAGATTGTGGGTGTGTGGGGACAGGGAAGATGGCTGTTTTACTAGGGTGGTCTATGGTCTCACTGGGAATGTGACCTTAAGAGAAAAGATGAATTATCTATGAGGACGTCTGGGGCAGGTTCTTTCCAGGCAGGGGAACCCCCAGTGCAAAGGCACCAGAACAGGAGCACATCTGGGTTGTGGGAGGAGTTGAGGGGGCTCAGATAGCTGCAGCAGTCATTGATATAAGGTCAGAGATTTGGGGAGATCATGTAGGCTTGAGGATACTGGAAGGGTTCTGACTTTGCTCTGAGTGAGATGGGGGAGACACAAACAGCTGTCAGCAGAGTAGAGACTTGGCACATCTTTTAAAAGGATCATCCTGGCTGCTATGCTGAGAACAGAATTGAGAGATGAGGGGTGAGTGAGAAAGTGGGAAAACTGTAGGAAACTAGTGCAGTATTTCAGATTAGCAACTCTGGTTGCTTTGCCTGGGGTGTGAGCAGAGAAAAGAGTGGGAAGTGATTGGATTTCAGACACATTCTCAATATGGACTTCACAGTACTTCCTAATAGATTAAGTCTGGGGTATGAAAAAGAGGAGTCAAAGAGGAACCCCAAAATTTCAGACTGTGCAAGTAGAAAAATGAAGTTGTTGTCAGCACAGATGGGGAAAATTCTGAAAGGGGCATATTTGAGGAGGGGGCACTATAGGCATTCAATTTAGGAAATGTTGAATCTCAGATGTCAGACATTCAAGTGAGGTTGTTGTGTTGGCAGATGGATATGCAAGTTGGAAATGCAGGAGAAATGTCTGGGCTGGGAAAATAGATTTAGGAGTTAATGCCATATTAATGATATTTAAAGCATAGAGCATGCATGAGTCGCCAAGGGAAAGATGGCTATAGAAGAGAAAAAGGACATGGACTGAACCCTGGACCTTCAGTGCTAAGGGATTTCATCAGAACACACTCTGACAGCAGACTGCACAGTTCTAACACCACATCTAGAAAGTAAGTAAATCTGAGAATCTCAAATTTTAGTGTGCGTAGGAATCACCTGGACAACTTTCTAAGATTCAGGTGGTCTGGAGTTGAGAATGAGATTCTGTGTTTATAAAAAAGTTGAGGCAGACACTGATGGTCTTCAGATCACACTTTTAGTAGCAAGAATGTAGACCAGGATTCCCAGGTGGCTGTGCATCAGCCTCACCTGTGGCTTGTTATTCCTGGGATCCATGTTCCACTTCTGAGATGGTGGGTATGGGGAAAGGCCTGAGTATTTTTGTAAAAAATCTACAAGGAATCCTGGTGATCAGCCAGATTGGGAACCACTGAGGTCAGTGATCAACAGTGCCTAGGGTGGGAAAGGGTCTTAAGTCCACATTTAAATGCTATTTTTTCTAATTTAAACATAAAGGACTTCTATCTGTCTATCTATCTATCATCTATCTTCATTAGGCTGGTGTTTATTTTATTTTGGGAAGGTCTGTGAGAATAGGCTTAAAGCTACATAGCTAGAAGCAGCATCTATAATCCCATCCTAGGTGGAGTCTCACATAGGAATCACTGCCCCTGATGCTGGGCACAGATGTCACTGTTCATACCAATGACACTCTAAAGCTAGACACTGGACCTTGCAGATAGAACTGCTATCACGACTGCTCCTGGCAACTGGACATTGCTGCTGCAACTCACACCACACTTACTAAAATGTGTGCACAGTACCAGCTTATGTCACCAGGCTGAGTCAGAATCCAGCAAGTGGTTATCTGCCTGGTGGAACCTAAGCCTCATCCCATATCCAGCTGCCAGAATATTTGGAAAAGTGAGTTTTTCTTTCGTGGAAGAAGTTGGTGTCTGCTTCCTACAATGACTCTTTAAGTATGAAATTCTTTAAGTATGAAATCATACTCTTTAAGTATGAAATTCTCCCTAACATGGAGAGGGTTCAGGTGCTGGGACACAGGAAGATAGAGTGGAAAAAGAATGAAAAAAAAAGTCAATTCCTAGAGCAGTAATCTGAGACTAGAACCTTATCTGGTATATCATAGACACTTGGGTTTTGCTGAATGAATCAGTGACTAATTAATTACAACTTTCAATTTATTTCCTTGATAGTCTGTTATGAAGTACAACTTTTTCCTGATCAGTTTATACTCAGATAAGTAGAGTGGCACTGTGGGATGGTGAAATGATTGCTCAAAACTTATCTCTTGTTAGGATTTTTTAAAATCTAGATGTCTAAGACTTCAGAGGACCTGTGTATACACTAAGATTTTATACTAATATTTATATTTCTTTGTATATGCACATATTTTCTGGAAAGAATATCTGTGACATTTATGTTTTTGTAACCCTATTTTAGGAAACCCTCTCTCAAACCACATTTTCCCTCTGCTCTCATACCACAACAATCATCAACACAGAAGACTTCTGTGACCAAAGATGTGGGGGTTTTTCCCCACACACCAAGCAGTGGACACCAGCTGGGTATCCTCCAGTTCAATGTCAACACTGTCTACCTGGAGATAGCATCATATCCCACAGATTGGGGGCTTAGTCCCCAAGACTACTCCACATCAGACACCAATCGCAGAAGTTCCCACCACCCACTCTGGGCTTCACTAATTTGCTGGAGTAGCTCACAGAATTCAGGGAAACATTTATGTTTACTAGTTTATTATAAAGGATATTACAAAGGATACAGATGAAAATACGTGTAGGGTGAGGTATCAGGGAAGGAGCATGGAGCTTCCATGCCCTTCCTGGGCACACCAACCTCCAAAAACCTCCACTTGTTCAGCTACCTGGAAGCTCCCTGAACCCAGTTCTCCTGGGTTTTTATGGAAGCTTCGTGACACCAGCATTCCTTCTCCCAATGTATAGTGTGGGACCCTCTCCAGAGAGGGTCTTAAGACCCATAATCAGAAAGGCAGAAGATTAGAGTCCTGCCTTGGGGCAGGTGAAATGAGGCCAGAAGAGAGATTCTGATTCCTGAGGCCTGCCGAGGCCGAACACACCCAATATTATTACAAAAGACCGAAACAAGGGAATATAGGAGCTAGGAACCAGGAACTGTGGCCAAAAACCAATCTATAACACCACACACCCCCACTGTCTTAGTCCACTCAGGCTGCTATAACAGAATACCTTAGACTGGGTGGCTTATAAACAACATAAAAGTATTTCTCACAGTTATGGAGGCTGGTAAGTCCAAGAGCAAGGTGTTGGTTAATTTCATGTCTGATGAAGGCCCCTTTCCTGTTTCATAAACGTATATCTTCTCCAAGTGGCCTCACATGGCAGAAAGGTGAAGAGAACTGCCTGGGGTCTTTCTGATAAAGGCAGTGATCCCATTCATGGGGGCTCTGCATTCATAACCTAATCACCTCCAAAAGGCCCCACCTCTAAGTATCATCACACTGGGGATTAAGTTTTAAACATAGGAATTTGGGTGGGGGATTGGAGACACAAACATTCAGTCTAGAGCATCCATAAAAGTCTAAAAAATTATCCTAGGTTTGTCACCATGCTACTCAAACTCTGATCTATGAATAGCTGATATCAAACCATTTCTTCACAAACTCTCCCAAAAAGGAGAAAGGAACACTGCCCAACATATTCTATAAGGTATGTTCTATAAGGCTGGTACCAAAAGCAGACAAAACAATCACAAAAAAACTACAGATCGCTATTCATGAATATAGATGTGAAAATCTTCAAGAAAATACTAGCAAACAACCCAGCAATGTACAAAAATAATTATACACCATGACAAAGTGAGATTTATCCTAGGAATGCAAGATGGGTTTAATATCCAAAAATCAATTAATGTAATATATTATATCAATAGAATAAAAACCCACAATTATCTCAATAGATGCAGAAAAAGGTTTTGATCAAATTCGATACTCTTTCATAATAGAAACAGTCAACAGGTGGGCACATTGGCATGTGTCTATAGTCCCAGCTACTCAAGGAGACTGAGGAAAGAGAATCACTTGAGGCCAGAAGTTCGAGGGCATCTTGGGCGATGTGTTGAGACCATGTTACTTTAAAAAAAAAAGAGTCAACAAACTGGGAATTGAAAGGAACTTTCTCAGCCGGATAAAGGGCATCTATAAAAAAGCTACAGCTAACATCATACTCGTATTAGTCCATTTATGCATTGCTTTAAAGAAATACATGAAACTGGATAATTTATAAAGAAAAGAGGTTTAATTGGCTAAAGGTTCTGCAGGCTATACAGGTTTCTGCTCCTGGGGAGGCCTCAGGAAACACAATAATGGTGGAAGGTGAATGGGAAGTTAGTACATCTTACATGGCTGAAGCAGGAAGAAGAGAGAAGGGGGAGGTGGCACACATGTTTAAAAAGCCAAATCTCACTACAAAATCTCAACGAAAATTCACTATCATGAGAACAGCAAGGGGGAAGTCCACCCCCATGACCCAATCACCTCCCACCACACCCTTCCTCCAACACTGGGGACTACAGTTTGACATAAGATTTGGGCGGGTACACAAATCCAAACCACATCAATATTTAATGGTGAAAGACTGGTTGCTTTCCTCCTAAGATCAGCAATTAAAACAAGAATATCCACTCCCACTATGTCTATTCAACATTACCAAAGGTTCTAGCTAAGATAATTAGACAAGAAAAAAGCAATAAAGTATATTCAGATTGGAAAGAAAGAAGTAAAACTATATTCACAGATGACATGATCTTTTATATAAAAAAATGCTAAATGATCCATTAAAGAGCTATTAGAACTACTAACTTCAGCAAGGATAAAGGATATAACACCAGTATACAAAAATCAATTGTATTTCTAAACCCTTGCAATGACAAATCCAGAAATGAAATTAAGAAAACAATTCCATTTGTAATAGCTTTAAAGGAACAAAATACTTAGAAGCAAATTTAACAAAAGAAGTGCAACTCAAACATCAATGAAATAAATTAAAAATCTAAATAAATGGGGTAAAGTTCATGGATTAGATTTAATATAACTCAATGATTATATTTCCAAACTGATAGATTCAGCACAATCCCTATCAGATTCCTAAATGACTACTTCGTAGAAATTTGCAAACTAATTGTAAATTTATAAAGAAATTAAAGGGACGCAGACTACGCAAACAATCTTGAAAAAAAGAACAAAGGGCCAGGCACAGTGGCTCATGCCTGTAATCAATCGCAGCACTTTGGGAGGCCGAGGCAGGAGGATTGCTTGAGGCCAGAAGTTCAAGACCAGCCTGGGCAACACAGCAAGATCCTGTCTCTACAAAAAATAAAAATTAGCGGGGCATGGTGGTACACACCTGTCATCCCAGCTACTTGGGAGGCTGAGGCAGGGGGATTGCTTTAGCCTAGAAGGTTGAGGCTGCAGTGAGCCATGATTATGCCACTGCACTACAGTGTGGGTTACAGGGTAAGAAACTGTCTCTAAAAAATAAAAAGAAGAAAAGAACAAAGTAGAACTCATTCTTTCCAGTTTCAAAACATCGCATAAAGTAATGGTAAT
Source organism: Homo sapiens (assembly GCF_000001405.40). Taxonomy (NCBI): domain Eukaryota; kingdom Metazoa; phylum Chordata; class Mammalia; order Primates; family Hominidae; genus Homo; species Homo sapiens. The sequence goes on from NT_167249.2 coordinate 1,347,436, forward strand.
CAAGACAGTGTGGTACTTGCATAAGATAGACATAGATCAATAGAATAGAACTGAAATTCAGAAATAAAACCATGTGTCTACTGTCAACTGATTTTCAGCAAGGGTGCTGAGCACATTCAACGGGGGAAAGCACAGTCTTTTCAACAAATGGTACTGGGGAAACTTGATAGCCACATACAAAATGATGGAGTGGACCTTATGGTGGTTGAAGTGTGTACTCCGAAAGGTTTGTCTAAGACCTGACCACCAGTACCTGTGAACGTGAACTTATTTAGAAATGGTGTCTTTGTATATGAAATTAAGTTCAGGTTCCCAAGAAAAGATCATCCTGGATTTAGGGTGGGACCTAAATCTAGTGACTGGTGTCTTAATAAAAGAGAAGGAGATATGACATAAACAGAGAAGAGACACAGGCAAGAATGCCATGTGAAGATGAAGGCAAAGATTTCAGTGATGTATCTCCAAGCCAATGGAGCAACAACTACCAACAGCTACCAGAAGTTAGGAAAGAATCATGGAATGAACTTTCCCCCAGAGCCTCCAGAAGAAACTAATCCTGCCAACACCTGGATTTCAAACTTCTGGCCTCCAGAACTGTGACAGAATACATGTTTGCTGTTTTAAGCCATCAAATCTTGGCAATGTGTTACACAAGGTCTAAGAAACTAATACAGGCCTTTACTTCACACTATATACAAAAATAAGCTCAAAATGGAAGAAAGATCTAAATGTTAGTGGTGAAATTACAAAATTCTTGGAGGAAAACCTAGGTGATAAATCTTTATGAACTGGCCGGGTGCGGTGGCTCATGCCTGTAATCCCAGCACTTTGGGAGGCCGAGGCAGGTGGATCACAAGGTCAGGAGTTTGAGACCAGCCTGACCAACATGGTGAAACTCCGTCTCTACTAAAAATATAAAAATTAGCCGGGTGTGGTGGTGCACACCTATAATCCCAGCTACTCAGAAGGCTGAGGCAGGAGAATGGCTTGAACCCAGGAGGCAGAGGTTGCAGTGAGCCGAGATCACACCACTCCACTCCAGCCTGGGCAACAGAGTGAGACTCCGTCTCAAATATATATATATATATATATATATATTTATGAACTCAGGTTGGACAATGGATTCTTAGATATTATGCCAAAGCACAAACAAAAGATATTAGATAATATTGAGAAAAATTAGATGTCATCAAAATTAAAATGTTTATGCTTCAAAGGACACTATCAAGAAAGTGATCCACAATATATACATATATCAAAACATCACATTGTACCCCATATGTGTATTATTTACTAATTAACAGTAAACATTTAGATCAAAAAATTAAAATAGTTTTAAAAATTAAGAATTTTTTTAAAAGTGAAAAAAACCCACAGGAAAGGAGAAAAGATTTGCAAATCATACATTTAACAAGAGATGTTTCTAGAATATATAACAATCTCCTACAACTTAATTGCAAAACACACATAATCCCAATTTTAAAATGAGCAAAGGAGTCCGAGCGCAGTGGCTCACGCCTGTAATCTCAGCACTTTGGGAGGCTGAAGTGGGTGGATCACTTGAGGTCAGGAGTTCGAGATCAGCCTCACCAACATGGTAAAACCCTGCCTCCACTAAAAATACAAAAATTAGCTGGGTGTGGTGGCACACACCTGTAGTCCCAGCTACTTGGGAGGCTGGGACACAAGAATCGCTTGAACCCAAGAGACGGAGGTTGCAGTAAGCCAAGATCGCACCACTCCACTCCAGCCTGGATGACAGAGCAAGACTCCGTCTCTAAATAAATAAATAAAAATAGAATGAGCAAAAGATATGAACAGTCATTTCCCTAAAGAAGATATACAAATAGCCAATAAGTTCATAAAAAAGATGATCGACATTATTAGGGAAATGCAATTTAAAACCACAGTGAAGGCTGGGCATGGTGGCTCACACCTGTAATTCCAGCACTTTGGGAGGCCAAGGTGGGTGGATCGCAAGGTCAGGAGTTCCAGACCAGCCTGGCCAACATGGTGAAACCCCATCTCTACTAAAAATAGAAAAAATTAGCTGGGCATGGTGGCAGGTACCTGTAATCCCAGCTACTTGGGAGGCTGAGGCAGGAGAATTGCTTGAACCTGGGAGGCAGAGGTTGCAGTGAGCCGAGACCACACCACTGCACTCCAGCCTGGGCAACAGAGCGAGACTCTGTCTAAAACACACACACGCACGCGCGCACACACACACACACACACACACACGAGATACCACTTCCCAGCCAAAGAATGGCTAGAATCAAAACATCAGATAATAAGTATTGTTAAGGATATGCAGGAATGAGAACCCTCAGACACTGCTGGCAGGAATGTGTAATTATGTAGTCACTTTGGAAGGAGTCAGGCTGTGGCTCAACTGATTAAAAATGAAGATACCATACGACTCACCCATTCTTAGGTATATGTCCAAGAGAAATAAAAATGTGTCACACAAAAATTTGTAAATGAACATTCATAGATGCATTATTTGTATTAGCCAAAAGACAGAAACAATCCAGATGTCTATAAACCGATAAATAAACAAATGTGATACATCTATGGAATACAGTATTATTTGGCCATAAAAAGCAATGAAATACTGATACATGCTATAATATAAATGACACTTGGAAACATTAAGTGAAAGAAACTAGTCACAAAAGACCATATATGATTATATTTACATATGAATTTTCCAAAATAGGCAAATCCATACAGGTAGGACATAGATTAACTCTTGCTTAGGGTTTGGGGTGATGGGGAAGGGGGAATAAGAGAGTAATAGCTATAGGGCATGGGGTTTCTTTTTCAGGCGATGATAATATTCTAAAATTGAATGCAGTGATGGTTGCACATATTTGGGAATATACTTTAAAACTTTGATTGCATACATACTTTATTTTTTTCCAGATTTATTGAAGTATAATTGACAAATAAAAATTGTACAGTGTGACTTTTTATTTGTACATAATATTTGCACATATTTATGGGGTACATGTGATATTTTGATACACACATAGTATCTAATAATGAAGTTAGGGTACATAGGATATCCGTCACCTCAAGCATTTATTTCTCTGTGTTGGGAACATTACAAGTCTTCTAGCTATTTTGAAATACACAATATATTGTTGTTAATTATAGTCACCCTACTGTGCTATCAAACACTAGAACTTATTCCTTCTATCTGACTGTACGTTCGTACCCATTAACCTACCTCTCTTCATCACCCCCCTCACACACCCACAAACACACACACACACACACACACACACACACACCCTTCCCAGCCTCTGGATACTATCTTTCTGCTGTTTACCTCGATTAGATCAACATTTTAAAGCTCGCACATGAGTGAGAACATGCAATATTTGTCTTTCTGTGCCTGGCTTATTTCATTTAATATCAGAACCTCCAGTTCTGTCCATGTTAGTGGAAATGACAAGATTCCATTCTTTTTATAGCTAAATAGTATTCCATTGTGTATATATGCCGTATCTTTTTAATCCATTCATCCATTGATGGACAGTTAGGTTGATTCCCTGTCTTTGCTATTGTAAATAGTACCACAGTAAACATGGGGGTGCCAGTATCCCTTTGATGTATCGATTTCCTTACCTTTGGATAAATACCCAGTGGTGGTATTGCTGGATCACACAGATCTATTTTCAGTTTTCTAAGAAATCTCCATACTGTTTTCCATAGTGGCTGTACTAATTCACCTTCCCACCAACCGTGTGTAAGAGTTTGTCTTTATATCCTAGCTACCATTTTTGTCTTTTTAATAATAGCTATTCTAGCTAGGGTAAGATGATATATTATTGTGGTTTGCTTTAAATTTCCCTGATAATTAGTGATGTTGAGCATCTTTTTCACATACATGTTGGCCATTTGTATTTCTTAAGAAATTTCTATTCAGATCCCTTGACCATTTTTAAGGGGATTTTTTTTTTTTTTTTTTTTTACTGTTGAATTGTGTTCCTTGTACACTCTGGATATTAGTCCCCTGTTGGATAATTTGAAAATATTGTTCCCATCTACAGTTGGTCTCTTCACTCTGTTGTTTTCTTTGCTGTGCAGATTTTTAGTTTAATATAGTCCCACCTGCCTATTTTTTGTTGTTGTTGCCTATGCTTTTGATGTCTTAACCATAAAATCTTTGCCTAGACCAATGTTCTTGAGCATTTCCCCTATATTCTCTTTTAGTAGTTTCATAGTTTCGGATCTATCATTTAAGCCTTTAATCCATTTTTGGTTGATTTTTTAATATGGTAAGAGATATGAGCCTAGCTGCAATCTTCTGCATATGGATATCCAGTTTTCCCAGCACCATTTATTGAAAAGGGTGTCCTTTCTTGGTGCCTTTGTTGAAAGTCAGTTGGCTGTAAGTATATGAAATTATTTCTGGGTTCTCTATTCTTTCCATTGGTCTATGTGTCTGTTTTAGGCCGGTACCATGATGATTTGGTTTCTACTATAACAGTTACAAAGCTATTACTATAGCTTAACTATTGGATGGGGCTCTTTTGTGGTTCCATATGAATTTTTTTTATTTTTGAGATAGGGTCTCACTTTGTCACCCAGGCTGCAACACAGTGGCGCAATACCAGCTCACTGCAGCCTTAACCTCCTGAGGTTCAAGCGATCCTCCTGCCTCAGCCCCCTAAGTAGCTGGGACTACATGCACATGCCACCACACCCAGCTAATTTTTGTAATTTTTGTAGACATTTCACCAGGAACAAATAGAAAACTTGAACAGACCAACAATGAGTAATAAGACTGAATCAGTAATTAAAAGTGTCTCAATAAAGAAAAGCCCAGGACCAGATGGCTTTCCTGTCAAATTCTACCATACATACAAAGAAAAATTAATACCAATACTTCTCAAAATATTTAAAAAAAACTGAAGAGGAAGGAATTATTCTTAACTCATTTTATGAAGCCTGCATTGCCCTGATACCAAAAGCAGAGAAGAATACAAAAAAAAAGAAAATTACAGGCCAATCTTCCTAGTGAAAATATACACAAAAATCCTGAACAAAATTTTAGCAAACTGAATCCAACAACATATCAAAAATATACCACAATTAATTGGGATTCATCCCAGGGATACAAGAGTGGTTCAACACACACAAATCAACAGACATTAACATTTTTTAATCTTATTTGAAAAGGTGGATAAAACTGAATTTGGAATTGGAAGATTTGTTTTGGGTCCCCACTCTGCCATTTCCAAACTCAGTACTCTATCAGAACTAAGTCACAGGGTGCTTGAGGGCTCAGAAGCTTTTGTCCAGCAGACAAGAAGGAACTGTTATTACACAGCCTTTGACCCTCTAGGGACTCCAGCAACCTCGTACTGAAAGGAGACTCCTTGTCTCCTTCTCTGGGGACCCTTTTGTTCAGAAATAAAACTTTCGTGCTGCAGGTGCCTTGAGGAGACGACATGTGGGTGATCTTTTCTAGAAGGCAGTGGAGTGAAAGTTTTGGGAAAAGTGACAGAAAGAGAAACAAATCCTGTACTGGAAGCTCACTGAAAACCAACTAAGTAAACAAATATTTTAGTACCTCAACTGAAATATAAGCATAAACAGAGGTTGACTATGATTGTACCTGGACAAGATGAGTAAAAAGCTAAAGTGGTCTGTTATCAGCTATTTATGTATTTTGGGCCTGTCTCCAGCAGTTAACAAATGTCCTTTCTTTCAACAAATATCTATTAAGAGGCTAACATGTGCCAGACTCTACAGAACAGGCTTACAGGCATAATGCCACAAAGGAACAGAAATCTAACAGGCTTCAAGATCAGGCCTGTCAAATAAATGTACCACAATTTATATATCATACATATATCTAGTACACAGTCACCAGAACATAAGATTAAACATGTTAATGTTTATCTAAGTATCATTTTTAAAAGAAAAATAAAACAAAAACTGGAAACAACTAAATGACATCAACAGAATATATAATTAAGTTGTGGCATATTCATGTCATGGAAATGAACTACAGTGTCACACATCAACATGGATGAATCCAAAAATAATAATGAGCAAAAGTAGTCAGTCATATACAGTATAATTCTATTTATATAAAGGCTATAAATAAGCAACTGTTAGGGATACACAGACAGTAAAATCTATAAAAGCTAGGTGACAGTTATACAAAATTCAGGATAGTGGTTGCCTCTGGCTGCAGGGGAGAGAGATATGAATGAGAGCATACGAGGCTCCTGGGATGTAGTAATGTTCCATTTCTCAGTCTGAGCAACGGGCACCTGGACATTTATTATTGTTCTTCTAAATATACATTTTCATTTGTGTATTGTATATTCTATTTCACATTAAAAAGAAAAAAGACCAAAAAAAAAACATTAAGTGTGACTCAAGATTTAAGCAGACACAGTGCAAAGAAATGAAAAGGTGGATATAATTTGAGGTAGATGATGGATGCAGGTTTGGACAAACTGAGTTCCTGAAACATAGACTTTTATTCTTAGCCGTATTAGGTGTGAAATTGCCCTGAGAGCACCAGTTGCTTTTATGCTAGATTTGGAGGGGAAAGAGGGCAGTTGAACTCAGCAATTTATGTGTCCAGCACTGAAAACCTTCATGGTAAACAATTACTAATAGGTTATATGTTAGGTTACTTTTCAGTCCCACTCAGCTCAAAGGGCTTGTCATTACCCTACTGATTTGCACTTCTAAGTCTTCTGCCTGTTGCATTCTGATGATCCATTTCTATGCAAAACATAGAATCTAAAGCTGAGACATAGCAATAGAGGACCAGAGAACAGACACAGCAACGAAGTTTCCATGAGGCAAATCAGGAGGGTAGGAATGAGATTTTGATGTGCATCCTGGCCAAATTCCAGAACTAGCAAAGAGAGGTCAGTTCCTAATTCCAATCAAAGCAAATTCAGTCATCTTATTTTCACACAGAAGTGGTCTACATTGATTTTTAAATCTCTTTAAGGGATTAGGGAGCCTCTGAAATGCAAAGGAAACTAAACTGATAGTAATGTAAAATGAACAGTGACCTATCAGACCAGCAAACACTGTCAAAAACAGAAAGCTAATGGTGGGACTGGAATCTAGAACACAGAAGTTATGTTTATCCAGTGCTACACTGTGCAACAGGGTAGTCACTTGCCACATGTGGCAATTTAAATTTAAATGAAATTCAATTAAACATTCCATTCCACAGCTGCACCAGCCACATTTTAAATGCCTCAACAGCCACGTGTAGCAAGGGCTACTGTACTGAGGAGCACAGACACAGAACATTTGTATCAGTGGCTGACCTAGCAGTATCCAGGGTAAAGGGTGTTCTGCTAGTAAAGCAAGGTGGGCATCAGAATTATCACAACTTAAGCATAATATTCCTGAGGGCATCTATTTCCATTTATTTGCTTCTCTGCTTACCAACTCTGAACCCCTGCTTTCCCAACTTTCTGGTATCTGGGAAGAAAATAAACTGACTAGAAAACACAAATTTCATTCTGCTTGACAACTGTAATTCTCACTAAATTTATAAATTTGCTTTCTGATTTATCAATGAGTGCCAAAAACATGAGTTTGAGAAAGGCTGAGTTTGATTATCCCTGAGTGGATCCAAGCATTAGGAAGGTCTTGCTTAAGTGGGTGATAGGAAGTGACAAAAAAAGCTGGAAGAAACATGACAGACTATAATACTCCCTTCCCTAACCTTCCTCCTTTTCACCCTGCTCACCTGGGCCAGGTTAGAATCCGTCCTTTGTAAAGCACCCTGTACCTTTCTATTGTAACCTTTATTTACTACATTATCTGTTTATAGAGTGATCTATGCCATTAGTTGAAAATTATTCAAGGGCAGAGACTTCTCTTTATTCACCTTCAGTAACTAACATAATGCCTAGCATGTAGGAGGCTCTCAAAATTAAGTTTCTCATTCAAATAAATTGTACAGAGCAAGTTACACTTTTAGGGGCTGGCTAGTAGTTATCTGATGAAGGTATGATATTAAAGACCATATACTAAACTATAGCAATCTCATCAAAATAACCTTGGAGGGCTGGGAACAGGGAGAATAAGAGAAGTAGATTAGAACAATTCTTTATTCACCACCATTGCCCAACCCCGGTCTTTCCAAGTGGGGAAACTAACATTTATGAAACAACTAATACATACCTACACTTCACAAAAAAAACAGTCCTTCCATAAATGCCATCAAATATTATTGCCATTTTAAAGATGAGGACACTGAACACTAGAAAGGATATGCAACTTGAACAAATGCAAGTCAACTAAAAAAGTTAAGCTAATTTTCAAGTGCAGAACTATCTATCTGTATCTGATACAAATGGGAATATTCACTGAACCCTGGAGAGAACGAGCATTTGAAAAAAAAAAGGGTTCACTTAAGAGATATGATTTTATCATAACAGCATTGAAACTTTAATCTCTTATTTTTCCTATTTGACTTCTTAAAAAGGGTGGCATTGCCAAGAATTTTCTTTGATATGGTTTCACAATTGTATTCACCTTCTCTCCATTCTGAGACTTATCCATAAGAATACTCACTTTAATCCGACTTCTACTGCATGGTTGGAAAAGAAGATACGCAATAACTCTTTCAAACTCCTTTATCTCTTTTACTCTCTCATGCTTCTCATATGTAAGTAGCTGGCTCTGGCTTCTTCTCAAGATTCTCTCCTTGAGTCTTTGTTCTGCAAGTTCTCTCCCTCGAATCATGCGTTCCTGGTGATCCTTAGTCTGCATCTGTTCCCTCTCATTTACCTGCTTTCTTCTCTGTGCGTTCTGGATGCCATGCCCTTCTGGCATAATTTTTGGTAATTTTGTTTCATTGGGGGGTTGTAGTACTTGTCTAAATGGTTTGTTCTTAAATTCTCCAGCCTTTCCTGTTTGATGTATGTGCCTTTCTATGTGTTTCATCTCTCTCTCAGGTACCAAACAGTACTGTTTTAGTCCTTCTACGCTCTGGGTTGTTTTCTCCTCCATTTTTTTCTAGATTTCATTGCCTGTCTCTTCTTTCATCATTTCCACTATTATTTTATTATAATAAGACTCTGCTTTGGCAAGCCAGTAGTCAAGAGAAACAGCTTGCTCCCTACAGAGTATTTCACACTCCTCCTGATATTTCTGCATTATCAACTGTCTTGCTGCTGTTGTATGCACACCACCTAGATTCTGTCAAAGTGAAGTCAGAAATTTATAATGTGATCATCTTTTTCCTTTGAACACATTTAAACAGGAGCCAAGCCCACCCTCCCTAATGACACCAGGAAAAGCTACATGCTCTTTACTTTAGCTTAGTTGTTATTTTATTCCCATCACTCCCAGGTGAGCCTGGGAGCTCTGAAAGTATTAAGTACTCACCACCACAAATCAGTAACTAGGTTTAAAAATGTATGGTGTTGGAAGTTTCCAAAAATGATACTTTGTTTTGCAACTGTGGATATAGCTGGGTAACATTTGCCAGTGTAGACATACTACCTGAATGTGTCACTTGGGCAGAAGGATTTTAAACCTAAGATTCCTTCTCTGTGTAGTTCCAAACTGTATGATGTGAAGATAATTTACTTACCAAGATCTTTTTTTCCAGTGGAGACTGCTGACCTGCAGCAATCCTAGGATCTTTAGATGATGTACCCCAGGCCAATCTGGAAGATAAAAAAGGCAAGGTAGATTCAAATGTAGGAGGTGTCAGAACAAATCTGCTAATAGGGAGGACTACAGCAGGGCCATTTCCCCCATGGGAAACCACTGCATTCCTATGGTAGAAAATAATGAATGCTCTTTTAATAAGAGGATCTTTCCTTTCATATGAACAAGCATACTTTTCCTGTGGACTCAGCGTGAACCACTGTGAATCTCGTATTGGGGATTGTGAGTGGGAAGAGACATGCTCCTTGGTGAGGTGTTGTCCAAGTACATCTATGTCAGTCTGCTCAGTCCTCAAGCCTCCTTTGTGTTCTGAGACGATTGTAGGTTCTAGTTTTCTAGACGATTCTAGGTTTCTAGTTTTCTCTTCCTGCAGTTTCTTGATCCGGGCCCTCTCTGACTCTATCAGCACATACAGCATTTCTGCCCTCTAATCTTTTGTTCTGAAATTCTGTTATTTGACTGCTCAGCCCTCTGCTTGCCTGACTAACAATGCCAATCATCCTTCACTCTAAATCCATTATGAGACTATTCCCTGTTGAACCCCTCAGGATGGCAATTTGTGGTTACTCTGGGTTTATTTATAGAGGAGGCTGATGGCAACACAAATGAAAACTATCATCTTTTATGTGTCATCCCTGGTCTAGCCTGAGTTTACTGTGATGTCGTATTTAAGCCACTGAGGATGCCTGGCATTTCCTCTGTATGTCTTTTATACCATTTAGAGTTCAAAGGATGGTCTTTACAGTCTGACAGAGCTAGATCTGAAATCTAATTCTACCACTTCCTAGGTGTGTGACTCAGGGCAAGTAACTTCTGTCAGCTTTCTCATCTATAAAATGGAGATGTAAGACAAAAATCTGCCTCTCAGGGTTATAAAGAACAAATATGAATTAGATGTAAAGAGCTTGGTAAGTTCTCAATAAATTCTATCTATCTGTCCTTCACAGGTCAAGCTCCTGATTATAAAGTCTTTCCAGTCTACTCTGTCAGTGATCTTCCCTTCCTCTAAATACTTGACATATTTTAATTCTACAACTCATTTGAAAATTAATCGTGGTTTACACTGTGATATCTGTATTCACATATCACTTTTAACATTTTGATGCTGAAATTTAGGCTCATAAGGAATGAAAACTGTAATTTATATCTACAAATATGATGCCTCTATATTGTTGGAAAGGATCTGATATCAAATATTTGGTCTCACTGACCTCTTAGGAACATTCTTATTTGTCTACGTAAGCTTATTTTGAGATTGTAAACGTATGATCATCTTACTTTTACTTCTCTGTACATGGCTTCTAGCACAATACTTAACATTAGAGTCTGTGATCCCAAGTTCTCAAAATTAATGATTTGCTGATTGCTGATGATCCTTGACACATAATATCTGAGCATCTTTTTTAAATATCTGCCATAACATTGTATCTATTTTTATTAAGCCATTTCCCAGTCTTCCTTGAAGTTTACAGATATGTTTGCTTTATATGCATGTTCTGGGCTCTCACATTTTGTACCTACTAGCACAGTTTTATTATATTCTAATTATTCATTCATGTTCCTTGAGGTCAGAGAACACAGATTTCAACTTTGCAGGCTCAGCCTCAGCTCAAAACCTGGCATAGTTGCTCAATAAATCTTTACTGATTAGACTGTGAGCTTTTGTTGGGAAAAGGATATGCCTTTTAATGCTTTGTTCCTTTACTGCAATTCACAGGGGATGTTGGCTGTTTTTCAAATTAAAAACAGAAAACTGAGGAGGGTAGAATTTCAAGTTCCATTTTCAAAGGAGACACACAGATAAGTGAGAATAAAAACTGTCTACGACAATCAGCTCAACAACACGTCTCCCTTTGTAAGACAGAATAACAAGCAATTTCACAGTTAAGTGATAGGGCTTGTCACTCTTCAGCAGTTTGCTGAGTTTTAACCCTTTCACTATGGCGTTCTCTCCATTATTACAGAGAAAGGCAGATGGGAGCCTCTCCCAGCGAAAAGACTACAGCTTGTGTCCTTCATAGGAGAAAACAGTGATGGCTCCAGAACTTTTATATGAATGAACTTAGCACAGCTATCAGAGTGGATGGTGGTGGGAGGGCTAGCAGGAAACTAGTAAACAACTACAAGCTGCCCCTTCAGGGAAAGTTTCTACTTGGAATATAAGTTACAGATTAATGAAAATAGAAAGATTTCCCAAAGATACTTATTCTCATGTTTTATAAAAGATCAGGGAAATGTCAGCTGTCCACTTAACGGATGACATAATGAATTAAGAGTTCGATAGGCGGCAGGCACAACTAAAAGCCAAACTCGACCTAAGTCTTATGAAATCCTACTTAATGAGCTTTCTTGACTACTGCTAGCCTCACTTATCTGGCAGGAGTCGAAGGAGAGGAAGCCCCAAGCTCCTCTGTTCCACCACCTCCAAAGTCCTGAACCCCTTCTCAAGTGTACCACTTCATCCCTGCTTCCTTTCGTCCCGTGGGACTAAGCATTCCTCGGGCCTTCACTCTCACCACTTGCTGTCCCTCAAAAAGCCGACTCACCCCTTTCCAAGCGCAGTGAACCGTCCGCAAAGCATGAGGCCGGTTGCGAGCTGCAGAAAGCCCACGCTCGCCAGCGGGACCCAAGGAACGCTAGAACTATACGTCCCAGAACACTTAGCTTTGTTTTTAACTACGGTGCAGCCGCAAAAGGGAAATACCGGCTCAGGACCCAGGGGAGTTGTAGTTCTCTAATCCAAAGAAATCATTATTTGGCAACGTACGGTTTTCAGGGGGATATACCCCGCGACTGCGTTCCTGTAGGATGTGAGACAAAGAGAATAAATATCCCAGGATTGGGTGCTGGTGGGAAAATTTGCTGGAAGCGCAGCATTGGTTACCAATTTTGTGCTCAACCTCTCAGTACCAGGGTGAAAGTAGAGACGCAATCTCCCTTGGAAGACGTTAGTCTCCATCTCTAACGCTCCCGAGACACGGTTCGCAATTAATTATGACGTCACAGCCAATCGTCAACGCGAAAGCCTGACGCTCTAGCCGGCTCTATCTCGCTGCCCCGCCGCGGGCGCAGAGCTGGCGCTCTAGCCCACGGAGTTGGTTAACTCCTCTCACCGGCCCCTGGAAAGGGTTCCAAGTCCTTTAGTACCCGACGCTGTCTGGGAATTCCGGGCGTTTCGGCTCCTTGGTCGCAGAGGCAGGAGGCGTGCGTGGCAGGAGGGTTCGGGTTATATACTCCTAGGTCCTGGGACAGAATAGTTACGACCTCTGGGACAGGAACTCTTCTCTCTTTTGTTAATAAACTTCCAACTCCCTCCTCAGACCCGACCGCATGTCTGTCATGGACCTCGCCAATACTTGCTCCAGCTTTCAGTCGGACCTGGATTTCTGTTCAGATTGCGGCTCGGTCCTGCCTCTGCCCGGGGCTCAGGATACGGTCACCTGTATTCGCTGTGGCTTCAACATCAACGTTCGGGGTGAGAGGCTTGTACGCAGGGGTCCTGGCGGAGGGCGCAGGGTCGGAAGCTTGGGGAACTCAAGATCGGTTGGGTTGAGGAGGGGATCCTAGAGCAGGACATCAGGCGGTTGTACATTTGGTCTAGCGATGAAAACTGAGGGAAAGGATGTAGGGCCTCCTGGCCTAACCAGCCAGGGGAAAGGGGAGGTTTCCGGTGTCAGCTCTCTCTGGTTGTCTCCATAACCAGTTCTTACTTGCCTGTGCAGACTTTGAGGGGAAGGTTGTGAAGACTTCGGTTGTGTTCCACCAACTGGGGACAGCCATGCCTATGTCGGTGGAGGAAGGGCCTGAGTGCCAGGGACCTGTGGTAAGCTAATGAGATCAAGAACTGGCTCCATAAGGTGGGTAGGAAAGAAATGGAGGAGTGATTGCAAAGCTCTGGAGAGTTTTGTGCCCAATTCCAAGAGGGAAAAGAGATGTAAACCATCGACGTTTGAGAGGCGTGATCGCCTGATTCCTGTGGGAAGTAAGGGGATATGACCAGGCCTCCCTAACCCACCAGTTTCTTCCCAGGTTGACAGGCGCTGCCCTCGATGTGGTCATGAAGGAATGGCATACCACACCAGACAGATGCGTTCAGCCGATGAAGGGCAAACTGTCTTCTACACCTGTACCAACTGCAAGTGGGTATTCTTTCCCCTCCCTCTGCTCAGTCTGTTTGCTAACTAAACAAATCCAGTGATTTATTTTTTTGTACGAAATGGCCGTTTCCCTTGGTCCCATCCCTTATTTCTGTGCAGTTCTGGTAATAGGGAGATTTGTAGTTGTTTTTTATTTTTTTAAGTTACACTTTTTTAAACCTTTTTATAACCAGTGAAATAAACCTTTTAGGATTTTTTTTTTTTTTTTTTTTTTTTTTTGACAGGGTGTCGCTCTGTCACCTAGCCTGGAGTGCAGCGAGGCAATCTTGGCTCACTGCAACCTCCGCCTCCTGGGCTCAGGTAATCCTCCCACCTCAGCCTCCAAAGTAGCTGGGACCACAGACACATGCCACCACGCCTGGCTTTTTTTTTTTTTTTTTTTTTTTTTGTATTTTTAGTAGAGATGGGGTTTCTCTATGTTTCCCAGGCTGGTCTTGAACTTCTGAGCTCAAGTGATCCACCCACCTCAGCATCCCAAAGTGCTGGGATTACAGGCATGAGCCACCCCGCCTGACCTACTTTTAGGATATTTAAAAGGAAATGAAGAAAAAAAAAACAACATAAGAAGCAGGTATTGTTTAGTGGTCAGCATCTTATACTGCAGTCTTCAACCGCAGTCAAGGTAGCTTTCTTTGGAGAGAATTAGTCACACATGACTTAGAGAACATGGGCTTTCTGAATGCTTTTAAGACCTCATTTTTGTCTTTGGTGTTCTGCAGTCACTATAGTATATCAAAATACGATTTTCTTTTATTCTGTTTGGGATTTGTTGGACTTTCTGAAACTGAGAGTGGACTTTTTTTTCATCAACCTTGGAAAATTATCAGCCATCATCTCTTTTAATATTCTCTTTCCCCCATGTTCTCAGTCCTCACATTCTGGACCTCGAATTAGTTACTAGAAAGAGGTTTCTCTCTTCTGTCCTCCATTTCTCTCACCTTCTTTTCATATTTTCAATTGCTGTTCTCTTTATGCCACCTTCTGAGTAATTTCTTCAGGTCCCTCTTCCATGTCACTAATTCTGTCTTCAGTTTATTTCAAGTATTATTATTTTTTACTATTGTTATTATTTTGAGTTCTATTTAATTACTTTTCAAATCTCCTTAATTTTTAAATAATTATCAGTTCTTTAATCATATTTTAAATTGTTCCTTTTATTATTCTTTAAATATATATTTAAAATATTAAATATGGTTATTATATTCTATGTCTCATAATTCTGATATCTGCGGATTTTGTGTGTCTGATGCTGCTGTCTTTTGTTTCTGCTGTCTCTCTCATAGTGCTTTTTTTCTTTGTTTTGTGATTTTTGACTATAAATTCGAGTTTTTTAGAACTTGAACTGTAGGAATTCTTTGAGGCCTTGGGCGAGTGCTGTATTCTCAGCATTTGTGTTTCTTTTCTAGGTGCCTTGAAGCACTATCAAGCTGGAATTACTTTAAATAAATTCTTGGCTTCATGTTTTTTGGAGCAGACAGATAGTATGAATTTGAGCTGCAAATCCATGTAAGGGCTAGCTTACAGTTAGAAATTCTCAGGAGAGAGTTTTCTCTCTTTCTACCTACTGAGACAGTCAAATTCCCCTTCTATAGAGTTGAATTTTTTCTTTTCTTGTTCACTTTTACAAGAAAGGGCAGCCTTTTGCAGTTCCCAAATTTATGCACGGGATCTCCTATCAGACCTTATACATTTTGTCCCTCATTTCCTATGCTTCCAGTGACTGTCAAAACAGTATAAAGGGCACCATAGTGTCACTGTCACGTTTCATAGGGACATTAGTTTTAACTTCCCTGTCTGGATTTCTGGTTTTACAGAACTTTTAACCAGTGTGCAGATTGCCTTTACTTTCTTGCCATCTCATCAAAGGATTAAAAATATTCATAGTCAGATATATCTTTTAAAAGTATTTTTTTCCTATCACTGGTTGTCATTTTACCAAAAAAAAAAAAAATTTTTTTTAAATAAAAAGAAGATTTTTTTTCCCAGCGTGTGGCTTGCCTATTTTCTTAACCCTCTTTAAATGAGCAGAAGTTTTAAGTTTTTATAAGGTTCAGCTTATCCTTTTTTTTTTCTTTTACAGCTAGTGCTTTCTGTGTCCTAAGAAATCTTTGCTTTGAGGTTATAACTCATTGGATATATTTTTAATCCCAGAATTTTTAGTTGTCTTGGAATTAGAATTGGAAGTTTGTTTAGGGGAGCCAGTCCTCAATGATGTCATAAATAAAAGTCCTTCCTTGATTATTTGATTGCATATCTTATCTTATACTACTAGAAACTCATCTTTTGGTGAATATAACAAGTCCTTTCTTTCCTCATAGGTTCCAGGAGAAGGAAGACTCTTGACCTTTTTCCTGGGCAACTCTACAGTCCCTCCCTCCTTTCGGAAGGTGAAGGATACTGGGTTTTTAGATGCCTTGTCCATCCTGTCTGGTTGCAATGTTTTGCTCCCAGAAGAGAATCAGATCATCATGTGGGGATTACCATTGTTCCTGGAGTACTCCTACCCTTAGTTGAATTTCCTTATTAAAGTTATATTTTTCTATAAGACCCTGACATATGTATGTTACTTATAATCTGTCTTATTCCAAAAGGAATTTAAATGAGTTTCCAGAGATATATTTATATGAAAAAGAAAAGGGGGAAAAATTAGGACAAAAAAGTAGAGTCAGGAATGAGGCTAATATAAACAAAAAGCAATTGTAAGTATTGCCATACTATTTAAATCTATTTGGTTCCTGAGTTTAGGTTAAGAAAAACTAGGAATTTGGATAGTGAGACATTTAACAGAAATTTTAACCAGATCTCTTTAGCATATAAATTTGGACAACAAAAAATCTGATACTAAGTAATGCCACTAAGTGATCACTATAGGTGAGTATTTTATTAGTATTGAGATAAATACAATACACAGTTGACCCTTGAACAACACAGGTTTGAACTGCTTGAGTCTACATATATGTGGATTTTCTTCTACTTCTGAGACCCATAAGATAGCAGCACATTTAAGCCCTCCTTTTCCTCCTCCTGAGCCTACTCAACATGAAAATGTGATCCACTTCTACTTAATGAATAGTAAATATATTTTCTTTTCCTTATGATTTTCTTAATAATGTTTTCTCTAGCTTACTTGATTGTAAGATTATATGTATTATAAGTATATAATACATATACAAAATATGTGTTAATCAACGGTTTATGTTATTGGTAAGGCATCTGGTCAACAGTAAAGTTTTGGGGGAGTCAAAAGTTATATATGGATTTTTGGCTGTTCAGAGGGTCAGCACCCCTTACCCCCATGTTGTTCAAGGATGAATTGTATATCTATTATAATAGATTCTTATATAGAAAGAAAGAAAAAAGTAAAGTCACAAGGAATCCTACTCCACAGAGATAACCAAATTATACTGTATATCTGTGCTTGTGTATATGTATGTGGCTCTGTATATGTGTGTTGCTATATATGTGTTTGGTTTTTTTAATGGACTAGACATGCTGAACTATATCTTGCTTTTTTCTGTTTGAACTAAAAACTTTCAAGGGGAACAAATGCATACTCAGGTCCCGCATTCCTTGGCTCAAATAGTGATCAAGGGGTTACTGTAATAATTATCATATAATTGTGTGGCCCTTTATATATATTCAGAGCTCTCAAACATAGCTATCTTGTTTGACCCCCACAGCAACCTGGAGAATGGGCAGGGCAGTCTTCCCCACTGTACGTTTGAACTGTTCTGGCAGTTGACTTTCCTGACCCACTCCTGAAATCTGAAACAAACCTGTTCATGTTTCTACCCTACTTTAAGCCTTTCTCTGGCCCATAACAGTGATTGGATTAAGCTTAATTTCTTAGCAAAGCATACAGGTTCTTCCATATAACCACTGCCTACCTGTCAAGCTTCATCTGGCACTCCCTCAGATCCAAGCGGTACAAAACTCCATTTCCTGTAGTGCACACATCTACAACTTTTTAAGCTGCTCTTCTAAAAAAACCTACTTGTCGGCCTTCCTGGTTCTTGTTTTACCACTTTCTTTTGCTCTCTAAGAAACGTGCACATATTTTTATAAAATAGCCTATACTGTAATTTACGACCATTTCTCTGCTTCATCCTACTCATCACCCCAGAGAGAACGAATATGTTGGCAGTATGTAACTACATTCAGATTTACAAATCAGACATGGCATTTGTTAATGCCCCAGTGTTTCATATTTTTGTTAGTTTTCAGCATGCCTGTCTTTCCTACTAGAGCTAAAAGGCAGGGTCTGAGCGTCTTACGCGCCTCCATCTTCAAGGCGTAGCACAGTGACTGAAAAAAACTGACGTTGAACGTGCACTAAACTGAACTGCTCAAACACCTACAGGCACAGGGCGAGGGGTAGAACCACATCGCTTGACTCTTAAGTGTGTTTCCAACTGCTCCCACTTCCCGTTTTCTTTAGAGAAACCCAGACCAAACAAGGAAAGGGAAATAGGCCACGGTAGGGTCATTACTATTGCTCCTTAAGCTTCCTCGCCGGTCCACCTACCCAGACAAGGCAAACGGAAATCTGCAGCAGGACTCAGCTTGGTGCACACAACTCCGCCCTCGCCACACCCACTCTGCAGCGTCTGGCCCGGCAATACCCATCTGGGCGCCCCTCCTGCTTCCTCTAGGCTGTGAGTACGCGTGCTGCCCCAGACTCTCCCTCCTCCACCCACACCCGCAGTGACACCCCTTCCGCCAAATTTGTTTCTCTTTCTTTCAGCGCCTGCGCGCTGTCACGTTACGGCGGAACTAATCCAGCGACGCCTGCGCTTTGACGCATTTGGTGCCGTGGAAGGGAAAAAGGGGGACTGCAGTATGCGTCACACCCGGAAGCGGCGAGCCGGAAGTGGGGTTAGCCAGGTTATCCCCAGGGGTGGAGAAGCGGAGGCCCAGGAGGAGGGGGAATAAAGAAGGTGGAGGATCCTGGCTACCACTCTGAATCCGATACCGCTTCTCTTAGACCTCAGCGACAGAAAAAGGGAAGGGTGTCTCATCCCCCTTCCTCCTCTCCTCCCTGTCCTGAGCCTTAGCCATGGCCGAGGCAGGGGCTGGGCTGAGCGAGACCGTCACTGAGACAACGGTTACCGTGACAACCGAGCCCGTGAGAAAGGCGGGGGGGCGGTGCTGTTTAGGGGTCTGGGAGATACTGGGAGGGAGGGGACAGGGATTAGAAGAGTTGTTGGAGAAGCTAGGCCTAGGGATATGGGAGGTGTGGGGTTGAATATCTAGGGCTGGGAGAATCGGAAGGTATTGGAGCTATTTGGAGTGGCAGAGATGGTGCAGGAGGCAGGTCAAGGAACTTGTAATAGGGAGGTACAGTTAGGATATAAGTGTTGCTGCTTGGGGTGGTTATGTGTGTAAGTAATAAACGAAAGGGAAATTGAGGATTAAGGAGCCAGGAAGATGTTGGGAGGAAATCAAAGGTAGTGTAAGAAAGCATGGTTGGAGGCCAACTTATCAATATTATCAATATTGATATTCGAATAAATATTTATTGAATGGATGAATGTAAAAGGAAGTGGCAGGAATGAGGAAACAAGAAAAGGAGATGAAAAGAGGTATTTTGAGAAATCAGAGAGCAAAGATGTAAATGGAGAAACAAGAAGTATTTATCCAAAAACATGTTAAGTTGCCTTCAAAGGGAGAAGGTTGCATTGGGCTTAATACTCTTGGATTAAAGGAAGTTTAGTAATTAATAGATTAGTAATACTTGCTACTAGAGATGCCAGGATGCCAGAGAATAGGTGGATAAGAGGTAGGGAGGGCTGGAGCTTGAGAATGAGAGAGGTTTTGTTTGTTTTTTTAAGAGAAAAAGAATAGGGGATCTGGAAAAAGGAAGGGAGATCAAAGATTAGGTGCTGGGGACTGAAAAATAATTTTCATGTATTAATACTACCAAGGATGATTTGGGGAGGAAGACGGAGAAACAGCAAGGATTATATTTTCCTTTGAAGAGTTGCTGGGACCTTTCCTAGGTTAGGAATTGTGTCTTCTCTTATACTGGTGGTATAAGAACAGGAAATAATACTTATTCCTCAAGGGACTATCTGAGGTAAAAGACCTGTTCTGTTTTATCTTCTGTCAGCTCCTCTGGTGCTATGCCTATGGTACTGATTGAGCTAAAGAAGAAAAGAGAGGAGGTTCCCTGGGAGGGAGTGGGAAAGGTTAGTAAGAGGGGACTAGATAGGTATGCTCATCCTTAACCTTCTAGGAGAACCGGAGCCTTACCATCAAACTTCGGAAACGGAAGCCAGAGAAAAAGGTAGAATGGACAAGTGACACTGTGGACAATGAACACATGGGCCGCCGCTCATCCAAATGTGAGTAATTGTTGGCCCGCAGTAGCCCTGGAGTTCTGGCTCCCTTCAGCATATCTTGTATCTACTCATATCCACTGGCTTTCCAGAAGCCCCCAGATGTTCATAGTTCTGTCACTTTTTTGGTGGTGCTGTGGTATCAGGGAAAGAGGTAGGGAAGGGCTAGAACTGGAATTGCCTAGGTCTGACAGCAAGAAGTGTCAGAGGTGGGAGAAGTGGGGCTTTGAATTCGTGGCTCTCTAAGAGGACAAGAGGGGTGGGGCCTGAGTCCCAGAGGGTGGGCCTGGGGAAGCTGGATCCTGGAAGGTAGGAGAAAATAGGAATTTTCACTGAGTTTGAGTGGGAATGGAACTGACTATATATCTTACCCTTCCTCCTCTTTAACTGGGCTCCTCCCTCTAAATCTAGGCTGCTGTATTTATGAGAAACCTCGGGCCTTTGGCGAGAGCTCCACGGAAAGTGATGAGGAGGAAGAAGAGGGCTGTGGTCATACACACTGTGTACGTGGCCACCGCAAAGGACGGCGTCGTGCAACCCTAGGACCGACCCCCACCACCCCTCCCCAGCCTCCTGACCCTTCCCAGCCCCCTCCAGGGCCAATGCAGCACTAAATCCCTCTCTCCTCCAGCATTCCTGTGTCTGTCTGGCCCTAAATGTATCCATGTGGCTACTTCTCCAGCCCCCTCCTTCCCTCTCTTCTGCCTGATAGAGGGAAGAGGAAGAGGAGGACGAACAGAGATCCTGAAATTCTGACTTGCTGCTATTCCAGAACCCAGCCTCCTGGGTTTCCCCAGTCCTCATTTTTCCTCCCAATACCCACCCTTCTCTCTCGAGGGATCTAGGCACCTTGGTCCCAGTGTCTTCCTTTTGTTCTCACTGCTAAACTGCCTGTCCTGGGATCTAGTTATCTTGGCCCTGCACTCTCAACATGAGTAGCGAACACTTAAATTGGGTTTTCAACAGTCCCAGCTTTCACTGCCAGGGTCCCAGTCAGATTCCAGGAATTTGCGCCCTAACTTTGCTTGCTAATCCTGGTTTAGAGCTATCCCACTAAAATATTTAATCCTAATTCTTAGTCCTTGCCTGTGAGATATGAGGTCTTACAGGAGACCTCAGAGCTCCCAGCCCTTCTCCTCCTGCTAAACCTTCTCACACCCTCAAGAGGAGTTAGAAAAGAGGTCCTTGTCATTCTCACCTCTTATGGAAAATGGAATAAGAAATAATCATATCCTTTCTTCCCACCCTTCTCCTGTTATTTAGGATTTCTGACAAAGCTGGCTTGAGATTGGTCACTTAGAGCCGACTGTCTCCTCTGCCTTTTGTTTTTCAGCTTCAGAGACAGATCCAATATAGTCCCAGGGACCTGGGTCTCTGGGAGAGGAAGGAAGAGGGAGGGAGCAAAGAGATTGGGGTATGTCCCCTGTAGTACACTCTTACCTCTTACTTCCTAGACTTTGATTTCTCCGGCAGCCCAGATGTTCAGTTCTCTTGGCCCCTCTCTACCCCTTACTGGGATCTGGTTTTCATTTTCCGGTCCTTTTGCCATACACAGTTACAGAGATCAGTCAAATCCATACCACCACTGAGATCTCATTTATTGCCACAGATGCACAAAATAAATAACCCAAAATCACAAAATGTGTTAAATATGGGCCCATTTATACTTATGGGGAAGGGTGTGAGACTATACACAAGGATGAGTTTGGAGATGTCTGAAGTATTCCCAGGTTGAGGAGGAGAGAGGGGAAATAGCACCATTGGTTCCTTTCCGTGAGTATGTGCGGGGAGAAGTTTCAAGAAGGTTCTTATGGAAAAAAGGCTGTGAGCATAGAAAGCAGTCATAGGAGGTTGGGGAACTAGCTTGTCCCTCCCCACCCCCAGATCCTGCAAAAGAGGTACAAAGCTTCCCAGAGGGCCACAGGGCCCAGACCAGAGTCAAGCCTCTTGTTTTAGGAGAAACCTCAGTGGACAGGCAGGGTAGCCCAGTCCTTAGATCTGTGGGGAAGGCCCTGAGCCCTTCTGGAGCTAGGAGTGGCAAGAGTGGGAGTCAAGTATTTGACCAGCAGAGCCTCTATGTAGGAATCATGGTCACTTTACCAATACTGATGGGGAGGGCCTGTTCCCCATTGCAGGCCTAGAATGGTTTGAATGGGAGAAGTCAGGAAGTACTGTAGTAGCTGTAGGGGAGAGAAGATTCTGAGAGCCAGAAGGCAGGAATGGATTTGGTTTTGAGCAGGGACGTGGAAACGTGGAGACCAGGTGAGGTCTCATTATTTTGGGGCGAAAATGTGGGTTGCTATTAATACTCCTGCAATGGGCGTGTGAATGTGTTCCCAGAAATGAGTGGGGAATTCCACCCCCAAAAAGCAGCTGCAGGGCCAGTGGCCGGGCCAAACTTCTAGTTGGAGACGAGACTCAGCTTTCCGCTGGTACAATGCGGAGCGGAGCACGAGGGTCGCAGGTGCAGAACAGCGGGAAGATGCGCTCCCCCAGGGGGCCAGGCGCCTGGAAGGCGTAAAGCAGGTCGAGTGAGCGGCCGTCGTAGAAGGCCACGCGGCCCCGCTCCCAGTCCAGGTCCACGCGAATGCGCCGCGGCGGGGGCTCAACACCGCCCAGCAGGGTGGGTTCGGGTGCCGTGAGGGCCCACAGGCGGCCGCCGCGGCCCCCCACGGCCCACACGGCCCCCGCAGGGCACAGCCTTACGCAGCCCTTGCGTTGCACTGATTCCCCGGCCGCGCCCACTGCATAGTGGCTCTCCTCGTCGTCCGCATCCTCCCCAGAAGAGTCTCTGCAGGAGGCGGCGTCCGCAGTCTCCACCTCCCAGCAGTGGCGGCCGGCCCCGAAGCCCTGCGCACCCAGCACAGCTGGGAGCTGATCGAAGCGCTTGGGGCCGTCAGGGGGCGCGGGCGTCCCTGGTGGGGCCAGTTGTACGCTGCGGCGGTCGGCGGAGATGAGCAGGCGGCGGTGTGCGGTCCCAGGGTCCAGGGTCAGGTCGGCTGGAGACGGGGAGGCAGGGAGAGGACCTCATGAGAGAGTTTTCTAAATCACAGGCGGGGTAGGGTGGAGAATAGTCAACGAAGATCACGTAAAAGACTGAGAGCTAGTGACCACACAACAGCTCAAAAGGCGACTGCAGGACCAAAAAGAAGGAAGGCATATGAAGAGCAGACCTGGGCAATATCAGACCTTGTACTGATGCACCACTTCTGTAGAATTGGACCTGGGGAAGGATCATACTGGCCCAGTGCAGGGAGCACAGCAGGAAGATCAAATGAGAGGTTGTCTCGTTTGTGGGGTTGGGGGAGGAAGAGTGAGGCTGATCTGACTTCGAGGGAGGAGTAAGGACTGATACCTCAATCTGCATCATCTGGGGTGGGGCATGGGAGCTGGGTCAGCAAAATGGGGAAGGTTCATCTAAAGAGAAAGTCGTACTGATACTGGAACCTCAAGTAATGGGAGGGGCACAGGGAGGAATCCAAGGTATCCTGAGAAACCAGCCCACCCACCCACAGGAATTGGGGGGTGGGGTGGACAGTCCTATTTCTGTAGGGGTTGTGGGGCAGAGGAGGAGAGCAGGTGGTGATAGCCAGAGACCAGAAAAAGAACCATTGGCCTTATATGTATGGGGTGCTTTGAAGAAAAATTTCTGGATTAGGGGTGTCAGAAGCAATCTGGACTGGGCAAGATGGTGGATGACCAAGATGGTGGACCACCTTCTCTAGGCAGTTTAAAGAAGGGTAGAGGCACCCTTCTTCTTGGGAGTGAGTGAGGAAAGAAGGGTCAAGGAGATGCTGGGGTCCCCTTCCAGGGAGGAGTGACGAGAGGTGGTGGAAGCAGAGATTTTTGAGAGGCACCTAACCTTCAGGGATCTGTTGTTTGAATGTATGAAAAAGGAAGAGGGAAAATGGCTGGAATATGAGGAATCGAGGATAGACATTGTTATAGGCTGAACTGTGCCCTCCCCCACTCCACACACACACACAAAGATAGGTTGAAGTCCTCCAAACCTCAGAATGTTACCTTGTTTTGAAACAGGATCTTTACATAGGTAATCAAGTTAAAATGAAGGTCATTAGGGTGGGCTCTAATCCAGATTGCTGACTTACAAAAAGAGGAAATTTGGACACAGAGACAAATGCATACAAAAGAAAATGTGCAGACCTATCACCCAAAGAACATGTGAGGCTACCAGAGGCTAGGAGACAGGCATGGAACAGATTCTGTCTCATGGCCGTCAGAAGGAACCAACACTGCTGACACCTTGATTTCAGACTTCTACCTCCTGAACTTTGAGATAAATGTCTGTTGTTTCAGCCACCTACTTTGCGGTGCTTCATTAGAGCAGTACTAGGAAACTAATGCAGACATCAAAAAGGACCTGATCACTTTTTAGGGCTAAAAGGAAGAAAATCTAACACAGACTTTCATTCAATTCCCTTCCCTCCCTTCTTCTTTCCTTACCTGTCAGTCTATGAAGCATTTTTTTGACCACTGGATAATCTTCAGGGAGATCATCCTCTGAATTAGATGACTTGGATGTTGGGACTTCAAATCTACACAGATGAGGGGAAGGGTCAGGAAATCAGCCCTCTGATCCTAATGCCCCCACGCATACCCCACTCACATCTCTGGAGGAAGAAGGGATGAGACTATACCCCAGAAAACCTGCCTATTAATGGGAACAAAGGTGTGGGCCCAGTGAGAACGTGATGGCTATGGCAGCTGGTGAGAAAAGGAGGGAACAGAAAAGTGGAACTCACCGTCTCCATGTCTTCCTCATATCCTAGGATGGGCAGAAACAAACATGGATGTGAGCTCTGGGCTTCATTCCCTGGGGCATCCTTCCCTATCTCTCCCCTCCTCAGGTGAGTTCTGTCTGAGTTAGCAGTGTCCCTCCTCACCTTTCAGAGTGATCTCACCTCTTTACACACTGTGCTCCTTTCCCTCTCATTCTCCTCCTTCACCTTTCATGATCCCTCCTTCCTCTCACCCCATCACTTTTCCCTCATCCTCCTAACTCCATCCCCACTGTCCTCCCCCTTTCCACTCCCCAAGGGTTCTCAATTCTCTTTTCCCAGGCTCGTCCATGACTGTTTCTTGTCCTCAGAGCCCTTGCCTTCCTTGCTGCCTCCTCAGTCCCATTCTCTGTCTCTTTCAGCGGCCCCATCCTTATCTACCTTCCCCAGTGCATCCCAGAAAAACATCTGTCCCTTCCTCCCTCCATCACACAGACCAAACACACACCCAGAGCCCTCGGGCTAAGAGTTGGTATATAAAAGCCTTACAATAAAGCTGCTTCCCCTCTTGCAATAAAAGCCCAGTGGCATTTATTGGGCCCTTTGCTTTGTGTCTCTGGACCCTGGCCAGGGAGGCAGCTAGACTTGAATGTGTCCCAAAAGGCCCAGCAGATCCACAGAGTACTATGGGAGCCAGGAGAGGGCACTGGATGCTCCCCTCCAAACACTGGGATACCGACCCCTCCACTTCACTGTCTAGTGCTGATGGCTGGAGCAGGCCGATATGGTGGAGCGGGGGAGAGAGAAACAATTTGCATAATTGTGCCAATTACTTTCAGACTAATTAGGTCTATGAAGACTTCAAAGGGCAGAAGCAAGACCCAAGACCAGCTTGGCTGCTGGGAAGAAGCCAGTCAGGAGTCCCAGACGCCCAGGGGTCGGTCGGGCAAGGGAATGGGCTGGTTAGTGGCCAAGGAGCCGGGGCCCAGGAGAGGCGCGGGGGGTAGATGGGTGGTAAGACTGGGATGTGGAGAGGAGCCAGAGGCCCCAGCGGCTGTTCTCCCGCACCTCGCCTCCACCCCTGGCCGCTCCTGCCTGGGGCCTTGGGAGGAGCCGAAATAACAATAACAAACAACACAGGGCTTAGCTTGAGCCAGAGTCCGAGACCAACCCCCACGACGCTACGGGGAGGTTTGGATATGCCCCAACCCCTTGCTCCCTTCCTCCATCCTCTTGTCAGTCCCCTCCTCCCCAGCTTTTTCTCCGCCCCCAACCCACCAGCCCAGCCTCCTGCTCCCGCTCCTCTAAGCAGGTTCTGCCCTCGCCCACCATCCTCCCAGGACCCCTCCTCACCCTCAGCTGGGTCGGCTCTCCCTTCCGCCCGCCGCTCCCTCCCCTCCGCCAGCTCTCCTCCTCCCGGGCGCCTGCGGCTGCCCTGCCAAAACTTCTGCAGTTCCCATGCCCTTCGCGGCGACTCCAGGGCTCTCCGCGTTCTATCCGGTACCCCTTCTCTGCCTCCCCAGTCTCTTCTCTCCAGCCCCTCTCACAAGGCTCAGGCATCGGTCCAGCCTCCTCCCCTGTGGACCAAGTGTCAACTCCATCCATCGTCCTTCCGGGCGCCTCTCACCTTGAGGACCCAGGGTCCTCGCCCCCTCATCCTTTGCTTTTCTCTCCCCACCCCATCCTTTGCCTAAACTTCCACAGGGCCTCCGGCTCCAGACGTGCCATTCCCGGCTTCCCCGGGAATCTCCCGCTT
This sequence comes from Homo sapiens, assembly GCF_000001405.40. Classification (NCBI taxonomy): domain Eukaryota; kingdom Metazoa; phylum Chordata; class Mammalia; order Primates; family Hominidae; genus Homo; species Homo sapiens. The sequence continues at coordinate 1,374,107 of NT_167249.2, forward strand.
CCACCAACAACTCCGCGACGCGCGCCCAGCCTCACCTCTCCGGGCAGGTCCAGGCAGCCCATGGTGGGGATGCGCCCCCCTCGGCGTCTCCCCGCACGGGCCCCAGGCTCAGCCAGCTTCTCTCGCAGCTCGCGGCTGATTCGCACCTCCACCGCCAGCCGCACATTAGACCTCAGGCTGCGGCGGGGACACGGCAGGCCGCAGCAGGGACAGGCGGTGGGGGAAGCCTCGGTGCCGGTCGCCGGCGGAGTCCCCCAGCGGCGGGCCAGACACGCGCGGCAGAAGCTGTGCTCGCACGCCAGAAGCACCGGGTCCTCGAAGGAGCCCCCGCACAGAGGACACGTCGCCAGCTGCTCCAGACGCTCCACCAGCCCCGGGCCCAGCTCGGGCGCATCCATGGAAAGCCAGGATCTGGACGCCGCCCCTTCCGCGACCACCGTGACCGCCTTCGAGCGCGCAGATGGCGGGCCGCCCCTGCTGCTTGCTGTGTAGATGCCCTTCTCTCCGACTCCCGCATTAACTTTTGCCGCTTTCCGCCCCTCTCCTGGGATTGCCTCTCTCTTCAACCAGAGTCTCAGTCTCGTCAAATCTCTCCACCACATCAGGCTTTATAGGGAGGGAGGAGGCTCCCACGGGAGGTAAACACCAGGCCTTGCGTAACGCCTCATCTGGTTCTCCTGCTTCCCGGGTAAGGTTTGGGGGAGCAGGGAGGGGAGAATAGCACACCTGGTTCCCAGAGCCTAGGAGGCGGTCACTAGAGGGCGCTCTGGGGCGGGGTAGCCCTGTGTGGGGAGGGTAGCCCCCTGTGACCCCCCGAAGAGCCCCAATTTTACCTTCCCCTCCGCCTGTGGTACGCGCATGGGCCGGGTGCCCAGGCTCACTCTTGGCATGTGCGCCCACATTGCCAAGGTGCGAGTCATTCCAGGTGGCTGGCACACCTACATCTGGGGGCTGGGGGCCGGAAGCACAGATCCTGGTTTGTGTGGCTTTGGCAAGCCTCTGAGTGTTGATGTGTGGTTTTCATTCCTGGTGCCTCTCGCCTTTCCATCTTCCTTCCTTACCTATTAAGGGCTTAAGGGCATTCTGCAGCTCTGGGGTAAGGGGTGGGGAGCAGGCGCCCACACTTCGGCCTCAGGGAGTCGGGGCAGAGCTCTTTCAGCTCTACCTCTGGCCAGCTCCCAGGGCCTCTCCTTACTTTCTTCGTAAGTCTCTCTTTCTGGTTCTTTCTCTCTGTTTTTCCCCGTGTGTGATTTTATTACCAGTTTTCTCTTTCCTTCCTTCTTTGGAATGTACCCGGTATTATCTATTTCAACTCTGGTAGTTCACAGAGGCCCAGAGAACTGGAATAGCCAAGGTCACATAGCAAGGGAATGACCAGAAGTGGAGCCCTACCCTGGTCTTCTGACTTGTGTTCTTGCTGTGACTCAACCCTGCCTTTTTCAGTTGCAGATCCCTGGGACCCCCTCCTGCTTCCTGATTTTTTTCTGGTGTTCCTTTGTGCCTTCATTCCTCACCTCCATTCTCTCTTTTTCTCCTTACCTGCTCCTCTCCCCACCTCTCCTCTTCCTCCCTGCTCCCTCCTCTTCCTAGCTTCTCTACCCTTCCAATGCCAGGCCTAGCTAACTGGATACTCATGGGGGTTTGTGCATAAGTAAACATCCAGATGTCTACAACTATGATCACCCACACTGTTATATAACATGTGTCTGCATCCATCAGTGTCCAAATGCCCAAATGTGCACAAACTTGCAGACAGAAGCATTCATGTAATACAAACATCACAGCTAAATATAATGTGTATGAATAGCCTCATATGCATTGAATATCACTGGGATAAATGTCCAGTATTATTTAGGAACAGACGGACATGCTCAAAGAAAACAGGCAAAGAGACAGATACTCTATCATCAGTTTTATTATTAATAAGAATAACAGTATAACAGCAGTAAGTCTTTATGGAGCAGCAGGACTTTATTAGGCACCCCCTCCAGGCACTCTTCTTCTGCCTCCCCCATACTTATCGGGGAGACACTCAAATATGACACCCTGATAAACAAACCTACACAAACAAACACACGTACATTCATCTTGGAACAACCCTCCCGGCTCAGTGCTCATAAAACACACAGATACCCAAGCATAAGACTACAGTTGTGACTGAAATCTATTTTGTAAAAGATGCACTTCTATGCTCTGATAGGTAGCATAGAGAGATAGCAGCATGAGAAGTGATCAGCCTGACATTGCTGGCTTTGGAGACTGAGGCAGGAAGCCACAAGCTAAGGAAGTGGGTAACCTCTGGAAGCTGCAAAAGACGAGGGAATGGATTCTCTAGCAGACCATTCAGAAGGAACCTAGCACTGCTGACACCTTAATTTTTGCCCAGTAAGACCCATTTCAGACTCTGAACTACAGAATAATAAAGTAACAAATGTGTATTGTTTCAAGCTCCTAAGTTTGTGGTAATTTGTTACAGTATCAATAGGAAACTAATACACAAGATTGCCTTTTCTCCTCCAGTCTCTGACTCTCTGAGTCTGTTTGCACTTCTGTGTTGTTGCACCTTCCAGTTTGTCATATTTTCTGGATGTCTCTGCCTCTCTTGACCTTCTTTTCAGTCTCATGTTATCTCTTTTCCTTCATTGTCCTGGCTTATCCCCAACTCCAAGGCCTCTCAGGATCTTTTTGGATCTGGGCTTGAAGTACTGGAGAAATGTCTCTGAGACTCCTCAAGAACCTCAATTGTCACCAATCCAAGTGCCTTGCTATGGCCCTCATGGGCTTGTCAGCGGTTAACAGCTTCAGTTGCACATTAGAATTATCTGGGAAACTTTAAAACTCCTGATGCCCAAGTGACACCTCAGACCAATTAAACGGACACCTTGGGGGTGGGTCCCAGGTGTCAGTACTTTTAAAAGCTTTCCAGATGGTTGCAGTGTTTAGCTAACAGGAGAACCATGGTCTTGAATGACGGCTGTTCATGTGGGCTGGTCACTCCATTTTGCTCCTTGTGCTCTGGCTGCAGTGCCTTCTACTTCTCGTTCCCCGAGCCACTGCTGGTGCGGCTGCACCGCCTTTGCACTCACTGTTCCCTCTGCCTGGGCCCCTGCTCCTCCAGAGCTTCACATGGCTTTCTCCATTTTCTCACTCATGTCTCAACCCAAAGGTAACATTCAGAGAGGACTTCTTTTACCACTTGTATCTCAAGTGGTCTTTCTCAAAGGTATTCACTATCTCTTTACCCATATTTATTATCTTCATGCTATTTATTACTGTCTGCAGTGATCTATTTATGGACTTTTGATGTGTCTCTGTCCAATAGAAGGTGAGTGAACAGGGACCTAACCTTCATGTTTGCTGCTGCTTTCCCTGCACCTAGAATAGCACCTGGCACACAGTGAGCCTTAATAAACTTAGGTCCAGTTGTTGAATTGCTCATTACACTGATTGGACAACCTGAGAGGGTCATTTGATTGACTCTGCTTAGACCTTCTTATCCTTCTCAACCAATAGTCATGCCTCACTGGCAGATGCCAGGCATAGTGCTGGGAAACGCTCAGGTGTTATAAGACATATGGTGCTCAGTCTGGCTAGGAAGTTCATGACTAGTTGTCATTTGCCTTCCATAACCAGATGGTGAGGATTCCTGCTAACAAAGCATCAGCTCAACCTTTACGTCCAGGTTACAATGAGTTCATACCTAATGGTTCCAGGACACCAGTAAGGGAAAAGGCATTTGGAGACAGACTCTGCCTGGAAACATCTCACTTCTCAAGACCTTCTCCCTCCCTTTCCAGAATCCCTAACAACTCTATACTTGATGCTCTAATCACCACTGAGTTCATTCTATTTCCAGAGAGCCAGAAGGGTGGATGTGATTTTACGTGTGTCAGCTTGGCTTGGCTTGATCCAGTTGACCATGACGGGATCCTGTCTCTCTGCTAGGATCCACATCTTCCTTCCTTAATGTAGGTGTCTCCTAAATAACTGTTCCCACCCCTTTCCAACTCCTTCCAGGATTCCTACTTGTGGTGTTGTGGAGTGTGACAGCTTGATACCCATGCATGGCACTAGGGAATGTCAGAGGTGGGACAGGCCTTGACCCATCCCTTCTTTTCCTTCTCTTCATTTTTTTCTTCTATCCTTTCATTTATCCTTCAGTCTCTCTCCTCCATATTAGCAACATCCTCATGCTTTTAAAAGCCCCACTAGTCTTTAGAAGCTTTCCAGAGGGAGAGATAAGTATGATAGAGGAGTTTGGGAGACTGATCACAGGACAGTCATGGTCCCTGCCCTTAGGAAGTGTGATAAGGCAGGTAAAGTGTATCCATCATCAACAAAATTTAGCATTACTGAATTAGGGTGTGTAAGAAGGCAGATAAAGTGTATCCATCATCAACCTAAATCTGTCATTACCAAATTTTAAAGGTGCAGTGACGGGGGAAGAGTGAGGGAGGATTCTGTTGACAGATTGAAGGACAAGTGGGAATCATTTCAGGAAGTCTTCCAGGAGGAGGTGACCTGTAAAAGAAGTGAAGGTTGTGTTGACTGGAAGAGAAGTGAAAAGGCCTGAACAAAGAATGTGAAGCATCTCTGGGGAGAAAACTGGATTGGGAAAAGAAGGGCTAGGAGGTAAGAAATCAAAATGAAGGAGACCATAATTCTTTCTCAATTCCCACTCACTATGCCCTTCCCAAAGATTTTCTTCAATCTTGATTGTTTCTATAATGACTCATTTTTTTAAGGACTTGGATGTTTACACTGTGCTTTAACATAGCTGGAAATTCTATTAGACCAGAGCAGTTTTCCTATGCAACTACTCCAAGGACTCTGAGTAAAACTTGCCCTGATGGGGGAGGCAGTTTTAGGAGGGGTGGCTTGAGGCAGGGATAGAGGAAGAATATCCAGCCAGATTAATCCAATCAATCTTGATACTCAAATACATGACTATGTTATAGAAATGTCACCTTCATAGTCCATTCTCTCATTTAACCCTATAACAGCCGTGAGGCCAAGTCCAGCCATGTTACACTGAGGCCCCTGGGATTCTGGCATGGTAAGGGATTTGACTAGGCTCAAACAGCCGGCAGGAGGCAGAGCCAGGACTGAAATTCAAACCTGCTGGCTCCAAAGTCTATATTCTTTTCCTTAAATATTAATTTCTTTCTTTTGAGACTTTACTTTCTCTTTTCTGTCCCTCCTGGAAGGCTCCTTCCTTTCTCTCCCTTTAAATCCCTGCTTAGGGCTAACAGTTTCTCTGAAATGTTGCCCATCCTTCAAGTTCATGTAGGTGCTCACTTATTCTCTTTCCTTCCAACAACCCACCTATCAATGTCACTAATATTTCTATCCATCATTTAAATTCTCCCCTAAATGTTCACTATTTGTCTTCTCAGTTTTCTTATTTATTTATTTATTTATTATTATTATACTTTAAGTTTTAGGGTACATGTGCACAATGTGCAGGTTAGTTACATATGTATACACGTGCCATGCTGGTGCGCTGCACCCACCAACTCGTCATCTAGCATTAGGTATACCTCCCAATGCTATCCCTCCCCCCTGCCCTCACCCCACAACAGTCCCCAGAGTGTGATGTTCCCCTTCCTGTGTCCACGTGTTCTCATTGTTCAATTCCCACCTATGAGTGAGAATATGCGGTGTTTGGTTTTTTGTTCTTGCGATAGTTTACTGAGAATGATGATTTCCAATTTCATTCATGTCCCTACAAAGGACATGAACTCATCATTTTTTATGACTGCATAGTATTCCATGGTGTATATGTGCCACATTTTCTTAATCCAGTCTATCATTGTTGGACATTTGGGTTGGTTCCAAGTCTTTGCTATTGTGAATAATGCCACAATAAACATACGTGTGCATGTGTCTTTATAGCAGCATGATTTATAGTCCTCTGGGTATATAACCAGTAATGGGATGGCTGGGTCAAATGGTATTTCTAGTTCTAGATCCCTGAGGAATCGCCACACTGACTTCCACAATGGTTGAACTAGTTTACAGTCCCACCAACAGTGTAAAAGTGTTCCTATTTCTCCACATCCTCTCCAGCACCTGTTGTTTCCTGACTTTTTAATGATTGCCATTCTAACTGGTGTGAGATGGTATCTCATTGTGGTTTTGATTTGCATTTCTCTGATGGCCAGTGATGGTGAGCATTTTTTCATGTGTTTTTTGGCTGCATAAATGTCTTCTTTTGAGAAGTGTCTGTTCATGTCCTTCGCCCATTTTTTGATGGGGTTGTTTGTTTTTTTCTTGTAAATTTGTTTGAGTTCATTGTAGATTCTGGATATTAGCCCTTTGTCAGATGAGTAGGTTGCGAAAATTTTCTCCCATTTTGTAGGTTGCCTATTCACTCTGATGGTAGTTTCTTTTGCTGTGCAGAAGCTCTTTAGTTTAATTAGATCCCATTTGCCAATTTTGGCTTTTGTTGCCATTGCTTTTGGTGTTTTAGACATGAAGTCCTTGCCCATGCCTATGTCCTGAATGGTAATGCCTAGGTTTTCTTCTAGGGTTTTTATGGTTTTAGGTCTAACATTTAAGTCTTTAATCCATCTTGAATTAATTTTTGTATAAGGTGTAAGGAAGGGATCCAGTTTCAGCTTTCTACATATGGCTAGCCAGTTTTCCCAGCACCATTTATTAAATAGGGAATCCTTTCCCCATTGCTTGTTTTTCTCAGGTTTGTCAAAGATCAGATACTTGTAGATATGCGGCCTTATTTCTGAGGGCTCTGTTCTGTTCCATTGATCTATATCTCTGTTTTGGCACCAGTACCATGCTGTTTTGGTTACTGTAGCCTTGTAGTATAGTTTGAAGTCAGGTAACGTGATGCCTCCAGCTTTGTTCTTTTGGCTTAGGATAGACTTGACGATGCGGGCTCTTTTTTGGTCCCATATGAACTTTAAAGTAGTTTTTTCCAATTCTGTGAAGAAAGTCATTGGTAGCTTGATGGGGATAGCATTGAATCTGTAAATTAGCTTGGGCAGTATGGCCATTTTCACGATATTGATTCTTCCTACCCATGAGCATGGAATGTTCTTCCATTTGTTTGTATCCTCTTTTATTTCCTTGAGCAGTGGTTTGTAGTTCTCCTTGAAGAGGTCCTTCACATCCCTTATAAGTTGGATTCCTAGGTATTTTATTCTCTTTGAAGCAATTGTGAATGGGAGTTCACTCATGATTTGGCTCTGTGTTTGTCTGTTGTTGGTGTATAAGAATGCTTGTGACTTTTGTACATTGATTTTGTATCCTGAGACTTTGCTGAAGTTGCTTATCAGCTTAAGGAGATTTTGGGCTGAGACAATGGGGTTTTCTAGATATACAATCATGTCGTCTGCAAACAGGAACAATTTGACTTCCTCTTTTCCTAATTGAATACCCTTTATTTCCTTCTCCTGACTAATTGCCCTGGCCAGACCTTCCAACACTATGTTGAATAGGAGTGGTGAGAGAGGGCATCCCTGTCTTGTGCCAGTTTTCAAAGGGAATGCTTCCAGTTTTTGCCCATTCAGTATGATATTGGCTGTGGGTTTGTCATAGATAGCTCTTATTATTTTGAAATACATCCCATCAATACCTAATTTATTGAGAGTTTTTAGCATGAAGCATTGTTGAATTTTGTCAAAGGCCTTTTCTGCATCTATTGAGATAATCATGTGGTTTTTGTCTTTGATTCTGTTTATATGCTGGATTACATTTATTGATTTGTGTATATTGAACCAGCCTTGCATCCCAGGGATGAAGCCCACTTGATCATGGTGGATAAGCTTTTTGATGTGCTGCTGGATTTGGTTTGCCAGTATTTTATTGAGGATTTTTGCATCAATGTTCATCAAGGATATTGGTCTAAAATTCTCTTTTTTGGTTGTGTCTCTGCCCAGCTTTGGTATCAGGATGATGCTGGCCTCATAAAATGAGTTAGGGAAGATTCCCTCTTTTTCTATTGATTGGAATAGTTTCAGAAGGAATGGTACCAGTTCCTCCTTGTACCTCTGGTAGAATTCGGCTGTGAATCCATCTGGTCCTGGACTCTTTTTGGTTGGTAAGCTATTGATTATTGCCACAATTTCAGATCCTGTTATTGGTCTATTCAGAGATTCAGCTTCTTCCTGGTTTAGTCTTGGGAGAGTGTATGTGTCAAGGAATTTATCCATTTCTTCTAGATTTTCTAGTTTATTTGCATAGAGGTGTTTGTAGTATTCTCTGATGGTAGTTTCTGTTTCTGTGGGATCGGTGATGATATCCCCTTTATCATTTTTTATTGTGTCTATTTGATTCTTCTCTCTTTTTTCTTTATTAGTCTTGCTAGCGGTTTATCAATTTTGTTGATCCTTTCAAAAAACCAGCTCCTGGATTCATTAATTTTTTGGAGGGTTTTTTTGTGTCTCTATTTCCTTCAATTCTGCTCTGATTTTAGTTATTTCTTGCCTTCTGCTAGCTTTTGAATGTGTTTGCTCTTGCTTTTCTAGTTCTTTTAATTGTGATTATAGGGTGTCAATTTTAGATCTTTCCTGCTTTCTCTTGTGGGCATTTAGTGCTATAAATTTCCCTCTACACACTGCTTTGAATGCGTCCCAGAGATTCTAGTATGTTGTGTCTTTGTTCTCGTTGGTTTCAAAGAACATCTTTATTTCTGCCTTCATTTCGTTATGTACCCAGTAGTCATTCAGGAGCAGGTTGTTCAGTTTCCATGTAGTTGAGCGGTTTTGAGTGAGATTCTTAATCCTGAGTTCTAGTTTGATTGAACTGTGGTCTGAGAGATAGTTTGTTATAATTTCTGTTCTTTTACATTTGCTGAGGAGAGCTTTACTTTCAAGTATGTGGTCAATTTTGGAATAGGTGTGGTGTGGTGCTGAAAAAAATGTATATTCTGTTGATTTGGGGTGGAGAGTTCTGTAGATGTCTATTAGGTCTGCTTGGTGCAGAGCTGAGTTCAATTCCTGGGTATCCTTGTTAACTTTCTGTCTTGTTGATCTGTCTAATGTTGACAGTGGGGTGTTAAAGTCTCCCATTATTAATGCATGGGAATCTAAGTCTCTTTGTAGGTCACTCAGGACTTGCTTTATGAATCTGGGTGCTCCTGTATTGGGTGCATATATATTTGGGATAGTTAGCTCTTCTTGTTGAATTGATCCCTTTACCATTATGTAATGGCCTTCTTTGTCTCTTTTGATCTTTGTTGGTTTAAAGTCTGTTTTATCAGAGACTAGGATTGCAACCCCTGCCTTTTTTTGTTTTCCATTTGCTTGGTAGATCTTCCTCCATCCTTTTATTTTGAGCCTATGTGTGTCTCTGCACGTGAAATGGGTTTCCTGAATACAGCACACTGATGGGTCTTGACTCTTTATCCAATTTGCCAGTCTGTGTCTTTTAATTGGAGCATTTAGTCCATTTACATTTAAAGTTAATATTGTTATGTGTGAATTTGATCCTGTCATTATGATGTTAGCTGGTTATTTTGCTCATTAGTTGATGCAGTTTCTTCCTAGTCTCAATGGTCTTTACATTTTGGCATGATTTTGCAGCAGCTGGTACTGGTTGTTCCTTTCCATGTTTAGTGCTTCCTTCAGGAGCTCTTTTAGGGCAGGCCTGGTGGTGACAAAATCTCTCAGCATTTGCTTGTCTGTAAAGGATTTTATTTCTCCTTCACTTATGAAGCTTAGTTTGGCTGGATATGAAATTCTGGGTTGAAAATTCTTTTTTTTAAGAATGTTGAATATTGACCCCCACTCTCTTCTGGCTTGTAGAGTTTCTGCCGAGAGATCCGCTGTTAGTCTGATGGGCTTCCCTTTGAGGGTAACCCGACCTTTCTCTCTGGCTGTTCTTAACATTTTTTCCTTCATTTCAACTTTGGTGAATCTGACAATTACGTGTCTTGGAGTTGCTCTTCTCGAGGAGTATCTTTGTGGCGTTCTCTGTATTTCCTGAATCTGAACGTTGGCCTGCCTTGCTAGATTGGGGAAGTTCTCCTGGATAATATCCTGCAGAGTGTTTTCCAACTTGGTTCCATTCTCCCCGTCACTTTCAGGTACACCAATCAGATGTAGATTTGGTCTTTTCACATAGTCCTATATTTCTTGGAGGCTTTGCTCGTTTCTTTTTATTCCTTTTTCTCTAAACTTCCCTTCTCGCTTCATTTCATTCATTTCATCTTCCATCGCTGATACCCTTTCTTCTAGTTGATCGCATCAGCTCCTGAGGCTTCTACATTCTTCACGTAGTTCTCGAGCCTTGGTTTTCAGCTCCATCAGCTCCTTTAAGCACTTCTCTGTGTTGGTTATTCTAGTTATTCATTCTTCTAAATTCTTTTCAAAGTTTTCAACTTCTTTGCCTTTGGTTTGAATGTCCTCCCATAGTTCGGAGTAATTTGATCGTCTGAAGCCTTCTTCTCTCAGCTCGTCAAAGTCATTCTCCGTCCAGCTTTGTTCCATTCCTGGTGAGGAACTGCATTCCTTTGGAGGAGGAGAGGAGCTCTGCTTTTTAGAGTTTCCAGTTTTTCTGCTCTGTTTTTTCCCCATCTTTGTGGTTTTATCTACTTTTGGTCTTTGACGATGGTGATGTACAGATGGGTTTTTTGTGTGGATGTCCTTTCTGTTTGTTAGTTTTCCTTCTAACAGACAGGACCCTCAGCTGCAGGTCTGTTAGAGTACCCGGCCGTGTGAAGTGTCAGTCTGCCCCTGCTGGGGGGTGCCTCCCAGTTAGGCTGCTCGGGGGTCAGGGGTCAGGGACCCACTTGAGGAGGCAGTCTGCCCGTTCTCAGATCTCCAGCTGCGTGCTGGGAGAACCACTGCTCTCTTCAAAGCTGTCAGACAGGGACATTTCAGTCTGCAGAGGTTACTGCTGTCTTTTTGTTTGTCTGTGCCCTGCCCCCAGAGGTGGAGCCTACAGAGGCAGGCAGGCCTCCTTGAGCTGTGGTGGGCTCCACCCAGTTCGAGCTTCCCGGCTGTTTTGTTTACCTCAGCAAGCCTGGGCAATGGCGGGCGCCCCTCCTCCAGCCTCGCTGCCACCTTGCAGTTTGATCTCAGACTGCTGTGCTAGCAATCAGCGAGACTCTGTGGGCGTAGGACCCTCTGAGCCAAGTGCGGGATATAATCTCCTGGTGCGCCGTTTTTTAAGCCCGTCGGAAAAGCGCAGTATTCGGGTGAGAGTGACCCGATTTTCCAGGTGCCCTCTGTCACCCCTTTCTTTGACTAGGAAAGGGAACTCCCTGACCCCTTGTGCTTCCTGAGTGAGGCAATGCCTCGCCCTGCTTCGGCTCACGCACGGTGCGCGCACCCACTGACCTGTGCCCACTGTCTGGCACTCCCTAGTGAGATGAACCTCAGATGGAAATGCAGAAATCACCTGTCTTCTGCGTTGCTCACGCTGGGAGCTGTAGACCGGAGCTGTTCCTATTTGGCCATCTTGGCTCCTCCCCCCATCTTCTCAGTTTTCTCAAGGCCTTCTTGTTCTCCAAGCCCTTAGCAGTTTCCATTTTTTTTTTTTTTGTTTGTTTGTTTGTTTGTGACAGAGTCTCGCTCTGTCACCAGGCTGGAGTGCAGTGGCATGAGCTCAGTTCACTACAACCTCTGCCTCCTGGGTTCAAGCGATTCTCCTAGCTTAGCCTCCCAAGTAGCTGGGACTACAGGCACATGCCACCACACCCAGCTAATTTTTGTATTTTTAGTAGAGATGGGGTTTTGTCATGTTTGCCAGGCTGGTCTTGAACTCCTTACCTCAGGTGATCTGCCTGCTTCAGCCTACCAAAGTGCTAGGATTACAGGTGTGAGCCACCGCACCTGGCCAGCAGTTTCCTTTTAAGAGCTGTGCATTCATTCATCCATTCATTTAATCATTCAACAACTATTTACTAAGCACCTACTATGTACCATGCGTTGTTCTAGGAGTTAGGAAGAGTGGAGAGCAAGCCAGCCATAGTCCCTTGTCCTCTGGTAATTTAGATTCCATTGAAAAAGGCCAACAATAAGCAAGTAAACAAATAAATTAACAAGATAATTATAGATTGTGATCAGTGCTTTGAAGAATACAAAGTGGGTAATATAAGAGGAATTAACTGGAGGAGGTGTGCACTACTTTTAATAGGATGTTAGAAAAAGCTCCTCTGAGAAGGTGAAGAGAGGGAGCCAGCAATGAGAAGAGTTGGGAGAGAGCAACAACAGCAGATGCAAAGACCCTGAAGTGGGAAAGATCTTGAACGTATGAAGTGGGATGACAATGGTTTGATGTGAGATTGGAGAGGTACTAAGAGCCAAGCTGTGTAGGACCTTAGGGACCAGGATAAGGAGTTGATCGTTGTTCTAAGAGCAGTGGAATGCCACTGAGTAGCTGTAAGTGTGATATTTACGTGGTCTAATGGATTGATTGATTGATTGATTGATTGTAGAGATGGGATCTGGCTGTGTTGCCCAGGCTGATCTCAAGCTCCTGGCTTCAATCAATCCTCCCACTTTGGCCTCATCTCCCAAAGAGCTGAGATTATAGGCATAAGCTACCACACTCAGCATGATTTATGTATTTTGAAGCTCATTTTGTCCTAGTAGTCTTTTCTCTCAGTTTTCTTTTTCTAATTCCTATTCCCCTTCACATTATTTACATTCAAGACGATCATCTCATTTCCATGTCCACTTCCCCATCGGGGAGAATAGGTCTTCCAAACAAGTTATTTATTAACCTGTACAAGGATCGCTAGTAAGTGCACCAAATATAGCTAATTTGATTCTGGCTCCCACCTCTATTAAAGACTTCAAAGAATCATAGATTTGTAGAATGCTAGAGTTGTAGGGAACATTAACAATGTGTAGTCTAGCCCTTACAATATGGATAAGAAAATTGATTCCCAGAGAGATGATCTTGCTGGTGTGTAAGTAGGGAAAACTTTCGGATCCTCATCTGTCAAGAATGCAGGAGCAGGTTCCTTCCTGTCTTTTAGGCGCCTGTTTCAATTAAGAAAAAAAAATATTGGCTGGGCACGGTGGCTCATGCCTGTAATCCCAACACTTTGGGAGGCTGAGTTGGGCAGATCACAAGGTCAAGAGATCGAGACCATCCTGGCCAACATGGTGAAACCCCGTCTCTACTAAAAATACAAAAGTTAGCTGGGCATGGTGGCACATGATGTAGTCACAGCTACTTTTAGGAGGCTGAGGCAGGAGAATTGCTTGAACTCAGGAGGCAGAGGTTGCAGTGAGCAAGATCACTCCACTGCACTCCAGCCTGGCGACAGAGCGAGACTCCGTCTCAAAAAAAAAAATAAAAAAAAAAAAAAAAAAAAGTCAGGATGTCCTAACTGGTTTATTGGCTTCAAGGTCAATCACCATAGGTCAGTAGTGCTGCAGCTACTGCTAGCATAGCAGCCACGGGCCCAGCTGCCCTACCCCCATGCACATTTCATGTTTATTGGGGCTCATCCATGCTCTTCTATAGGAAAATAGCCTCTACCTCACTTCTGCATTTCAAATCTCATAGAAATACATTTAGTTGGAAGGACTTAATTCATGTCCAGAATCCTAGCTCCAAAAATTCTGAGAAATAGAGTTTTTTACTTTTCAATCTCTTCAATAGAAAGGAAATGAGGTCATTCCATATATGTAGGTTTGGCAGATAAAATGCAGAACATCCAGTTAAATTTGAATTTCAGATAAACAATGATTTTTTAGTATAAGTATCTCCCAAATACTGCATGGGGCATACTTACACAAAATACTTGTTTATTATTTATCTAAAATTCAGATTTAAATGGACATCCTGTACTTTTATTTGATAAATCTGACATTTTGACAAATCTCCAGCACAGAGACTGAGAGCAGAAGTCCTTAATTTAGATGGGGGACATTGAGGAAGGCCCATCTTCCAAGGTGATATTTAAGGGGAGACCTGAGAGATGAATAAGAGATCATCATGCTCAAAGAGGAGAGAAGGGCATTGCAGGCACAGGTAACAGCTTTGCAACAGCCTAGAGGCAAGAACAATTTGGGCTAATTTAAGCAAAGTTGACACATGATGAGTTAGGAGTAAAGATGGCACAAGATAATAATGAAGACGTAGGCAGAGACTAGAGCAAGTGAAATCTTAAGTTTTAGTAGTGGAATAAACAAGAGTGGAATGGGGGAGACCCAGGGTCACTACCTGCTAATGGCATTCCCAGAGTTGTATACGGCAGTCATCCCAAAGAGAGAAAACTATGCCAGTAATTTAGGTGAGAAAGGATGATGGCTTGAGATAGTGGGATCCAGTGGAGCTGAAAATGAGCAGGCCAATTTGAAGTGTATTTTGTAGATAGAATTGACAAAAACATTGAAGTGGCCTTTGGGTGATGAGGGAGGGGAAAATCAATCATGAATTTCTAATTTCTGGAATGGATGACTGTGTAATTGCAAGGCTGTTACAGAAATGGGCTACATACTTAATGAGCTTTGGATGTTGAGATGGGATCACAAGAGAGGGGGTAAAGACAAAGTGATGAGATATTTTGTTTCAGTTGGACCACAGTCCACAATAACTGCTTCTCCTCTCTGCAGAATATTCACTAACATGCACGAGACCTGTTTGCTCTGTCCTTCTCTCCTTCCTCCCTGCCCTCCCCTTCATCATTTTCTCCTTTTTATTCTCTGTCCTTTCTTTCTGTTCTGTAGTCATCCTATTTCCTTGACAGAATCGAAGCCTCAGCCAGTGAGATAGATGGAGTGTAGGCAGCTAGAAATGGAAAGGATTCCTGTGCTTCTGTGATTCACAGTCTCCCAGTGGGCCTTTAAACCATTTAACCTCTGTTGTCCAGACCCCAGGAAGAGGGGAGGCTGGAAGAGGGAAAAGAACTTGGACTGGAGCAGCAGGGGAGGCCCTGGAGGAAGGAGCAGGTATCATCCTCCAGCAAATGGGCAATCCATTAGTCCAAACTCCTCATTTTAAAATTGAAAAAACTGAAGCCTTTGCCCATTTTGACTAAACCAGATAAGAAATTATACAGTATGAAGGAACATTGACACCACTTAGAAACAGTAGGGTGTCAAGATTTGACTTGACTCTTGTTAGTTTTGTGACTATAAAGTGAAAACAATTATATCAAAAAATTTGTTTTAGGGATGATAAAAGTAATTTATACTTATTCGTTCAAAAGTACTTATTAAGGACCTACTATGTGCAGATACAGTGTTGAAAGCTAGGGACTCAGTGGAGATCAACACAGACAGGAACCTGGCCTCATGGGAATTCTAAACTCTAGCGGGGAGAACAGCTCATTAACAAATAAATAAGTGTAATGTATGGTAGGTACCACGAAGCAACATAAAGCTGGGAAGAAAGACACAAATGCTAGCATAGTTTTCTCTCTTTGGGATGACTGCCTTATACAACTCTGGGGAATGCCATTAGCAAGTAGTGGCCTCGGATCTTCCCCCATTGCACTCTTGCCTATTCCACTACTAAAACCTAAGTTTTTGCTTGCTCTAATCTCTAAGTCTTCATTATTATCTTGTGCCATCTTTACTCCCAACTCATCATGCGTCAACTTTGCTTAAATTAGCCCAAATTGTTCTTGCCTCTAGGTTGATGCAAAGCTGTTACCTGTGCCTGGGATGCCCTTCTCTCCTCTCTGAGCATGATGATCTCTTATTCATCTCTCAGGTCTGCCCTTAAATATCACCTAGAGAGATGGGCCTTCTCAATGCTGGATGGAGTGCTGGATGGAGTAGATAGAGTTACAATCTCAATAGATTCTATTTGAGCAAAGATTTGAAGGTGGTAAGAGAAGTCGTCAAGTGCTTATCTGAAGGAAGGATCATCCAGATGAAAGGAAAGGCAGAGGCAAAGGCTGTGATGCTGAAGCTGCTGATGTGTTTGAGATTTAACATGAGGCCATGTGGCTGGAGCAGAGGGAGCAGCGGGTGTGGAGTAGGAAGTCAGAGATGGGACTGGCCGACTGTGCAGGGCTTTGTCATTGTCAGGACTTCATTCAGTACTGGGTGAGGTGAGCCTACCAGGGGTTGGAGTTGGTGGGAAGGGGCTGACTTCTGGACGTGAGTTACTGCATTGGTTGTGGAGTGTGAGAGCAAAGGAGGAGGCAGGAAGCTCTAACGAATTTGGCCCCACCATGGGGAGGATGGAGCTGCCAGTGACTGCAGTGGGAAGAACTGTGAGGAGCTGGCCTGGGCAGGAATATCAGGGGTGGCATGTTGGACATGTGAAGCCAGGAGGCCTGTGGGCCATCCAACAGTGCTGTGAACTGTGCAGCCCGATGTAAGCATATCTGACATTAGGAGTGGTGGAGAAACAAAAAGAACAAGGATAGTTCATTTTAACACAGTAATAATTTTATAATTTTATAATTTTCAAATCATTAAAGATTTTACTACTTTCTTAACTACTCCAGGAGCCTGTGTCACATTCCAGTCACAGGGAGGAAACTGGGGGCCATGCAGGATAAAGGTCAAAGCCTGCATGCTGGGACTCAAGTGCTTCCTCCCCAACAGTATTAGAACACCAACTCCCAGGAGCACAGAGACTTGAAGAGAGTGTCCGGGTCGTGGACTATGAGTCAGAGAAACCAAGCCAGGGGCATGCAAGGCAGCACGAGGCAGAGCAGGGAAACCCAGCAAGGGAGGTGGCAACGCACAGTGACCTAGAAAAGCCTGATGAGCTGAGAGCCAGCCGACAACAGGCCCCATGTGCCTCTGTGTCTTGGTCCACATGATAGACTCTCCCTCCCTCCCTTCCTTCCTCTCCTCTGGTGACCAGTAGCTAAAACATCACTGGCACGCTGCTGGCATCCAGCCTGCCAATTAGTTCAGGAGCCACTCCCTCTGACTGCCTCCTGAGCCTCAGATGTTACCTCCCCTGTCTCCCAAACACACCCCTCCAGCTCTGTCCGGCCTGCCCTGAATCTCTGGAAGGAAAACTTGCCCTGGGACCTGCCTTGGACTCTCTGGTTCCCCTCATCCAGCCCCTCCCTGCGCAGAACATGGCATCTCGTGCCCTTTTATCTGCCATATCTGGCCACCTTTGCAAGCGTCCTTGAAACCAGCGCTTGGTAGAGTTATCCACGCCCATGTGAGGCTCCCCTGACCCCTGGGTGGTGTATGTGGCAGGAGGAGCAGGGAGGAGCTTCAAGGAAGCAGAGGGAAAGGAACCTATAAGAGTTCTTGGGATGGCTTCCAGGAAGCTGTGAGGACAGAGCTATGCTGAAAGGAGAAAGGCAAAGGCTACAGAAAAGTGAACACTGAAGAGGAATTAGGCAAGAACAAAGCCTACCAAGTTAGAAGAAGGGAATGAGAGGGCGAAACAACAGCACCAGAAAGGAATGAGGTTGCCGGGCACGGTGGCTCATACCTGTAATCCCAGCACTTTGGGAGGCCGAGGCAGGCGAACCACCTGAGGTCGGGAGTTCGAGACCAGCCTGACCAACATGGAGAAACCCTGTCTCTACTAAAAATACAAAATTAGCTGGGTATGGTGGTGCATGTCTGTAATCCCAGCTACTCAGTGAGGCTGAGGCAGGAGAATCGCTTGAACCCGGGAGGCGGAGGTTGTGGTGAGCCGATGCGCCATTGCACTCCAGCCTGGGCAACAAGAGCAAAACTGCATCTCAAAAAAAAAAAAAAAGAAGAAAGAAAGAAAGAAAAAGAAAAAGAAAGGAATGAGGATCAGGAGTCGGGGGGAGAGACATGATCTTACAGAACGGGCTGGACCTGGGGAGAGGATTTTGTCAGAACTATGGAAAGTTTGAAATGAGGTTGAAGAAGGAGTGATGGTAATACTTTTTACATTTTTAGAACATCTTCTTATATTTTATTTCATCATTCATTCCTCATAGATCTCATTACCCCCATTTTACGGATCAAGAAACTGAGGCTCAGAGAGGTGATGTGAGTTGTCCAAGATCACACAGCTAATAAGAAGGTACATTCTCCTCTATACCACAGAGCACCTCTTCTGTGTGTGGCATATTACATAGAAAAATGAGATTAGACATTTAGAAGTTGAGGATTCTCATCCCGCAAACACTTATGGGGGCACTTTTTATGTGCCAGGCAACATGCTAAGCACTGAAGATACTAAGACGCCCTGCTTTCAAAAGACTGACCTTCTGGTTAAGGAGTGATATGAGTGGTGCAAACCAGGTGGGGGGCGGGGCTGCCCATAGGCTGAGGGCTCCTCTGGGAGAGGGCAGCTTAGGGAAGCTTTTACAGCGGATGTCTGGGAAGAAGGGAACCACTTCCCCAGTGGGTGGTGGAAGGGGATAGCAGAGGGCATTTCAGGGAAAAGCAAGCAAGCAGAGTGTGTGGGAGAGCTCCAAGGAGTTGAGATCCACAAAAGAGGGATGTGTAGGGAGCTGGATGGAAAAGCTAAAGAAATAATGGGGAGAATAGTGATATTAATTAAATTCGTGATCTGTTTAAAACCATTGCATAGGGCAAGGCACAGTGGCTCATGCCTATAATCCCAGCACTTTGGGAGGGTGAGGCAGGAGGATCACTTAGCCCAGGAGTGAGAGACCAGCCTGGGCAACATAGCAAGATTTGTCCCAATGAAAAAAAATACTAAATGTTTTTAAAAGGCACAATGCATAGCTGTAATAACAGTTGAGGAGGAATCTTACAACTACAGTGTTAAAGGAGACAAAGGGTGTTTCTTCATTATGTTGCGGTGATGGAAACTTAAATGAGATAAGGATATATTTGAGTCTTCCTATATGCCAGATGGCATGCAAAATGTTTTTATATACATTATGTAATTGAATTCATGTAACAGTGAAAAATAGTGAAGATGACCTATTTGGGTTGACATGAGAAGATCTATAAGATCGTGGTTAAAAGAAAAAGTCAGTGCAGAACATTATGTACTATAAATTATGACCCATAGTAAAGAAACACATACAGGGGAAGGGTTTTGGTCAGAGGGAGTACAGAGCCAGGGCAGCCAAGAGAAGGAGGTGTGTCTGAGCCTGGTGCAGGCTGCGTGCCTAGGGCTGGCACTGAGAGGGACATGGAGCTTGTCATACTGAGGGCATAACTCAATCCTGTTACACTAGGCAAGTCTCAGAGAATTTTCAAGTGGAAGTGAAACACACTCTGGTGACACAGGTTGTAGAGATTGTTCTGTCTGCAGGTGGATAGATTGGAGGCAGGAGGAGAGCAGTCAGGTAGGAGAGATCCCGAGGGGTGGACAAGCCTGGCCCCTGGAAACAGAGTCGGGGGAGAGGAAGCAAGGGTGAGAAACTGGGCTGAGGAAATGAGTGGGTGACAGATCTTCACATGGCTGGTAGGGGGAAAAAAAAGGAACACAGAACACAATTAGATTATTTTCAGGATTTTCATCGCAGTTATATATGCAAATAAAAAGTTAAACAAGTTGATGAGTTAATTTTTTAAAATGGCAGCCCTCACCCCCATCTCCACTACTTTCAACTCTTTTAGCTGTTTTGGTGTTCACCTTCACATCTGTAAATACAAGGATTATATTATTACTATTTGCTCTTCTAATTTTAGGCATTATCTATTATTGATTTGCTGTTATCAAAGATATAGCTTTTTCTTGTAACCACAACCTCACTTGATCCCACAAACACATATCCTCACTATTCCCACTGTCCCTGGTTTATAGCTATTTCAAATACACACACACACACACACACACACACACACACACACACATTTCTATGTGTATAAAACACAGATATGTAAATACACACAAACATGTCCTGAAGGATCAAATCAAACTAGGATTCAGGAAGATCATAGCTAAAGAAGACTTTCGGCTTGCACGGTGGCTCACACCTGTAATCCTAGCATTTTGGGAGGCCAAGGTGGGCGGATCACCCAAGGTCAGGAGTTCGAGACCAGCCAGACCAACATGGCAAAACCCCATCTCTACTAAAAGTACAAAAAATTAGCTGGGTGTGGTGGTGGGCACCTGTAATCCCAGCTACCTAAGAGACTGAGGCAAGAGAAGCCCTTGAACCCGGGAGGCTGAGGTTGCAGTGAGCTGAGATGTGCCAGTGCACTCCAGCCTGGGTGACAGAGCAAGGCTTCATAAAAACTTCATAAAAAAAAAAAGAAGAAGAAGAAGAAGATTTGAACCAAAAGGTAGAGAAGCACAAGACAAGAGGCCGTGAAAAAGCAAGTCATGCATTGGTGAGTATGTGTGTGGAGGGCAGGGATGAGGAAAATTTCAGAACAGAATCAATTCAGCCTTGTGCAGAAAGGAATAATGAAGGCAGGAGGCAGCAACTTCAGGGCTGTCTGATTTGAAGGAAATATTAAAGCCTTTATCAGGAAAGGGGAATCACTAACAGTCAGACAGAAGCACCAGACTGAAGGAAAAAAGATCACAGCCCCATATCCTTAGAGAGTATCAGAGACCTCAGATGCCAGGCATCTGCCATGCTGTTGATTTACTCTGCAGTGAGTCACTGGATCCTTGAAACTGGGGGCAAGGGTGAGATCATTACCCCAGAAGGCAGGGAGCAGAGACAACAAGGCCCTTGGGGTCCAGGCAGCTGAACCCGTCTGGTCAGAGGCCACTGTCACAAAACCAACAAAGAATTCATATCTAATAGGTTTTCCTCAGGGCTCAGATGAGTAGGTTTGGGAGTTACTGGGAGGCTGTGATACCAGGCAGGATGACAAACAAAAACAGTCAGCCAAGAAAACAAGCTTCAGAGTGTTTGCCCTGGGAGAACAATGGATGTCCGGGTAGAGCCAAAGCCACTGGCTCCTCCCTCCCCACAACTCAGAGCCACCAGGGACCTGGGCCACGTGTCCCTTTCCATGACCATGGGGTGTGTGACTGCGGGAGGCTGAAAGTGTCAGCACTGTGACCTGGAAATATATGCCTGGATTGGGGAGGTGGACACCTTGGAAATAAACTCCAGACTTCCTCTATTTGAAAAATTTTGTGGCCGGAAGCGTTGGCTCAAGCCTGTAATCTCAGCACTTTGGGAGGCCGAGGCAGGTGGATCACGAGGTCAGGAGATCGGACCAACTGGCTATGGTGAAACCCCATCTCTACTAAACAAAATACAAAAAATTAGCCGGGCATGGTGGCAGGCACCTGTAGTCCCAGCTACTGTGGAGGCTGAGGCAGGAGAATGGCATGAACCCGGGAGGCAGAGCTTGCAGTGAGCCGAGATCGCACCACTGCCCTCCAGCCTAGGCAACAGAGCAAGAGTCTGTCTCAAAAAAAAAAAAAAAAAAGAAAGAAAAAAAAGAAAAGTTTTTTGCATTGAACTGGATTCTGCACATATCTATACACATGCTCCAATCCCACTAATTCATCTTTTTTCCCAATGCCCAACCTAAACACTGAGAGAAAAAAAAAGAGCAGCCTCTGACATTCAGAAGTTGGCCTAACAGAGCTAAACCATGTTATTCACCTAGTAGGCATAAACTATATTACAGAATACCAATCTCAGACAAGTTTACTCCTAGACCTTGATAAAGTGAGACAATGCAAGGCTGCTTCACAAGTTTTTCTGAGCACAGATCCAAAAAAAGACACTGTGCCACCCACAAAATACCAAACACCCCTTCTCTTGGTTAACAGAAATGTTTGCTACTTCTTTACCAATTATAGCTTTCCCCTCGTTCTAGTCTCCCCTCCCTATAGAAAATATTTATTTGGGTATTCATTCACAGGATCTGCTCTGCTTTCTAACAGCATTAATCCAGAGCAAACCCCCACTTCCTTAGACCTTTCCCCAAATCACCTAACCAAAACCCAAACCCTATCATAGGTTTTTTCCTAACACTCTTATTAAAATGTCCCACACTCCCCATGGGGTGCATTCTCCATTGCTGCAAGGAGTAATAAACCCAGCATGTTTAATGACAGTTATGTTCCTGGGGGGTCTTTGGCTGGAAAACACGGGTAACAGTGTTCTTTGCTTCCTTCTTAACTCTCTGGGATCTACATTGAAGACCTGGCCCCATGTTGTGTGGGAGAAGCTGGTACAAAGGCAGGAGGTGCTCTTAGAAAGGACAAAACCAGTAATGCATTCACTCAACAAATATTTATGGAGCACCCACACATGCCACAGACTGTTCTAGGTACCAAGGACAATAGACAAATAAAGCAGGATCCCTGAATTTTTAGGAAGCTCTCAGTTGGGGTAGAGGTGAGAAACACACATAAACAGATCGTCTTGATTGTGGAGATTAGTGCAGTGATCAAAGTATGCCCTGGGGACTGCTATGTGCTTATAGATGTGGTGCCTAAACCAGTGTCGGAGAGGAGTGGGGGATCAAGAAAGGCTTTCAGGGAAGGAGGCGTTTGAGGCCCTGGAAGGCTGAGGACAAGCTAAGAAGAAGGAACAATGAAAGCGGGTCAGGGAGATGTAAACAATGTGGTGAGTGGGGAATTTTAGGCAATTTGGCCTTTCTGGAGTGAAAAATGGGAAGCAGGTGGGGGCAGGGGTTAGGCTGAAGGCAGGCCAACGTGCAGTTCAGGCTTTATCCTTTAGAGAAGGGAGGCATTATTGAAAGTCCAACAAGTTCTAACATGACCAGATTATATTTTTAGAAATCATTTGAATATCTGCAACTTACTTTAAAATGCATAAAATTATAAGATGGATAGAAGGATGAAGGAATGGGTCGATGGAAACATATTTGATAAAGCAAGTACAGTAAAATGCTAATGAGAAAATGTAGGTGGTAATATTTGGATGGTCACTGTAAAATTCATTCAACTCTTCTGTCAGAAGATTTTCAAAATAAAATTTTAGAAAAGCATAGACTTTGGCCTGGGTAATGGAAGATGGATTGGGCAGAATAAGTCTGGAGGCAGGGAAATGAGAAAGGCAGCTGTCATAATCCAGGTGAGGGCTGATCTAGACAGTGCTAGGAGGAAGATGGGTGGAGTCCTGTGGTAGGCGCTAACATCAAGGAGGTTGGGGCCTCAAGGACTGTAAGAATGAGGAAGAAGAAAGAGTTGAAGATAACACCTAGGTTGGGTGACTGTGTGGGGGTTGGTAGCAACAATGAGTATAAAACAGGCAGCAGGATCAGGTCTGGGAAGGGGGACAAGATGACTTCATGACCCCAGAGTTTCTATAGGAATATGCTTTGGGAGCTTGCAGACCCCTGGCTCCTCAAGGGGGCCACTCTGGTGGGGGAAGGGGCTCAGTACCGTGGATCTCCATCTCTTGACACTTGCCCCAGTTTTCACTGGATTTCCCCAGGAGTGGAGTGGCTCTTACTCTCCCTCCCTAGGGAGCAGCTCTTCCACCCTCCTAATGACTTCTCCACTCCTGCCATGCTTTTTCCTCTTTTAGCTTTTGAAAACCATCTTTCTCCTTTCTCTGGTTTTCCAAGCCAGATACTCAAATTTGACCCTCCCTGGAGAGTACACCCTCTATGCTCACTATCTCTTTTCCCTTCTGCTCATCTTAGCATCCCCCAAGTGTTGCCCTTGGCTCTTTTCCAATACCATTGTTTCTTTTTTATGTTCTCGCTTTCCTGTGGGTGACAGATTATGGAGTTGTGGGTTGAATTTTGTCTGCCAAGGACATATTGAAGTCCTAGCCCCAGGTACCTACGTATGTGGCTTTATTCAAAAATAGGGTCTTGGCCAGATGAGGTGGCTCACCCCTGTAATCCCAGCACTTTGGGAGACCAAGGTGGGCAGATTGCTTGAGCTCAAGAGTTGGAGACCAGACTGATCAACATAGCAAAACCCTGTCCCTACAAAAAATACAAAAATTAGCCAGGCATGGTGCTGTGTGCCTGTAGTCCCACATGCTGTGTGCCTGTAGTCCCACCTACTCGGGAGGCTGATGTGGGAAGATCACTTGAGCCAGTGAGGTGGAGGTTGCAGTAAGCCGAGATCATGCCACTGCACTGCAGCCTGGGTGATAGAGCCAGACCTTGTCTCAAAAAAGAAAGAAAGAAAGAAAGAAAGAAAGAAAGAAAGAAAGAAAGAAAGAAAGAAAGAAAGAAAGAAAGAAAGAAAGAAGAAAGGGAGGGAAAGAAGGAAGGAAGGAAGCAAGGAAAGAAGGAAGGAGGGAGGGAGGGAGGGAAGGAAAGAAGGAAAGAAAGAGAGAGAGAAAAAGAAAATAGGGTCTTTTCATCAAGTTCAGATGAGGTCATATTGGATCAGGGTGGGCCATTATAAGAGGAGGGAAATTTTGACACAGACACATGGGAGACGGCCATGTGAAAATGCTGTCAGAGATTGGAGTGAGGCATCTACAAGCCAAAGAATGCCACGGATTGCCAGCAAACACCAGGAGCTAGAAGAGGCAATGAAGCATTTTTTCCTAGAGCCTTTGGAGAGAGCATGGCTCTGCTGACACCTTGACTTCAGACTTCTTGCTTCCAAAACTGTAAGAGAATGTGTCATTGTTTCAAGCCACACAGTCTATGGTGATGTGTTATGGAAGCCCTAGGAAACTAATATAGCAGATAAGTTGTGTGTGTGTGTGTGCATGTATACGTGTGTGTGTGTCCGTCTGTGTAGGGAAATACCGTGGAAAGTTACTATTTGTTATAGCCATTTTATCATATATTTTATGAGATTTTATCTTTTCAAGTCAACTTTGCATGTGCTTTGTGTTGAAAGACCTGAGTTTGAACATTCATACCATATTTGGAATATGGGAATGTAACCATACCTAATTTAAGCAGTTGTGAGAAGCAAATGGAATAATGTATCTGAATCCATTTAATAAACTGTTCAACATTGTAAACATGCTGTTAGTAGTATCATAACTGTGTGAAGAGGCAGAAAACACTTTGGACTGGGGGATGGAAATCTTGGCCAGGGTTCAGTATTCACTTGACTTCCCGGCCATAACATCGAATGAATGGCCAGGACTCTCTTTGAGTAAATGAGCTTCTGAGAGGCTCCTAAAGAGGCGACCCCCATCCCTCACGGCTGAGAAGAGTGTGATCATCGTTTAAGGTTAAGGTCCAGGTTGGAAGACCTCCCCAAATTTAAACCTTGCTACAAAGTATTCTTTCATTTACTTTGAACCCTTCCTTCATTTACATCCCTTTAGGAACCAGGCCCTGTAGTGCTCAAGGAGGGTGGGAGAGTGAAACGAAAAGGAGTGAGATGCTGCTTCTGTTCTCGAGGACTTCACAGTCAACTTGCGGTAAGTGCTGCAGGGAGATGGCTGTAGTGGCTTTGGGAGTGTGCACACTTTTCCAACAGAAAGTACCAGGAACCCTGCCTGGGGAAGGCTTCCTGGAGGAGGTGAGGTGGAGCTGGTCCACGAAAATTGAGTGGGATTTCCAAGACATCAGTCTTTCGCGGGAAAAGAGAAATTAGGGCATGGTTTTAATTTAGTAAATATTTATTAATCAAGTACCCCATTCTAGGGTCCGTGCTAAGTGTCTGGGGTTGGTAGAGTCAGGAAGTATAAAATCAACTTAAGACATTTGGGAAAGATCTCCCTTTGTAGTAAGGAAGTTGAATCTGTACACAATGAAAGGAAACAAGGTAAAAGGCGCGAAGTCCATGACCATGACGAGGGCTGTGAGAACTGTAAATAGGGATTTGGGCAGTCCCGGCTGATTCTGAATAAAAGTCCGGAGGGGCGTTACTTTCGGGTCTCGGCCTGTGTGTCCCCAGCCCTTTGTTGTCCCCTCCGCAGGAAGGTGAAGGCTGTTTATGTAATCGGCGGCGCCTCGCGGGCGACTGGGGGAACTGGATGGGGGAGCCTGGCCAGGGCTGACTGAGCGCCCCTGGAATCCGTGCTCCGGGCGTTGGCTCACTCCCGCCCCGACACCTGGGCCCGCCCTCCCGCTGCGCAGCCACGCGCCGGGCAGCAGCGTGGGCTGGCGGGCGACTCCCCACGCCTCCTGCAACACCGCCCTCTCCCTACCGGAGCGAGGAGGCAGGAAAAGCCTAGAGACGCCTGGTCCCATCCGCCTACCCAGTCCCCAGCCGGCCTGAAGGGAGGAAGAGGAAGGAACCCATAATCATCCCAAACTGGCGCAAATGGTGGGTTTTACTGTCCAGAGGTCATTTCGTCTCTGCGTTTCCAACCTCCTCGCCCTTTTACTTTTTTTGGGCTCACTCAGGAAACTGGAGCAGTCCTTCTCTGGGTTTAACTTCAGTCCCTCACATGGCAACACTAGGAATGATCAAGACTTTTGTTGCGGGTAGTGGTGATGTGGGTTTGAGAGGAGGATGCATCTGGTCGTGGGATTAATTTTGGTTTCTGAGTATTATGAAGAACTAGAAAAGTTTTGCGTATGTCGGTTTTCAGGATGGGGTTCAGATGGGTCAAAGCCCTGTGCAGGTCCACGGGGGCTGCAGGAGGTAAAATGGAGGAGGAGACAGGCGGACAAGCTGGGGTCAGTGGTCCACTCCCCTGTGTCTGTCTTAACCGAGATGCAGCTGGATGCTTGCACGTGGCAGCTTTTTCAACCACCTGTTGATAGACGTTCGTTTCCAGTCTTATCCTGTTACCAACTGTGCTGCAATGAACAGCCTTGTGTATAGCCTTTTAGTGTATTTGAGCCTTTCTTTTCGACCCAGGCATATTGTAAGGAGAGAGGAACTGAGATAGAAGGAATATTTAAAGCAGGGTCAGAGAAATCAGGACTGGATCAGGAGGAAGCCCGAAGGGTGTAACCTTCCCATAGGGCTGCTGGAAGCCTAGCTTCAACCCTTCCAGCTGCAGCACATCCCAAACTGGGGCGAGAAGCGAGTGAGGAGGAGATGCAGAGGAAGGCAAAGAACAACTCTAGCGACCCAGGGTGATCCGGGTGCCGGAAAACAGAAGCTGGAAAAAGGAGATCTGCCCCGGAAAGGAGGCATGGAAAGTGTAGATGTGGGTCCTCGAGGTGGCGTCGTAGAAGACTACCTCTCCGCCCTAGTAATCCAAGCGGACGCCCACTTTGTTCGGACAGATCGGGAGATCCTCCCGGGAACCGCTCTCGATGAGCGCCTGGCACTGGGAGCCGCTGCTGTGCAGCTCCACGAAGCCGGTCAAGGGCTCCACCTCCAGGAAGCCCCGCCTGGGAACCAGCTCCAAGGCCAAGCCCGGCACGCAGGCCCCGCCCCCGGGCCCTTGGAGCTCCGCCTCCCAGGCGCCGCGGCCGGAGCAAAGGCCCAGCGAGCCCAGCACTCAGCGGAACCTGTAGAAGCGTCGGGGGTTGCCCCGCTTCTGCGAACCGCCCTGGGATGCGAGGTTCAGCGTCACTATCTCATCCTGGGAAAGGATGAGATCCGGGTGGGCCGAGGCTGCGTCCAGTGTCACAGGGGCTGTGTGAAGATGAGGAGAAAGAGGTGGCCAACCCCGGGTCAAGTTGTCCAAACCCCCTACCTTCCTCTGATACCCCCGTCCCACCACCCGCCCCGCTCGATGCCGCCAGAGAGGCTTTCTCTTCCCAGTCACAGCCTTTGTGGTCCCCAGAGAAGTCTTAGGCCCGGCACCGCCTCCTCCTCCTCAAAGTTAATCCCTAAATTTCACAATGTGTTGTTCTGTGGGCGCAGAGAGAAGTTCTTCATTGGTGGTGGTGGTGAGATCATTTCAACACCCGAAGATGAGACCATCTCTTCCTTGTCCATTTCCCGTGGCCCCTAATTCCCATGTCTAAGACAAGAATTGAGTCTAGTATAAGAGGGTCAAGGCTCAGACTTTCTGAGGGCCAGTAATTTTCTAAAGTGGAGTTCCTCAAACACAGGGATGAGTGAAAGTGTTGGAATACAAAAGGAGGAATAGTCATCCCCCGCCACACACACATACACTTTTACTAGGATTCCACGTTCAGTCGCAGTTTATTAAAGTTAGAAGTGTCTCCATCCACCCCCTACAGAGGCTTGCGTGGTGGTTCCAGTCTGCTAAATATTTCAGAATGGGGACCTCATTCTATCTACTGATTTATCAAATCTCATTAATTAATTTCCCTTGCTGATATGAGGGGTTGGGAGAGAAGGGGGACGTGGGAATGTAAGGAAGAGCGAGAGTGGTCGGGCTCATGGGGTTTGATGGACTGTGACCCAGGCTGGCGTTGCTCCTCTCCGGATTTCACTCCTGGCTGAACTGGTGCCTTCGGTAAACAGCTGCTTAAAGAGTGCGGGGACTGCTGCAGGGACTTCCTTTTTCCACTAGGCGGCACCACAGCCAAAGTGATAAGAAGTCAAGCGTGGGGCGGGTGGCTGGAGATTGTCTCTTCCCCTCCTTTTGCTCAAGAACTCGTCCATTCCTTCTCCAACTCTCTTCACCACCACCCCCGCCCCCATCTCCACTCTCAGTAGCCCGAGCCCTCCCATTCTCCACTCCTTCGACCCAATTCCACTAAGTCAAGAACCGTGGTCGGTCTCAGCCACTCACTCAGCGCCACTCTATGCTCCGAAGTCCGTGTAGCACCACCGCTCCCCGTGTTCTCTGAGCTGGCTTAGCTTGAAGGAACCTCACAAAACCAAGCCCGGATCGCTGTCAGCCACTCACTCAGTGCCGCATGGAGCTCCTCGGACAGCGCAACGTCAAATGTCTTCGTATCCTGAGAGCTCGCTCCTTGACCAGAAATCTCATCATAAGAGGCCAGGAGACATACTGGAAAAGTGACTTTCCCAGCAGACGAGGCCCGAAACAGGGAGTGGGATGGGGCTGAAGAGTGGTGATTTGGTGGCCCCGATGTAGTTCTGCCGCCTTTGCGGGAGAAGGAAAGGAGAAAAGAGGTCAGCGGGAGCACCTCGGCAGCAATCCTCCATTGCCAGACAGCACAGCTGAGCTCTACATACAGCAGGAGGGATGGAGGTGAAACTCAAGAAAGTACACCTGAACAAGTCGGAGCGCCCTCTGTTTCCTGGCAGAGGTGTAATTTGGGGAGGAACTGAGGAAATGGAATAAATGAATTCATTCATTTATTCATTTATTCCATTTAGTGGAATTGGGTGGATACAGCATTTTGACCACCTGTAGACTTAGAGGTCCCTTAGTATTCAGAGACAGGACTCTTACCTGCAGAAGATGACCCGGGCTCTGAGGTTTTGTTCATTTTATGATTATTTTTCTGTAACAAGCCCCCTAAAAATTGGGGAGAGAAAACCTATTTGGTCTTGATAACCAGAAGCTGCAAATTAAAAACAAAAACAAGCACCCTGCCATCATCAATCAGAACAGTCAATGGTTCTCAGTGGGACCCATTCCCCACCCAGGGGGAAGTGTGGAAACCTTTCAGGTTGTCTCAGTGACAACAAGAGTGTGGTTCTCTACTGGCTTATAGGGCTTTCTGGGGCCTGGGATACTAAGCATTTAACAGGGCAAAAGTCATGGAGCATAACAAAGATGGCCTTTCTAAACACCGGTAGCTCCTTTTGTGGAGAAATGCTGGTGGAATAGGATCCCTAAATCCTGCTCTCTGGCTTTGGAATGCATTCTGTAGTTTCTGGCTTTGGAGAAAGGAGTTCTAATTCTCTCTCTTTCACTTAATGATCATATGACCTGGGTAACTTACCTCCCCTCCCGGAAGCTACATGGACCTCACTGTAAGTTGCAGATAATAACACCTATCTTGGAGGATAGTTGTGGGGTTTTGAAATATTAGATGCGCACATAGTGGTCCTTTAAGAAATGGTACTTCTACTGTTATTGTCTTAGGTGGCAGAACCATATCTAATGACTTTAGCACAGGCTGTTATTACAGTGGGTCTCCATCCCCTGAGCTGTACTGACCTCACACCCAGAGGAGTTTGCCTCGAAACCTGGTGCCCTGTAGGGGCAGCAAATACTACAGAGGTGGAGCTGCCTCCTTGTCCCACTTTTTCCTCCCTGTCTCTAGGAGTGAAGAAATACATTTGTAATTTTCTATTACTTCTGAATACTTCAAAGTTTGGGATTAGTGACTGTTTTGTGAGTTACCTGAGTTTAAAATAATAAAACAACCATATGCCTGTTCTCTCAATTGGCTGAGGAATCGGCATTCACTTATATCTGGCCTTCATGTAATCATAGAGACACAATTCTTCCCCTTTTCTCACTTTCCCCAAATGGCAGAAGCAACCAACCATCATTTCTCACTTACAGCTCTTCATGTCATTTTTATTCATGCTTTTGAAGAATCTGTTTTCATCTTTTTTCCTATCAGCCTGGAGTTGGTCTGGGGAATAAAGAATGGGATGAAATGGTGAGAGTCCAGAGGGGTTGAGCAAAGAACTCACTATCACACAGCAAGGCACTAATTTGAAATGCCTGGGAGAAGTAGAAGCTGCATTTGACTCTCATATTCTTATTGGACCAGGAAGGTATGCAACCCTTGAGAGATGCCCTTTCTGCTTTCCTGTGGTGACTGCCTAGCCCAGCACTGTCCAGTATGAATGATGAATGTAATCTGAGTCACGAATGTGAGCCACTTATATATTTTTAAATTTTCTAGTAGTCACATTTAAAAAGTAGAAAGAAACTAGTAAAATTAACTTTAATTATATATTTTATTTAACTCAATATTCTCAAAATGTTATTTCAACATGTATTATAAAAATTATTGCTATCTTTTACAGTCTCTTTTTACACTCAATCTTGTGAAATTAATGATTCTTCACATATAGCATGTTTAAATTTGGACTAGCTACATTTCAAGTGCCTGTCAGCACATGTGGCTAGCAGCTACTAAATTGGACAGTGCAGAGCTAGCCCCTTTCTCACTGCCTGACAAAGGTAGGTGCTCAGGACAAAGAGTGCCTTGAGGCTTCACCCTTTAGCTTCAGAAGGCCTACTGTAGGGCTAACCACCCAGGAGCCAGGTGGGGTAAGGGGGGGCCCCACTCTCCTAAAGCCTGGATGGCAGTCCTGCCCTCTTTCCCATGAAAGAGGGCTTGAGAGGGGGAACGAAGACAGAGCTCCTGCAAGGGGAGGCCGAGTGCCTTCATCTCCCAGTTCACCCCTGCCAGAAGAGACTCCTTTTGCAGGTAGAGGATGAGCCCAGAAGTTGGGGACAATGGCCCATTCCTGGCCTAGATTTCCTGTAGGGGTGCTGGACTGAGTGGAGAACTATAGGGTGGAGCCCCTAGATGGGGAGCTACTTCTGGCCCCAGCACCCTTCCCCCAGTGTCTTGCAGCCCCAAGACAGCACAAGACAGCCTGGGGCTAGGTAGTGGGACAAGCGTGGGCAGCTTCCCTGAGAGCCACCAGCCCAGTCATGGGGACTGCTCAGGGGAGACGCGGGGGCCCTCTTAGGAGGGGTCTGCAAACCTAGAGCATAGGAAACACTGCCTGGGAGCACTTCACCTACAAGGGCCTTTAGCGGCTTCAGGGCCCAGCCACACCCTTCTCCACGTACGTGTTCCAGACCCAGTCACCCCGAGCAGGGAGAACCAACCCTCATAATAAGAACTGTGGAGATTGGACCTGTGGTATAAGTAGACTCCCTACCACCTCCTGTATTTCCTAGGCTTTAATAGGGCCAGGTGGCCATTGTGCCTTCTTCTTTGGGGTAAAAATAAAATAAAAATAAGAGAAAAAAAAAGAAGGAAATAGGGCCAGGTGGGAGTTGGGGGACTGTGTGTGTGTGAGTTTGTGTATGTGAAAGAGGGAAAGAAAAGGGGGATACAGAGTAGAGCACACCAGTCTCCCCAACTCCAAACCTGATGAAGTGGAAAGGGCTGGGCTCCTTTATTGAAATTCCAAACTAGAACCAAACTATTCTTGACCTGAAGAGCCTAGAAAGGTGCTGGATCGGGCTGGACGTGGTGGCTCACGCCTGTAATCCCAGCACTTTGGGAGGCTGAGGCGGGTGGATCACAAGTCAGCAGTTCGAGACCAGCTTGACCAACCTGGTGAAACCCCGTCTCTACTAAAAATACAAAAAACTAGCTGGGCATGGTGGTGTGCGCCTGTAACACCAGCGACTTGGGAAGCTGAGGCAGTAGAATTGCTTGAAACCAGAAGGCGGAGGTTGCAGTGAGCCGAGATTGCGCCACTGCACTCTATCCTGGGCAATAAGAGCAAAACTCTGTCAAAAATAAATAAATAAATAAACAAATAAATAAAGTTGCTAGATCGGCTGAGATCATGCCCAGTGGGGTGGGAGGAGCTAGACAAAGCAGAGCAGTTAGTGGACAAAAGAAAAGCTCAGACAACAAAATTAAGAATAAAACAAAACATGCTTTCCTGTTTATGTCTGCCGAGTGGAGATTCCCGGCTGAATGGGTGGAGATCTTGGGGCATTGCCCTGGTCCTCCTTTTCTGTAGTCCCAAGGGGAAGTGTTTGTGTATGGGGGGCTGGGGGTTGGGGTGGGGGAGGTGGGTGTGGAACTCCAGGTGATAATTTCAGAAGATTCCATCTAGCTGTCTTTATGCCCACCTTAGACCAACACAGTCTTCACATTAAGGGGAGTCCTTACAAATACTAACCCTTCTTCCTAGTTGCAAACACAGAAAGGTTTATGAAAAATATCTGGCCGAACATCTAAAACCCAAGTCATCCACTACTGTTCTGCTGATTTCTGTTTCCCTGTAAGGCTGGAAGAGGTTTCTCCCCAGAATGTCACTGATTTTGAATTTATTTTCTCTTCTTCTGTAGGCAGGAGGAGACACCAGTGTGCACCAGAGAAGGAGAAGTCAGAGATGACAGTCCCTGCCTGAGGCCATCTCTGGTCCACCAGACAACTCATCACCAACTTCCCAACAGCCACTGCTCTAGGCCAGGTGTCCACATGGGGAATAGGTCCAGGCCCTCTATGGCTCTCGCAGGAGTCAGGGAGGCAGATAAATAACATATCACGAAGACAGAATATAAGAAATGCCTGGGAGGAGGCATACTGATGCGTGGAAAGTACTCAGCCAGAAGCCTGGCACTAGAAGGGCCCAGGGATTGTTGGCATGTATGAGTCACAGTTCCATTTCAGTGGAGTGAGCAGGGAGAGAATCTCCTGGAAGTAGGTGAATAGAGAAAATACAGCCTCTTCCTTACCTTTGAATTTTTTCAGGCTCCCTGTGATGGAGTCGTGTCTTGATTTTGCTTCACTGAGTTTTTTCTCCAGTTCTAGAGGAACAGGGGTTGGGTTGAGAAACTGAAACTCTTCACTTCTAGGAAGATGTGGTTGAGCTGGTTGGTGAGATCAGGGGATGAGGTGTGGGAGAAGGAGGATCTGAGATATGGGGTTGAGAAATGAGGGGATGAAGACCTGGGGGTAGAACTGAGAGCGGTGGATCACACCTGTAATCCCAGCACTTTGGGAGGCTGAGGCGGGTGGATCACCTGAGGTCAGGAGTTCAAGACTAGCCTGGCCAACATGGTAAAACCCGGTCTCTACTAAAAATATGAAAATTAGCCAGGCTTGGTGGCAAGCGCCTGTAGTCTCAGCTACTTGGGAGGCTGAGGCAGGAGAATCACTTGAACCTGGGAGACAAAGGTTGCAGTGAGCTGAGATTGCACCACTGCACTCCAGCCTGAGCAACAAGAGCAAAGCTCCATCTCAAAAAAAAAAAAAAAAAAGAAGACCTGGCGGTTAAGGGATAGTGAGCTGGGAGTCAGAAAGTCAGGGCTAGGGATATGGGGCAGGAGTGAGGTAGGGCATAGGGAGATATGGAAATGAAGATGGGAGATGGAGACAGAGAGGAGGGAAAAAAACAGGGTCAGGGAGACAGAGTAGGGGACCCAGGAGCTATTCAGTTGAGCAAGGGGGCATTCAGGAAATAGTAGAATCTGTGCTGAAGAAGGAGGAAGGCTGAGAAAACAGCTGGTTTCTTTAACAACCAACCACTTGCTAATATGGTCGGCATAGGCATTCCCCGGCTGCAGCCTAAATGTATGAATGCAGAGTTAGAGGTGGGTGGGTATTTCTGAGAGAGGAATGTTGACTGCATTTGGATATACGCTGAGAATTGTGTGTGGATGAATCAGTAGGCAAAATACATTTGGGGTGGCCCATCATACCTGCACAAGACGACTTTGATATCCTAGAAGAGAAAGAGAAACAGCACAGCCTCAGCACTTGGCTGATTCCCAGGAGCCAAGGAGGAGATACAGAGCCTGCTGGGTGTGGGGCAGAGCAGGAGGAGTAAGAACCCCTCCAAGTCTCTCTTACCCCATCCTCCTCCCCTCTCCCCACCACGAAGGGCTTCTCCAAGAAGCACTGCTCTGCCAGTAAGCAGAAAAGTGTTTTGACCTCAAGAAGAACTGAGTGAAGAAGAGAAGAGTGAGATTTAGAAGATGAATTTGGCTCTGAGACTGAACAAGGGAGCCTGCTAGCCAGGGCAGGAGAAAGGCTAGAATGGCTTTGCATGATCTTTCTTAAAATAAATAAATAGGTTTTTGAACCTGTGGGAGAATAGATGACTTGAGGAGGAATCATCTCAGCTTGTTTTAAGCACCAGCTAGACTTGCACTGTCCAATATGGTAGCCACCAACCACATGTGGCTACTGAACATTGGAAATTGTGGCTAGTGTGACAAAGAACTGAATTTTTAATTTCATTTTTACTAATTCAAATTTAAATTAAAAATAGAGGCCAGGCACGGTGGTTCACGCCTGTAATCCCAGCACTTTGGGAGGCTGAGGTGGGCAGATCACTTGAGGTCAGGAGTTCGAGACCATCCTGGCCAACATGGTAAAACCCCGTGTCTGCTAAGAATACAAAAATTAGCTGGGCGTGGTGGTGGGGACCTGTAATCCCAGCTACTTGGGACTTGGGCCTAGGAGGCGGAAGTTGTAGTGTGCCAAAATCGCGCCACTGTACTCCAGCCTGGGCAACAGAGCAAGATTCCATCTCAAAAAATAAAATAAAATAAATAGAAGAAGGGTAAAGTACTTTTTCCATTAAACACAACTTTATTGATTTGGTAAGACTATATTTTACTTTAACAATTGACAATTTAGCATCTGAATTGAGATGTGCCAAAGTGAAAAATATACACACAATTTCAAAGACTCAGTGTAAAAAAAAAAAAAAAAAAAAAACCACCAAAAACCCAGAATGTGAAATATCTCATTAATACTTTTAAAATATTCATTACAGGCTGAAAGGATAATATTTCAGATATATTGAGTTAAAATATTTTATTAAAATTAATTTCACTTTTATCATTTTAATGTGACTAACCAGAAAAATTTGTAATTCCATATGTGGCTGAAACTACATTTCTAAATCACACATGTGGCCAGAATTATATTTATGAATTACATATGTGGCTCACATTTTCATTCTAATACATGCGGCTCACATATTGCTATTGGACAGCACTGGGCTAGAGGTAGGATGGTTGGGGCAATCTCAGGTATTCTGCCAGTGGTCCATGCTCTGACCTGAGACTAGGGATGGGCTGCTACCTCTCTGCAATTCTGCCCCCAAGGGACTCACCTCCAGCAGCTGCCTGGGTGGCATGTTCTGCTTGGTCTTCAGGGAATCAACGAGCTTCTTGAGATCGTTCAACTGTGGCTCAGTGGAGGCAACATAGTGTTTCCCCGCTTCCGTTCCCTCATGACCCAGCCAGTAAATCCGTGATAGCAGGAAATTCTTCTCCTCCTCTAGGACTTGATGCAGGAGTTCAAATTCTGTGAGGATCCTTTGCTTCTCATGTTCTACCTGGTCCTAAGAAACAGGGACAGGCAGAGGGTGAGAGGATGGCCTCGAAGGTCCTTCTAGCCCACTTTATTCAGCCATTAATTTTATTAAGTTTGTGTGGAATTCCCAACCAGAGCAATGTGCCAGGGCAGACCTGGAAGAAAGGAAAGGAGAGGAGAACAAACTTCTAAAAGCACCTACTACGTGCTCAGCTTTAAGCGAAATTATTAATTTATGGTTTACCACTTGCCTTCAAGGAACTGTCTAATACAATTCCAGAAGGCTTTTCAGTTTATAATCTTTCATATAGATTTTATTCCTTTCACGCACACAGGAAAATAGGTAAGTGGGGTCACAATGTCTTCATTTTCCTTCTGTCTTTTTTTTTTTTTTTTTTGAGACAGTCTCTCACTCTGTCACTCAGGCTGGAGTGCAGTGCACGATCACGGCTCACTGCAGCCTCATCCTCCCAGGCTCAAACAATACTTTCACCTCCCAGCCTCTCTAGTAGCTGGGACTACAGGCGTGTGCTACCACGCCCGGCTAGTTTTCTTTCTTTTTTTTTTTAATTAAGAGGAGAGTCTCTCTATGTTGCCCAGGCTGGTCTCAAACTCCTGGGCTCAAGCGATCCTCAGCCTCCCAGAGTGCTGTGATTACTGGCGTGAGCCACCGCGCCCGGCCAATGTCTTCATTTTCTAATTGGGGAATCCGTTGAGGGCGCAGCTCGGCCTTAAAAACCTGTACTTGCGATTCTAAGACCAGCGCGGGTTTTCCGTGCCCCACCTTGTCTGCCGGTGGAGACTGAGCAGTCAGCCCGCTGTAATAGCGAGGCCGACGCGGGAGGTGATGCCGCCTGGCCGGTCAGGTGCTGAGGCGCCGAGGAGAGGACATGGCTCACTGGATCTTTTTCTGAGGGGTCAGTGTAATAGGGGATTCCAGGAGCTTTGGCAGAGATGTTTCTGCTTCCAGAGATCGTGGGATGGAGTTTTTCTTACCGTGAAGACATCGACCCTGTGTACACCTTGTGCCTTCACTTGTACTGTCTCCTTCTCCTTTTGCTGCAAGACTTGGATCTGCTCTTGAATCTGCCCCTGCGGAAAGAGGGCCGTTTGGACAGGCTGTGCCTGGAGATTTCTGGCCTCATAAAATCCTCCTGGTCTCTTAGGAGAGCTGGTGACACTCTCCAGGTGAGTCCTTGTGTAATTATTAAGGACTCGCCTTTCTCAAGCTGGCGGGGAAAGGGGTTGCTGAGAAGGGAGAAATCTGGAGCCTAAGTGACCTAAATGACCAGAACATAGTTATTTATGACTAACTAGGACTATGGATGGTGCTTTGGAATTATCAAAGAACTACAAACTTCCCTTCATCTGTCCTACCAACAACTTTAAGAGAGTTGTTTTGTTTTTGCCATTTGAAAGGTGAGGTACCTGAGGCTCAGAGAGGTAAAGTGATTCCTTGCAGGTTGTACAGTAAACTCACAAGACTGGGCTTGAGCCCAAACCTTCTGAGTCAAATTTTCACATCCTTTCCATTCTCCATTGCACCTTGATTTAGAGAGTCAGCAGTTCCCCAGACTCAGCTCTTTGAACCCACTGTGCCTGACTGCGAGCTGCCCACTCAAGCCCAAGGGGTGGGGGCAATGGGGTGCAAACCCTCAGTGGGAAGGTAGCAGTTTCCAGGGCCTCACTGAACTCCTGGGCTGATGGGGGAACAGGGAAGAAACCTCAAATGCCTACCTGATAATTCTGGGCAGCTTCTTCGATCAAGCTGACATTATGGGATTTGTGGTCCTTGGATTCACGACACACAAAACAGAGGAACTTCCCATCATCCTCGCAGAAATAGTGGAACATCTCCTGGTGCCTCGGGCATGTAGCCTCTTTCCTTTTGGACTGCACCTCAGAGGCTTGTAGAGCTTGGATTTTCTCCACCAGATTCCGCAACAGCGAGTTGAACCTGATTGCGTTCTTCCTTACGGAAGTTTTGCAGAGGGGACATTTGAAAAATCCACATGATGTTTCCCCAATCTGAGTGATGCATTTGAGGCAGAAATTGTGCCCACAGTCGATGGTGACAGGTTTCTGCAGAATGTCCAGGCAGATGGGGCAGATCACTTCCTCTTGCAGTTTGTTCACAAACTGCCCACTGGCCATGACAGAACAACAGGGCTGTTTCAAGACTGTAGGAAGCTGTGCCAAGTCTGTAGGAGCCCCGGAGTCCACTGTGGATACTGTTTCTAGGAAGGGAGAAGGGAGTCAGAGAAAGTGGAGGTCAGAGATTCTGCCAATTAGTTAGAAGAGCAGAGAGAGAGGAAAAGAAGAGGGAGAAAAAAATAAAGAAATGATAGAAAAGCGTAAAATTTAGGATCTAGAAAATATTATAAAGAGAGGAAAACAGATGGGCAGTCCTACCTTGCTACCTCTTGAGAACAAATGGATACTTTGAATGTGTAATAGGCTGCTTATAAAGTGAAATAAGTTGTCCTGAACTTTGGACTAAAGGTATGTTTGTATGGTGGTTGACTAAGATCAGAATGACCGGGGCACCAAACACCACTTATGGGGCATTTCCCAATCAGCTCTGAGTAGGGAGTGGAGGGGTGGGTGGTGATGCCTACTGAAAGGTCACAGCCAGTTCACTGCAATGCTTTGGGCATCTTGTATGCAAAGTTCAAGCCTCGGTAGAGCATCTGGAAAGTAGGGGAAGGGCAATTCTCTACCTCAGGTGCTTTGGCTCCTCACAGAATTTTGTGAAAATGTGGAGGTTATCATCACCTACCTTGGGGAATTTCCAGTCACAGGGTCAACCAACCACTCCCTAGCTCAGTAGGATAGGCAAGGAACTTCCTTTCTAAAGAGTTGTTCTTTGTTTTTGCACTTTGCTCTTGCCCCTGGTGATCTTCTGTCTCCCCACAACACCTGTAGTAGTCTGTCCTCTGTTGATTTTTTCTCTGTATGTCTCCAGTATGCTGGTGTCTCCGTGCCCATTCTTTGCTTTGCCAATTCTGTCTATATGTTCTTCTTCTTCCTTCTTGGTGCTTCTCTGATCCCTGACTTGCCTTCTATGGCTTTTGTTATGACTAGGAATATATCAACCAGTGTTACATACATTCCCTTCTGTACATTCATGTCCTAACCTTCCCTCCTTGCCTCTTGTCTTAAGGAAAAGGGTGCTTCCTCCCTACCCCTTCTCTTGGTATAGCTTCCACCCTCACCTCCTCACTCTCCATTATCAGCCGTCTGTCCCCAGCAAGAAGTACACCATTAATTTTTGTCTGATCTTAATCTTAGGTCAAACAGGGCTTGTGGATGATTATTATAATAATAGCCAGAGTGATCATACACTCTGCTTTGCCTGGAACCATCCTGGGTTTCACTTTGTCCTGGTGTAATTATTAATAGCACCTCCTTTCACTTTCAGAAATGTCCAGTTTGGACTATAAATTATGTGGCTCCCCTTATAGCAACTGCTGTAAACCAAAGACTTTCAGAAATGTTATACCTCCAGACCTTTCTTTTTGTTTGTTTTAGGGTTAAATTAAAACAGTCTAACATCTGTAAATTGTTTTACTTACACTCCTAAACTGCTGGCCCCTAGAAGCAGAATTTAACTTTTGACAGGTTTTGTTTGACTGGCATGATGATTTAGAAAATAATGATAATGTAGATGCCTTTAGAGAGGGTGGCTATGTTCCCCACCGCTCTGCTACCTCACGTCTCCTTGGCCCTTGAAGGCATTTGACATTATGACTCTGATTTATAGATTTATTTTGCTTATATTACCTCATTTAAGTCTCACCTGTAAGAAATTATCTTTATCCTTTCTCAAAAAAGGAACTCAGTATTCTTCAGAATCACTTGGAAAACTTGTTAAAATTCAGATTTGCTGAACTCCAGTAGAGACTTTCTCTTTCAACAGGTCCTTGGTGGAGCCTGATGATTGACATCTTAAGCAAATTCTCTGGAGAAGTCGATGCTCCTGATGGAGGCTCACACATTGATAACCCCTGGTTTAGAGACACTACTAATTGTTCCAGCTCATCCAGCTAATAAATGACAGATCTCAGACTTAATTCCAGGTTTCCTATTCCACATTAAGTCTTCTTTATTCTTTCTTGTTTCAGCATTAATGAAAACAAATAGTAATCTTTAAAAATGATAAACAAATATTTTAAAAGAACATTGGTATTTCAATGAAGCTGGGCAACCCAGCAGAGAGAATGAAAATACTCATATGAACACCACTGGAGAGTTTCAAAGAACTGTCACCAAACAGGTACTGATGGCTTCATGAGGAAGGAAATTTAGACATAAAAAATGAGAATCTACAGTGTTTCAAAGGTGCTTTACTCTCTCAGAATTATTATTGTTATCCTGGGTCATCCATCCACTGGACTGAATGGAGATATATATATACATATATTTTTTTTCTTTCTTCTTTCTTTTTTTTTTTTTTTGAGACAGAGTTTCACTATTATTGCCCAGACTGGAGTGCAATGGCGTGATCTCGGTTCACTACAACCTCTGAATCCCCGGTTCAAGTGATTCTCCTGCCTCAGCCTCCCAAGTAGCTGGGATTACAGGCACCTGCCACCACATCCAGCTAATTTTTTGTATTTTTAATAGAGACGGGGTTTCACCACGTTGGCCAGGCTGGTCTTGAACTCCTGACCTCAGATGACCCACCTGCCTCAGCCTCCCAAAGTGCTGGGATTACAGGCGTGAGCCACTGTGCCCAGCCCTTGAATGGATATCTTAAACTCTTAGTAGGCTCAGTAGTCTGAAACCAAATGCCTCCAATTTGCAAGGGCTAGGGTCTTGAGATAGTTGGTATTGTGTTAGTTCCAAAGGACTTCCAAGCCAATTCTGAGGCATAGAGTTTATAAAAATTAGCCATAGAACAGGAAATGATGCAGAGCCTCATGCACATGAGACAGCTGTCACACACAAGAAAGCAGACACAGAGCCATGCAGCAGCGAGTGCACAGATCTGGAGGGGACCTGCCAAGACTAATGGGATGAGACACCTTATCAGAGGCCAGTGAAGGCTAGAGGCAGCTCAGTTGTCAGACTAGACAGCCCCACAATGTTACATAAGCCTCCCTGCATCACGATTCCAGCTACAGAAGCTTCCCCTGCCTCAGGATTCACATTTCCGGGCCTATGTGAATTGGTAGAATGTCTATGGAGGAAAATAATGTGATATGTTTCAAAACTACAAATGCTCATTCCCTTTATCCCAGAAATTCCACCTCTGGGAATTTAGTCTACAGATATACTCACACATATAAATTTATTTTGGACTTTGTGGTAATGTTTGCATTAGCAAAATATTAGAAAACAATCTAAATGTACATCAGTATGGAAATGTTTAAATAAATTATAGCCCAGCTTTATAACAGAATAGAAATAAAAAAGAATCAGGGAGTTCCTTATTTACATATGGAAAATATGGCCAAGATATGTTGTTATGTGAAGAAAGGAAAAAACAAATAATGCAGAAAAATGCATGTACTATGCTACCATTTGGGTAGAAAAAAAATACTTATTTTCTTGAATATCCAAATAAGTTCTTTCTGGAAGGATAAGAATTTAATAACTAACAATGGTTGTCTCTAAGGAGAGGGACTGACTAGCCAGGGAACAGGGGTGGAAGAGAGGCTTTTCTTTGTATGACATATTACATTTTGTGAATTTTTAATTGTATAAATACATTAAGTTTTTTTCTTTTTTAGTACTTTTTACATTATGTTTTACAACATTAAATAGTAAATCAAAAAATGGACAGAGAATGAAATGGACATTTGCAGAGCAATAAAACCAATTAACCAATAAATACTTGAAAACAGTAATCTTGAAAATGCACGCTCAACTCATTGGCTCATGCCTGTAATTCCAGCACTTTGTGAGGCCAAGGCAGGCAGATTTCTTGAGCATAGGAGTTCAAGAGCAGCCTGGACAACATGGTGAAACCCTGTCTCTACAAAAAATACAAAAGTTAGCTGGGCATGGTGGCACACACCTATAGTCCCAGCTTCTTGGAAGGCTGATGCAGGAGGATTGCATGAACCTGCGAGATCGAGGCTGCAGTGAGCCGTGATCATGCCACTGCACTTTAGCCGCCCTACTGCACTCCAGCTTGGGTAACAGAGCAAGACGTTTCCTTAAAAAAAAAAAAAAAAGAAAGAAAGAAAGAAAAAGAAAAAAGAAAATGCCAATTAAAATAAAAGAAGATATCAGTTTATATCTTAAGTTTAAGTCTGGAATATCAAATATAGCCAAGGACATGGAGAAATAGGTACTCCTATACCCTACTGGTGAGAGTATAAATTACAATAATTTAAAAATATTTAGTAGAATTTAAACGGTGTACTTTCATTTCAAGGTTCTGTAATGATAATGATGATGATGAAAATACTGCTACCAGTAAATAAAAGCTAACATTTCTTGAATGCTTACCATGTGCCAGGCACAGTCCCAAGCATTTTGCGTATTAACTCATTTATATAGAGAAGTATTATTATTCCCATTTTGAGGACAAGTCAACGGAGATCAAGAGAGATTAAGCAATTTGCCCCAAAGGTCATTCAGTAAGTAAATAGTGGAATGGGGACTTGAACCCAGGTAGCCTCTAGAGCCTTCTTACACCCTGTATGATTCTGCCTCTCTAGAGAAAACCTTGCACATGTGCACTCAGAGATGCATGTAACAGTATTAATATTGGCTGGGTGCGGTGGCTCCCGCCTGTAATCCCAGCACTTTGGGAGGCTGAGGCGGGCGGATCACGAGGTCAGGAGATCAAGACCATCCTGGCTAACCCGGTGAAACCCTGTCTCCACTAAAAATACAAAAAATTAGCCAGGCATGGTGGCCGGCGCCTGTAGTCCCAGCTACTCGGGAGGCTGAGGCAGGAGAATGGCGGGAACCTGGGAGGCGGAGCTTCCAGTGAGCCGAGATCGCGCCACTGCCCTCCAGCCTGGGCGACAGGGTGAGGCTCCGTCTCAAAAAAATAAATAAATAAATAAATAAATCCTATGTCAGGGTTTTTCAATGATAGCACTGTTGACATTTTAGGCTGGATAATTCTTTGGTGTGTGGTGGCCCTGTGCACTGTAGGATGTTTACCAGCATCCCTGGCCTCTACCACTAGATTCCAGTAGCACTCCTATCCCCCAGTTGTGACAAACAAAAATGTCTCCAAGCATGACCAAATGTCCCTGGGGGACAAAACCTCTGATGGAAAACCAGTGATCTGTATGTAGTCATATGGCTAGGTCTCAAAACAGTAATGAGTATGTGGTGATTTATATACACTTAGAAACACACAACACTTCATATAGTTTGCAGTTTCCATATATGTGATAGAAGTTTAAACACAAGGCCTGAAAGGATACATACTAAATTTATGGCAGTGTTTGCTTCCGGGAGGAGAGAGAGAAAGAGCGAGAGAGGAATGGAACTAAGAAGAGAACTAA
This sequence comes from Homo sapiens, assembly GCF_000001405.40. Lineage (NCBI taxonomy): Eukaryota > Metazoa > Chordata > Mammalia > Primates > Hominidae > Homo > Homo sapiens. Next base: position 1,417,050 of record NT_167249.2, read on the forward strand.
ATGGACAGAGGGATTCTCAAATTTTTTTGAGATTAAAATTTAAAAAATTAAATCTGTAATATTTAATTTTTAAAAATCTGAGGCAAACATAGCAAAATGTTTGTATTTGTTAATTCTAGGTTGTGGTTATAAGGTGCTTGTTATATGATTTTCTATTATTTTCTATATTAAGTTTTTCCAAAGTAAAATATTTTAGTTAAAATAGGAAAAATGTTGAAAATGAACAATGGATAGAAATAAAAATAGAAATTCAGAGGAATTCTAAAATAAATTCTAAAATTAAGAAAAAGTTCAACTCCTTTCCTACTACTCAGGAAAATACAAATAATGCGATACAAATACAAAAATGAGATAAACTTTGTACTCATCAGATTGGCAAAATTTTTCAAAAATGTCCAGAGCTGATGAGGATGTGGAAAAATGGGACTCTTCATATGTGGCTGGTTTCAGTGTGAATGGGCACTATCTTTTTCAAAAGCCTCAAGGCAAATGACTTAAAATGCATTTGAACGGTGACTACAAAGAATATTATAAGAAAAGTAAAATGCACACAGGATTTCAAAAGGGTTTTTAGGCTTCAAGATAAGTCAGGGACGGTGGGGTCGAAATGAAGTCAAGGGACAGCTTACACAGAGATACCCTATAACCAGTCTCCCAACAAGAGAGCTAGATTTTATTTAGTTAAAAATAGAAATTAGAAACAGGAGGTAGTAAAAACAGGGTTTTCTTCCTTTCTTTCTTTTTTTCTTTCTTTCTTTCTTTCTCTCTTTCTTTCCTCCTTCCTTCCTTCCTTCCTTCCTTCCTTTCTTTCTTCCTTCCTTTCTTTCTTTCTTTCTTTCTTTCTTTTTCTTTTTCTTTTTCTTTTCTTTTCTTTTCGAGACAGAGTTTTGCTTTGGTTGCCCAGGCTGGGGTGCAATGGTGCAATCTCAGCTCACTGCAACCTCCGCCTCCCAGGTTCAAGCGATTCTCCTGCCTCAGCCTCCCAAGTAGCTGGGATTACAGGGCTGTGCCACCATGCCTGGCTGATTCTTGTATTTTTAGTAGAGACAGGGTTTCACCATGTTGATCAGGCTGGTGTTGAACTCCTGACCTCCAGTGATCAGCCCGCCTTGGCCTCCCAAAGTGCTGGGATTACAGGCATGAGTCACAGCACTTAGCCATAAAAAAGTTCTGTTTAAAATACCAGAATGATTAAAATGTTTGCTTTCTGTTTGCATGTATATCATCCCATTAAAAATGAGTTTAAAGTTTTCTATAGAGATATATACATGCAAACAGAAAGAAAAAAAAATAGGAGGGCCATCAAAATAAATGGAGCAACAAAGTTCAGTTTATATATAGCAGTCAATATAACATTGGGCTGAATTGCTCAACCAAAGGATCAGTCATGAGATTAAAAACCCCAACAAAATGTAAAGCTCCCTTTCTTCCTTAGAGAAACCCATTAAAACATAGAAGCATAAATCCAGAGATAGTTTAAGGGCTGCTGTGCCTGTGCAGATGGGAGAACCTCATGGTGGTCTCACTCCTCTCCCTCTGCCAGGAGAAACTGCAGTCTCCTAACACCGCGACTCCAACTTAGGAGCAAGGGCAGGGGGAAGAAGCTGAAAAGGCCTGGCCTTCACTTGACTCAGTTATCCAGATTATTTAAATTATTGGATTGGCCGGTGGAATGGTTAATTTTATATGTCAACTTGGCTAGGCCGCGCTACCCAGTTATTTGCTATGGTTATGCTGCTTCTACAATAAATGACATCAGAGAAAAGTGGTTGAGAGAAAAGTGGCAAGAAGAAATAAAAATATGCTTGGGTTTGAGGATCTAAATGCCCCCATCAGAACACATCAGACTATGTAATATTCTTGTACCACAGAAGTACCGTGTCCAGAGCCTAACACAGAGCTCTTGGTAACTCACTCTGGGAAGCGCATTTTAATAAAGGTAACCGCAAACTGGACTGCCTTGAGAGGAGGTCACTTGGATGGCAAGCAGTTTTGAAATCTCATTTCAGGAGGCATGAGGAGGATCTGGTTGGCCCTGAGAGACTCAGGAGTACAGAGTGCTGCCTTCCAGATGCGGGGAGGTTTGTGGTGGATGTCTGTCTCTCCCATGGTCTCAACACTTCTATGCAGATTTCCGCGGGCTGAATTGTGTCCCTCTCACCCACTGCTCCAAACTTGTATGATGAAGCCCTAACTCCAAGAACCTCAAAATGTGACTATATTTGGAAATAGGGCCTTTGAAAGTTGATTAAATTGTCGACAAAGAGTCAAACTCTATAAAATATTCAAAGAGATGTATTTTGAGCCAAATATGGGTGGCCATGGCCCATGACACAGCCCTCAGGAGATCCTGAGAACATGTGCCTGAGGTGGTTAGGGCACAGCCTGGTTTCATACATACATTTTTGGGAGACATGATACTTCAATCAAGTACATTTAAGATGTACATGGGTTAGGTTCAGAAAGGCAGGATGACTCAAAGTAGGGAGCTTCCAGGTTATAAGTAGATTTAAACATTTTCTGGTTGACAGTTGGTTGAGTTTATCTGAAGACCTGGGATCAATGGAAAGGAAATGTCTGGGTTGAGATAAAGAACTGTGGAGAGAAAAGAGAAAAGTTCCTTTTTTTTTTTTTTTTTTTTTGAGACAAGGTCTCACTCTGTCACCCAGACTGCAGTGCAATGGCATGATCTCGACTCACTGCAACCTCCGCCTCCCAGGTTCCAGCCATTCTCCTGCCTCAGCCTCCCAAGTAGCTGGCATTAAGGCATGCACCACCTCGCCTGGCTAATTTTTTGTATTTTTAGTAGAGATGGGATTTCTCCATGTTGGTCAGGCTGGTCTCGAACTCCCGACCTCAGGTGATCTGTCTGCCTCGGCCTCCCAAAGTGCTGGGATTACAGGCGTGAGCCACCGCACCCGGCACAAAGTTCTTAATGTGCAGAGGAAGCCTTCAGGTAGCAGGCTTCAGAGAGAATAGATTATAAATGTTTTTTATTAGACTCAAAAAGGGTGCCAGACTCTTGATTATCTCCTGGACCTGAAAAAAAGGGAAAAGGGGATTCTCTATAGAATGTAGATTTTTCCCCCACAAGAGACAACTTTGCAGGGCAATTTCAAGATATGGCAAGGAAATACATTTGGGGTTAAAATATTTTGATTTCTTTCCTTATTTGTTATGTAATGTTATGCCAGAGCCAGTTTGGAAAGTAGGCCACATTAGGGTTAAATAAAACCCCTCTGATGAGACTTTACGGTTTGTAGGGCATGACTCCCCAGGCCCCTTAGGTAGAAATTTGGGCAAGAGAAGGAAAAAGGTCAGAGTTTAGTCCTCAGAGGTAAAATAAGCCCATCAGAGCGGACCTTTGTCTAATCTGACTGGTGTCTTCATAAGAAGACGAGATTTGGACACACAGAAGGGCACCAGGGATGCTCCACATGAGGAAAGACCTTGTGAGGACTCACTGAGTAGACGGCCATCTGTAAGCCAAGGAGAGCGGCCTCACAGGCAACAACCTTGATCTTGGACTTTCAGCCTCCAGAACTTTGAGAAAATAAATTGCTGTTGCTAGAGCCACCCAGCCTGTGGTACTTTGTTACGGAGGTCCTGGCAAAAGAATACACAGATGAACTCCCATATCACCGCAGAGCCCACCTTCCATCCCCACAACCCCAGTTCTGAGTTTCCAGCTCTTCGCAAGGGATCTCCCAACCCTTACACCTCCTACTGGATGGAGCAGTGCTCATCTCCTCTTCTCTCTATTGCAAACTTCAGTGCAGGCACTCCACAATCCTGCAGCTGCAATGTGAGCCAGTTTAGCCCCTCTGGACTGTGTGTGGGCAATATACACCAAAATTATTTTAAAATGCACCTAAGACCGTTTGGCCCAGTAGTTTCATGTCTAAAAGTTTTCCCTAAGTGAAGCCATCCTCACAGGGTTAACAATAATTCTGGACAGAAATATAATTATAATTAAGCCTTAATCAGACTGCACTTTGACTCACTTCCTTGAAACCAAAAGTCATGTAACACTAGACACTGACCAGTCATATCCCCATTGTTGCTCTAGGTAGGATTTCTGACATAAGAATCAGCCAAGGCAGGAGGATTGCTTGAAGCCAGGAGTTCGAGACCAGCCTGGGCAACAAAGCAAGATCCCATCTCTACAAAAAAAATTATTAATTAAAAAAATTTTTTTAAAGAATTGCTTAAGCAGATCCTGAATTTTAGTAGAACAGCTGATGACAACTAGTTTAAGACCTCCACAAAGGAACTGTTTTCTCAACTTGATAATACAGCTTCTTCATCTCCTTGTCCCATGACTTCACCCTGCACTCTTCAGCCAGTCACTTTGGCCAACTCCAAAATCTTTAAAATCTCTAGCTCCAAATTATTTGGGGAGATGGATTTGAAGTTCCCTTCCATGTCCTCATTTGGCAGCCCTACGATTAAACCTCTTTCTCTGCTGCAACCAGGTTTCAGCTTACTGACTTTCTGTGCCTGTTGGGCAACAAATCTGTTATGGTTACATAAGGAAGTAATCAAAAGCATATATAGTCAGAGAAAAGAAACCAGAAGGATAACTTATTTGTTCATTACAATGGATACTTATTACTATGTGACAGGCATAATTCTAGGCACTTTTATTACAGTGAATAAAGTATACAGAAGCCCCACCCACTGAGAGCCAGGCAGTAAATCAGCTAACCAAATGAATCATACATTAGGAGGAAATTTTTTTTTTCACATTAAGGTTCTAAGGAGGAAATAAATATTATGGAGGAAAAAATAAAGCAGAAAGGGAGTATGAAGAGCAGTCGATATGGTTCCAGTTTTCAATAGAGCTGTCAAAATAGGCTTGAGAAGGTGAAAACTGGCATCAACTTGCAGGCAGTTAACAGTAAGGTGCCAATAGTTGTTACTGCTGGTTGGTGAAATTATGGGTAATTATATTCTTTTATACTTTTCTGTGCTTTCCAAATGCAGCACAATTAACATATTTGCTTTTACAATTAAAAAAATCCCACAATAAATGTTACTTAAAAAAAAAAACTGACACCTTCAGTTGTTCCCCATTTTCTACAGAATAAAGTCCAACTCGTCCTCCATTGGCCTCTTCCCTTTCATCTAAACTTATCTTTCATTCCTTAACTGTCTTTTCCAGTTGGCCTGATACCCTGTGACCCAGATTTGCCAAACAGGGTTGTCAGATTTAGCAAATAAAAGTACAGGACACCCAGTTAAATATGAACGTCAGATAAACAATGAATAATGCAATATTTGAGACATACTAAAAAACTACTTGTTGTACATCTGAAATTCAAGTTTAACTGAGCATCGTATGTTTTTCCTGACAATGTGACAAGTGATCTTCCTTCCCCTGTGCTGGAATAATCTCTTTTCCATCTTTCCAAATTTTTCCAGCTAATCAGAGGGTGGGGAGGAGGGATGGATGTGGGTGGGAATGAGAGATAAGCCTGCCTATCAACTCCTGTATTTAATATAGGATATTCCTGGGGGCCAGGTGTGGTGGCTTATGCCTGTAATCCCAGCACTTTGGGAGGCCAAGGCGGGTGGATCACCTGAGGTCAGGGGGTTCAAGACCAGCCTGGCCAACATGGTGAAACCTTGTCTCTACTAAAATACAAAAATTAGCTGGATGTGGTGGCGCATGCCTGTAGTCCCAGTTACTCGGGAAGCTGAGGCAGGAGAATCACTTGAACCTGGGAGGCAGAGGTTGCAGTGAGCCGAGATTGCACCACTGCACTCCAGCCTGGTGACAGAGTGAGACTCCTCACCAAAAAAAAAAAAAAAGAAAAAAAAAGATATTCCTGGGGAGTAGATGGGTGGTGGAGGGCGGGGGAACAAGGGTGGGGTATTGTTAAAACATCGTAAAAGGGCTCCTTTTTTGATCTTGAATTATGACTTTCCTATAGATAAAAATTGCACCTTTAATCAGAGAACAATGGCCCAGGTGTCAGGTATAGGTGAAAGTCCAAAGTTCTCTTCAGAAAAGAAACTCTATTTTAGTTATACAGAACATTTATTCAAATCTTCCACTATTTAATTTATGTAAAATATCCTAGTCAATGTTTTTAACCCGAGTGTTTTTAAACATTGCTTTTTAAAAAATAAAAAACTTTTAAAATATTGAACCATTTACGGGGGCTTTAAAAACAGACAGCTTTTGTTCCAAATGAGGATGCCTCTCCTTCCGTTTGTCTGACCTACCCTTTGCCCCCATGGTCCCCTACTCCATTTATTAGCTCCACAGAGACCTGACAGAACCTTAAAGTTGATCCCTGAGTCAGACTGGGCCTGTCTCAAGGTCAGCTCACATCTGAAATCAAGCCTCTGCTGAGTCTGTGGAGTAAAAGGCTGATACTCCCTTCTCTCCTGCAAGACAGCTGTGTGCTCTGGCCCAGAGTGGGCACAGAACTGCTGGGCCCAGGCTGTCAGAAACTTCTGGGCTGGCATCCAGCTGCTCCAATGCACAAAGCCAGCTAACGCAGGCCAACCATGCCAGTGAGTCCACATTACAGAAGGACGGGAAGCAGTGGGATGCGGTACCCAGGGGTAGCAGTCTAATCCCTCCCAAAGCCAAATTCTAGAAAAATTTTCCAAATTTAAAAAATGGAAAAGGGAAAAATGGAAAATGGAAAAAATTTTAAATTTAATTTTCCAAATTTAAAAAATGGTAAAAGCTCTTACCCATGGCCATAGTTTTTCATCTTGACATCCTCAGCACTTACCATGGTACCTGGCACAAAACAGCTAATTTTTCAGTTGCCATACTGAACAGCCATTTTATACAGGCTCTCTATATTCCAATGACAACAATCTTTAGGCAACATTGTTAAGTGACAGAACAGTGTTTAGTATGCAAAACTTTGCTTAATAAAGGGGAGAAATACCAATATATATAGTTGTATTTAACTTCTATTTACATAAAGAAACATTGAAAGGATACGCAGAAAACTAATAAAAGTGTGTACCGGTGGGCCAGGGACGGGGGTAGTGGTAGGTGGAATGAATGAAGAAGGGCAAGGTGGTCACAGTCCTACTTAATCTATACCTTTTAATATATTATTTTTTGAGCCAAGTGTATGTATAACCCTTTAAGTTACATAGTTAAAATCATCTATTTTTGGTTATATAATTTTGTAGTAGCAAAAAACTCAACTGAAAAATAGGAAGCTATTCTCTCCATTTCTCTCTGTGGTCACATAGCCGCTCACGTTTAATTCTTTCTAAGCTCACAGATTGACCAACACAGCCACCATACTTGAGTTTCCATGACTTTATAATTCTAGTGCCCATCACTGTCTCAATCTAGATTTCCTTTTCCCCAAAAAAAATCTGCTACGTCACTTGCTATAATTTCTAGCTCTCTGCCAAATGTTTCACACATAGCTTTTATCCTTTTGAAGATAGCATATACATTGTTATATAGTCTATGCCCAATAACCCCAGAGTCTGGAAGCCCCATGGGTCTGATTCTGTTGTCTGTTTTTATTTTTGTTTTTTTTTCTTTTCTTTTCTTTTTGAGACAAGGTCTGGCTCTACGGCCCAGGCTGGAGTACAGTGGCATGATCTCAGCTCTTTGCAACCTCTGCTTCCCAAGCGCAAGCCGTCCATCCACTTCAGCCACCCTAGTAGCTGGGACTACAGGTGTGCACCACCACACCCAACTGACTTTTGCATTTTTTGTAGAAACGGAGTTTCACCATGTTGTGCAGGCTGGTCTTGAACTCTTGAGCTCAAGTAATTCCCCAGCCTCAGCCTCCCAAAGTGCTGGTATGGCAAGCATGAGCCACTGCACCTGGCCTGTTTCTGCTTTTCTTGTGGCAATCTCGCCTCTCTGGGGCTTGATTATTTTTGCTTGTTTGCTAGATGCATTTGAGGCCTAGGATGCTATTATCTTCTTCCCAGAATGATTGTTTTTGACACTAGCAGTTTAGAGTCACTTTGAACAAGTTCAATGGTTACTTGAGATTCTCTGGGCTGGGACACCATTTCTACTCCCTTTAAGCCTTTAAAGGCTGCCAAAAATGCAGCTTGGATTCTTAAACTCTCTTCAGCAAATGCTCCCAGAACAGAAGCGACCCCAGTTGCAGGCTCACCTCCATGTTCCTTTCCTTTCCCAAATTTTGGCCCAGCAATTCCTCACTAACCTTTGAATATTTAAGTAAGATACTTAAAAATATTTTACCCAGCATTTTTAGTTGTCTTCAAATGGAGGCTTGGTCTGAATTACTCAGTCCATTAATGGAAGCAGAAGCCCTTCTGATGCAGGCCTTAGTTTTTCAGTAGTTTGCTCTTCTCTGGGCCTTAGCTTTCAGAAAGATTCTCTTGTCTGTAGTAGTAAAGTCTGTATAAAGTCTGCATGGACTTTTCTTGCGTACACACATTGCCGCATCACCTCCAGTCAAGGCTGGAAGAGAATCTTGCATTTTACACATCTAATATTTCAGAAGAGCTGGAGTCACAGCAGTCCTCTTCACTGAGCTCAGAAACAAAAACCCTGCTTGTGCATATATTCAGGCTGGGACCTCTAAAATGCAGACACCTAAGTGCTCCAGCTTTGAGAATTCTAGCTTCAGTGTGACAACGGCATAAGGAGTTGCCCTACGGTGTAAAGGCCCCTGTGAGGTCTCAGTTTGCAGACCAGGATGTGACAAGGAGATTGGAGCTGCAGTCAGCTCTAGAGGCTGAAAGAGGAGCCAAACAGCAAACAGAGGTGCCAAATGCTGCCTTAGAAATCTGTAAGCCAGCTAAGAGTTCTGCAGTCTCAACTAAACAAAACTTTTTTATTCCATTGGTTTGGGGTGTACTGTTCTTAGGGCTTTTGCCAACTGAATTGGTCTGTGGTGTCTTGAAAGATTGGGGTTCTGCACGGAAAAGGCTCGGAGGCCAGTTCTCTGAGGCTGCCTTTGTTGCAAGAAATAAAATGAATCTTTCCAGAGCCACAGCACTAGCATTTGGAGACCACTCTCAGGGGCTTTGGGGCGTACGACTTTCGGGGCTCTGGTCCTCTGTTTCCCTATCCGTAGAATGGAGACGGCTACTCTGTGAGAAGCCCGAGGTGCGCAGGACCCAAGTGAGGAGCCGGCAACCTGAAGTCCTCAGGATGGGGAGGGATCCGAAGGAGGCGGTGTGAAGACTCAAGAGGACCGCCTTGGGGTGGGAAGAGGACAGCCCGGCACTGGCTGCTGGCCCAGGTGCTGTGATGGGTTTCGTGCGCAGAGAGGCCTGACAGCCTCTGCATCAGTGACCGGGCGAAGAGTGGGGCAGCTCGGACGGCGGTTGGGGAACGTTAGGGAGATTGGCGCGCGGACCACTGGGTGAGCGCCCAGGAACGCCGGACGCGCGCCTTCACGCCCGGGTGCCTGGCGGCGTTTTAGAAAAGCTGTATTTGAAAAGCAACCGACTGGGGTGAAGGCGGGGGAGCGGAATCCTGATTACACTGTCCCAATTTCAGTTGAGGTGGGCTTTTAAAAGAAATCCCAATTCACACATTCGATCAGGTTAGTTACAAGAAAGGCTGGGAGGAGGTGGGGCTGGAAACACCAGAGGGCCCAGATGTCCGTTGGCGACGGTCTTCTGCAAACGACAGAGCGCAAGCCTTGCCCCTGGAATTCTAGAGCCGCCGCAAAGATAGGAACTCAAAACGACCCGAGCCCCGGAGCCGCAGCCCCTCGGGACGGTCACGAGCAGAGCTCCCAAGGGGACCGCTGGGGACTGGGCGGGGGCTCTGCTTCTCACCTGTTCCTTCTCTATCCACTGAGCCCTGACACGTAGGACCAGCGCTACTAACAGACTTGTTTTCCGGTTCAGCTCCCCTTAGGGCTCCTGTTGGAAACCGACCCTATCTGGGGAGCCTGTCTGGGCCACTCCCATTGCCGGAGAACTCTCCTGGGGCGGGGAGATGGCCCAGGTTTGTGGGGCTTGAAAGCTTACACAGTGTTGTGTCTTTTCAAGAAAAAGGATACAGCCGGGCACGGTGGCTCACGCCTGTAATCCCGGTACTTTGGGTGGCCGAGGTGGGTGGATCACGAGGTCAGGAGATCGAGACCATCCTGGCCAACATGGTGAAACCTCGTCTCTACTAAAAATACAAAAAATTAGCTGGGCATAGTGAGTGGCATGTGCCTGTAATCCCAGCTACTCGGGCGGCTGAGCCAGGAGAATCTCTTGAACCAGGGAGGCGGAGGTTGCAGTGAGGCAGTGAGCCAAGATCGTTGCCACTACACTCAGGTCTGGCGACAGAGCAACACTCCGTCTCAAAATAAAAAAATTAAAAAAAAAAGGAAAGAAAGAAAAGAAAAAGGATACAGAATTTGACAAAATTAAGAATAAAAGCAAATATGACTTACAATGAGGAAAAACAATGACAGCAAATGATAAATGTTTAAAAACTGACATATCACAAACATCAAAAAATCCCCCCAAAATTCTAATAACTGCTTGAACCACCCCTATATTTTCCCATTTATATTTTTTGATTCCCTCTTCATTCGACAACACTTTTGTAATGTATTTTCCTGGGTGAGAATGAATAATTTGGTATTTCGTCTAGCATAGTTAAGCAAAAAAAGTTTTTATTGAAAGTTTAGAAAAGTTAATATCCATTTCACAATCGTTATTGGTAATAATATGCAAATTTTTAGTGCTATTAATTTTGGAGAAGCCTCTGTGAAGAGTTTCCTATGTAAGCCTGAGATTTCAGGGCATTTCAAGTTTTCTTGGGCAGTGACTAATCTTAAATACTCTTTTAAGTTGCTGAAAGTCATTGGCCTGTTTTTCGTTAAGTCCTTGTTGTGAAGGTGTAGTATGAAACTGTTTGTAGATGTCAATATTTTATGCCAAAACAACAATTTTTTTAAGTTTTAATGTGTTTATGTGGTTAATTCTTCATCAAGTGATTGTCAAACAATCTAGGCATCTATTCTATTTAAAATGTATCCCTTCCCTTCAATAAATTGCTGGTTTTGGCTGGAACCAAACTTTTTTTCTTCTTCAATTCCTTTTCTGATGTCAGAATAACTTCTATTAATTTCATGTGCAAATATGCAAGAGATCATTTTATTTCATGATGTATGTATAATTGTATATGCATATTTAATAAGTATATTCCTAAAGAAGAGAGCTTCCATTTTGACTAGACTTTGATGAGACTGAGTAATACGCTTATAATTTTCTACATCTAGGGGTTAAAAGGATTTATTGGCTTCACTGTCCACAGACTTCTGGTGCCTCATGTCACAGCACACAATCTTATTGTGACAGATCTCTGACCTTTCACTTTAGTCTCTGATGTCAGGTGAGTTATCTCAGTGGGTGGTGGTTCCTGTAAGCCACTTCTACACTGAGACGGGTAGCAATAACTTGACTATACATGAAAGTGCTTATGAACCACATATCCTAGTAATCTCAAACAATGTAATCCCAACTTAATTTCCCCTTAGCTAGAACCCCCACATGCTACCTGATACAAGAGAAACTGTGACAGAGGGAAGTTGACGTGGAAGGAGACAGTAATCCTAACCGTGGTTAAAATATGTTACTTTTGCAAATTTTACAAAACACTTAGCATGACCATATTGAACACATTGCTTGGAATTCCAGGGTCTTGGAAAGAACCAGTGCAAGGGATGAACTTAATGGCAGAGCTTCCTCTGCACACTTCACGACTGCAACAGGCTTGTCCCTGAAGTCTCTCCGCTGGGGTCCCACTTCAGGCTGACGTACTGTCTGTGTCACCGAACATCACTCTCTGCATTTGCTTACCCTTTTTGATTCTTCCCTGTGCCTCAGTTTGGAGTTGGAAGCTCATAAATTCCCCTATTATAGGGAAGTGGCTGATTGTGTAACCCTATCCTTTTGTTGAAATAGGTGTGTCCAGTTAAGTATTTACTGTAAGCCAGCCCCTCATACGCATTCCACTGGGGGTGGATTCATTGCTTTCTACAACCTCGCCATATGTAATGTCCACACTGGTCCATCTGGCTGTGCTTCTCAAGAGCAGCTGTTTTGTAGGACTTGAAATAAGGATTCCTTAACAACCTGGTGAATGCCTAATAGCCTCAATACATTTCAGGCTGTTTTAGTTTTGTTTATTTGGTTTTCGTGTTTTGTGGTGAGAACACTTAAAATCTACTCTCTCAGCAATTTTCAAGAACACAGTGTACCATTACTAACAAATCACCAGAAGGTACAACAGATCTCTTGAAGTATTCCTCCTTGAAGTAACTGAAACTTTGTATCCTTTGACCAACCCATCCCCATGCCCACCACGCCCAGACTTTGGTAACCACCATTGTATTAATACTGTCTGCTTCTACCAGTTAACTTTTTTACACTCTGAGTATAAGTGAGGTCATGCTGTATTGGAGGTTGTTTCCTCCACGCGACTGGGTGGAATTCAGAGGTTTCTACCAATAACTCATTTCTTTCACCAGCAGCTCCCAAGGGCTCTGCTGAGTCCCCCATGCCTCCTAAATCTGAGATCTTGAACCCCTGCTCCTCCCCAACCCTGTTTTTCTGAGAACTGCCTCATCAAACATAGAGCATAGCAACTTTCCTGAGATTTCTCTAAATTTCCTCTTATTCAGGTCACTGTGCATGACAGATTGACTGCTTGATTCCTGGAAGTCTAGGGATAAAAAGTATTGAGTGCTGGTCTAAAGGACAGGTTTCAGCAGAGGACACAATCTCAGGGCAGACAACTTAAGTTTCAGTATTAGGCATTTCCGTTCTTAAACATTCCTTCACTATTTCTGCCCAAGACATTTCTCACTGGTAAACTTTCCTTGTTGGTTACCTGCCTTCTGCAGCCCTGCAGGCTCTGTCTCTCTCCTGGGCCACCCCTCTTCCTCTTACACAGTTTTATGCTCCCCTTCCCTTCTCTTTCCTTCCATCTTCAGTCTACATATTTCACGGCTAGCTTTCCACAGCCAGATGTTTCTTGCCCTGAGGAATTATGCTATCAGTTTTTAAGCCACCGTTTAAAAGACGGTTGCCAGTGCCCTAGAGTCTTGGCAACAATGCTCCACCTTCCGGAGGTGAAGCGAAATGGTGTCCTGTCTTGAAAGACAGCGCCACCTACTGTCCATCAAGAGACAGCTGCCGAAAACAGCTGAATGACCCTGTTCATTGCCTGTTCTGGGGAGGGTGGCAGATAATCCAGGCAAGAATAATTCGAAGGTACATTGAACTTGAGGTGGTGATGGAACACTTAAGAATGCACAGAAGTTTAAACTCAATAGGGATAGTAATACCAAGCTGGCATCGGGCCTCAGGGAGGTTACAGGATCTGCATAGTGCTAACAACTGTGCATCGGTAGAATGGGAATCTGAATCCGGACACTCCGCCTGTGAAGTCCACGTAGCTCCACCTCGCTGCACTAAGATAGAGTAGATCTCCTTTTATGGATGATCAAATAAGTGAGAGGGAACCCAGGAGCCAGTGGAGAGGAGAATTTTAAGGAGGGGACTGCTGATGATCTAAAGTTTGAGTCATCAGTTTGGATGTGAACTGAGAAAATACCGCTGGGATTTGAGTTTAGGACTTAGTTGGAGACCCTTAGAGAGTGGTTTAGGGTGCCCAGCCCTGGGATAGGCATAGGAGAGTATGGAAAGACAGAAAGACATAGTCCTATCCCTCATGAAGCTAAATGTGAGCCAAAGCCAGGGAAGTTGGCAAAAATCAAATGGTAATAAATGAGACGGTGATTTAGGAAAGAGAGATCCATGTAGAACCTGCAGGCCCCTCTGACACCTTTGTGAAAATTAGGATGGATCAGTTCACTTTCTTGGGGCCATTGCTGCCCTGAGCCAGAGCCCACAGCTTGGCAAGCAACCTCTGGGCTAGGTCTCAGCCCCCATTCATCAGAATGAAGACTGACTTGTTAGGAAAGTTTCATTCAGGAAACTGGGACTTGAGCTGGGCTTCCACTGATGTGAAGGGTTTGGAGCAGCTGTGTGAAAGAGGTAGGAGTTAGGTCTTCCCTGCTGGGAAATGTCAAAACAGAGGCAATTAAGAGTCATAAAGGAGAGGGAAAAGACAAAAATCACCTGACTCTTGGCTCCAGTATTTTTAAAGCAGGAGAAATTAGATAAGATCACTCCTTTAAAACAGTTACTGAGCATCTAATATATTCAAGGAGCTATGCCGAATAGGCTGACTCAGGGAAATAAGGACCCTGACAGTTGCGCATTAGTTTGTAGTTTATGAAGCACATCCATTTCCAGCTATGACATTTTGTCCACTTTCTTGTAAAGGAGGCTGAAGTTGTGGCTGCCCCTGAACATGAAGCTACAAATCTCCACGATTAGGACCATAATCCAGATTCTTTGACTAGTCCAGAATTCCTTTCATTCTGACCATCCTCTTCTTAAACATTTTAAAATTTAGGTAATTGTTTAGATAGATGGCACATTTGCTGGCTCAAAATTTTAAAAACACAGGAAAAAGTCTCCCTCTTGCCCCTGGTTTCCACACATCTAGTTTCTCTCTCCAGAAGCAAATTTTACTAGTTCATTGATATATTCTTCCAGAGATGTTCTTTGCATAAAAAGCAAATAAGAATGTATTTATTCTTCCCCGATTTGTGCAAATAATAGCATATTATACACACTGTTCTGTACCTTGCTTTTAAATTTAATTTATTTTTATTTTTTTAAATCAGTAATCTATGTGTCCAAAGCATAAACCAGGCATGGGCATAGACCAGAAGCCAAGCTGGGATAAACAGGGGGTTGCTTTGTTCCTGTCTGATGTGAGATGGGCACCATTAAGCTTTTTTTTTTTTTTTTTTTCGAGACAGAGTCTGGCTCTGTCATCCAGGCTGGAGTACAGTGGCGCAATCTCGGCTCACTGCAAGCTCCACCTCCCGGGTTCACGCCATTCTCCTACTTCAGCCTCCCGAGTAGCTGGGACTACAGGCACCCGCCACCATGCCCGGCTAATGAGACAGGGTTTCACCATGTTAGCCAGGATGGTCTCGATCTCCTGACCTCGTGATCCACCTGTCTCGGCCTCCCAAAGTGTTGGGATTACAGGCGTGAGCCACCATGCCTGGCCAAGCTTTTTTTTTTTTAATGTATCAATTTATGTTGGAGATTATTCCAATAGCAAAAGTTCCCTTCCACACCCCACCCCCTACTAATGGCTGCACAATGTTCTATTGTATGAATGTAGCTAGTTTATTTAGCTTAACTTCCGTTGATGAACATTTGTTTTTTTTCTAAAATTTGAAGCAAATGTTTCTAAAACATTGATGCAATAGGTATATGCATATATTATTTCACATATGCATGAATATATATGTAAAATTTCTAACATCAGAGTTGCTGGCTCAAAGAGAATGTACATTTGTAATCTTGGAGGAAATTCTCAAATTCCTACTCCTCTAAAGGAGGAGTACTAATTGGCATTCCCATCAGCAGTGTATGGGAGTGCCAATTTCCTCACACACTTACCAACACTGTGTTACCAAATGTTTGGATTTCTGTCAATCTGATAGGAAAAATAGTATGTCAGTGTTATTTTAATTTGTATTTTCTTCATGAGATTGAGATTATCTTTTAATATGCTTTAGAGACATTTGGTATTTCTTTTTCTATGAAATGTCTGCTGAGATACCTCTGCCCAATTTTCTTCTTGGTAGTTGATAAATTCTTATTTGCAAGAGCTGTATATAAAAGGTAATTAGCCCTTTGATTTTGATGGCAGTTGTAAATATTTTTCTTCTTCCAATGGTATTTCGTCATTTGTCTCTTGACATTGCACTTACGGTTTTTTTTCCCCCATGCAGGTCTTTTTTAATGTGGCTGAATTTATCTTTCTTTCCTTTTATGGTTTCTACATTTGAAACATTCTCAAGCTACTGCTAGTTAAATACAGTGGATTTCTGCCTTCAAGTTGCTCAATAAACCAGTAGGAAAATCAAGAAAAGTACCTAAGTAACTAGTAGAAGTTACTATATAGTCAGTACTATAAGTTGGTACAAAGTGCTGTTTCTTCATCTGTCTATCCATACATCTAATTATCAATCTATCTGTCCATCTGTCCATTAATCCATCCATTTATCAAGCTTTTACTGAATCCTTTCTAAGAGCAAAAAAAGGTATATATAGAGAGATGACATTTTATGGTAATGAAGCCCATGGGCTGCGATAAGAGACACCCAGATCTGAATCCCAGCTCTATGTTTACACCACTGTGGCCTTGGGCAGGTTACTTAATCTGTCCACATTTTTGTTTCTTATACTATTTCATGAGATACGACAGGAACGTAGATTGTGGAGGGGTCAAGGATTGAAGGTTAAAAAACAGACATTGTCGGAAATGCCTTAGGAAGAGAACTATAAGTGAGTACAATGCCTACATTTATAATTTCAGGTGGTGAAATCTGAATCCTGACAAGGTCAAGAGAGTGGCCACTAGGGTGGGTGGCAAAAGCAAAGGTCATTGGATGTGAGCAGGACAAGAACTGAAAGGCCTTGGTGTTAAATGATCATGTACGTAGTCTTTGAAATCACCAGGATCATGGTAATTTCACAGCCAGATGAAGGGCAAGTTCTGGGAGGATCCTGAGCACAGGAGCTTCTGTCCCCGGTGGAGTGTGGGATGTGCCACCCTCCCAGCATGTGGATGCACTCACCAACCTGGAATCTCTCCAAACCTCTTTGTTCAGGATCTTACAGAGGTTCCATTATTTAGGTATGATTGATCAAATCACTGGCTGTTGGTGATTAACTCAGTCCCTGGGCTCCTCTCCCCTCCCCAGAGGTCAGAGGTGAGACTGAAAGTTCCAACCAGCCAGGCGTGGTGGTTCACGCCTGTAATCCCAGCATTTTGGGAGGCCAAGGCAGGCAGGTAACCTGAGGTCAGGAGTTCGAGACCAGCCTGGCCAACATGGTGAAACCCCGTCTCTACTAAAAATACAAAATATTAGCTGGGCATGGTGGTGTGCACCTGTAATCCCAGCTACTCGGGAGGCTGAGGCAGGAGATTCGCTGGAACCTGGGAGGCAGAGGTTGCAGTGAGCTGAGATAGTGCCGTTGCACTCCAGCTTGGGCAACAAGAGTGAAACTCTGTCTCAAAAAAAAAAAAAAGAAAGAAAGAAAGAAAGAAAGATCCCACCCTCTAATCACATGGTTCTTCTGCCAACCAGCCCCCATTCTTCCTCCAAGAGTCACCTCATTAGCATAAACCCTGGTATGGTTGAAAAGGGCTTATTATGAATAATAAAAGATACACTCATCAGAACATAACCATGTGGTAAGTTGAGGTGCATCAGGAATTAAGATGATTCAACTTAAAATTTTTGACTTTATGATGGGTTTACTGGGGTATTGAGTACACTTTCACCTTACAATATTTCTGACTTCAGTGAATTCACTGGGACGTAACCCCATCATAAGTTAAGGATCATCTTTTCAAGGGTTTTAGGAGCTCTGTGCCAAGACTAATTATATATATATCTCACAAGATCACACAGCCCACAGCAAACAGTGGCAAAGTGGGATTGAGGGAGGAGGCTCTGAAATGAGGTTTTCAACAAGCGTCTTGGACCCTTAGAAGTTTCAAGTGACAGCCCTTATTAGTGGCACCCCTTAGGGGCTCCCTCAAACTCAATGCCAAGACTAGCCTGACTGGAGGGAACTTAGACAATGGGGTGGGCATTTGATGTTCCAGCATCTTGAGTGGGTGCCATTATTCTGTGACACCTGGATCCTGGGGTTCCATAAGCTGGGGTTCTAGGATGTCCATTCTTAGTTGAGTCTCATTTCCTGTCATATCGACGTCAAAGGCCCAAGACCTTCCTCCTCCCCTTGAGCAAACAAGCCATGCCCTGCACCAAAGTCCATCTCACCTTCCAGCTACCCTAGGTAATTTTCCTGGTAATTCAGTGTTTCTAGGAAAGCATGAGTCTTTCCACCCCCTGCCCTGAGATTTACTGACATATGAACACATATGATTGGCATGATATAAGAACCACTCGTCTGCTGGCCATCTCTCCAGGTCTGGAGCCAGAGAAGATGATCTGAAATTGTAGCAGGAGAAATTGAGGTAGGATACTAAGAAAGCTTTTCAGGAGTGGGGCTAGGCAAGAGGTGCAGCATGAGGGAATAAGAGTGAATCCTCAGTATCTAAGGGAGGTGGCAGGTGGCGGGGGACTTCTTTCTTTGGGTCATCTTTGGTGGTGATTTGACAGGAAGGAACAAAGTGGCTTCAAACATTATACAAGTCTCTAGTCTGTTCTGTGTCCTGTTTTCTTTCTCATTCTTTCAGTGTGGAATCTATATGACCCTGGGAGGGATGTTGGTTGGAAGAATGACCAGCTGATGGAGATGCTGCTGTAATTATTGGTGGTAATAATGGGCAGCAGTGAGCCACCCGGTGTGACAGTGTAGGAGAAAACAGTCCAAACTCCTGCCAAACTCTCTCTACTGATGGCAAATCAGAGGAGACTCAAATTGTAAGTTTATAGTGGTCTGGCTTTTGGCCATGACAATGACACCTTGCCCTTTTAATTTGGGGCCCGTGCAAATATTCACTGAAAGCTGTCAAGAGGAAAACAGAGTTGGTTATTGAATCACTTGCTTCCTCTAGGTGTATGAAAAATAATTTCAAGTTTAACAAACACAAGGAAACCGCAGGGTCCATGTCAAAGCTGATGAGCTATTTCTGAAACTCGTGCAGAATTGTGGTTTGTGTGGTCTATGTCACGGCACCCTTGAGGGAGAGTGGGCAATTGCCTGAACTTGGAGGCTGTGTCCTGTCCCCAGGCTGCTCCAGGGCTGCCTCCTTCCGACTGGGCCTTCTTATCTGGGACTGTTGAGGGCAACAGGCCTTCCGAAGACCAGTGAAGAAGGAGGCCCTGCAGACAGGAGGCTGACAGGGTAGGAACAAGGCCATGATCCCTTTGCAGAAGGACAACCAGGAGGAGGGTGTCTGCCCCATCTGCCAGGAGAGCCTGAAGGAGGCCGTGAGCACCAACTGCGGACATCTCTTCTGTCGAGTGTGCCTGACACAGCATGTGGAGAAGGCCTCAGCCTCTGGGGTCTTCTGCTGCCCCCTCTGCCGGAAGCCCTGTTCTGAGGAGGTGCTAGGGACAGGCTATATCTGCCCCAACCACCAGAAGAGGGTGTGCAGGTTCTGTGAGGAGAGCAGACTTCTTCTATGTGTGGAATGCCTGGTGTCCCCTGAACACATGTCTCATCATGAACTGACCATTGAAAATGCCCTCAGCCACTACAAGGTAAGCCTGGGTCACCGCAGCCAGGCCCTGCCTCCACCTCGCTGAGGTGCTGCATCCTACATGTTCATCATGCCTGGCACCTCAGAGTAGCTCAACAATGGACATCTCTCTTTGTTTCTTCTGCTTCATCCTGTTTTGGACCCTTGTCTTGCTTTTCTGTGTATATTTTGAGGCTGATGTTTCCATGCATCAATGTGAGTCTGTCTAAAAGAGGATATTGTCAGTGTGATGTCAGAGTCCCAGTCTGCTCATCTGTAGAATAGAGTAATTGGACTAACTAATGCAAAACCCTTTCAGGACTAAAACTGTGTGAACTCCTGGTTGATAGTACTAGAAACTTGGCTAGAAATGTAATCAGGTTTTATATACACTAGTAATTATCCTGAAAATATATTAAAACCTGAAAGTTACTACATAATTTTTTCTCTCTTTTTCTTCCTTCTGCATTTGTCTTATCTTTCCTTTTCCTTTCTTTGCTATGGCAATTATTTTATCTTATTCTGTTAAATTTTCTATCACAAAAGTTACATGCTGTAGGTAATAAATTCAGAAAGCACTGAAAGGTATAAAGTCAAGACTAAAAACTTGTCTTCCTTTCTCCCTCCATTCATAGTCCTCAGAGGTAACCATTGTTTGATTTTTGTACATCCTTCCAAAAAATGTGTGTGCTTATGAATGCACTCTTACACACACCCACACACACCCTCAAAGGATTCTCTCTATATTTTTTTCTGTAACTCATTTTTGTTATCTAAAAGTGTGGCTTGAACATTTTCTCATCAGCATGTATAGATCTTCTGAATTATTTTCAAGAACTGTGTGGTATTAAATTCTATGAATGTACCATAAATTGGCAGACTTTGGGTCATTTCCAAGCTATTGTTTTGTTTTAAGATTACACAGAATGTTCTAATGAATATCCTTCAACATATATATTGGAGGACCTAGAATATCCAAGATATATTTTGGTGAGAGCATAAGGTAGAAATCTAACTTTAGTTTTTCCAAGTTATAATCAATTTGTCCTATCACCATTTATTGAATGATTCATATAGTTTCCCCATTGATTTGAATGCCAATGTCATAATATACCATATATGCATATTTTCTTGCATACTGCCTTGATTCTTTATGCTGTTCTATTCTGTCTATGCTTGCCTATAAGCCAAGGTATTTTAGAGATTTTATCCTTACCATATATTTTAATGTCAGGTATTTTGATAGAATCCTCACAATACTCTTATTTTTCAGAATTCGTGCAGATATTTGTATATCTTTATTTTGCCAATTAGCTTTGGAATTATTTTTATCAACCTTTCCCCTGACCCCAATCCAGTTAGTATTTGACTGGACAATTGACAATATTTTCACATGGCATCCTTCTATCCAATAGTGAAGGCTGAACTTCCAAAGCTGAGGTAGCTTTGAGATACTTGACTTTTGGAGAACATGTTATGATACAGAATGAGAAAGTGGGGAGTCCAGATTAAAAGTGACTACAGAAAGGTAGAGAAATAATTGAAAAAGCCAGAGGCAAAGTTCTATTTGGTTCTAACATCATTCCCTCCAGGTGCAATGTCCACAGGAGAGTGGGGAGGGATTCCTCACCTGCCGATGAAGCAGCATAAGATGGAGAAATTTATTTCCTCACTAAATGATTTTTTCAGGTCTGTCCTTTGTGTTAGATGTCATGCTAGGCATTGTAGAAAGTACAAAGATGATTCATAATTCTTGTTTCAAATCTGTCTTTAAATAATGACAAGAAAGCTAAAACAAATAAATAACGATGACACTTGTTCATTAAGTAAACCTTAGTAAGTTCCTGCTGTGTGTGAGAAACTGCAGCATGTGCTAGGAATCAATGAAGACAGATGCCATTCCTTCTGCCAGGAGTTTGCAGTGTAGTAAGGGAGACACAAATAAGTAATCAAAGAACTGTAACTTTTTTTTTCTTTTTTCTTTTTTTTTTTTTGAGATGGAGTCTCACTCTGTCACCCAAGCTGGAGAGCAGTGGCATGATCTCGGCTCACTGCAACCTCCGTCTCCCAGGTTCAAGCAATTCTTTGCCTCAGCCTCCCGAGTAGCTGGGATTACAGGCACCCACCACCAGGCCTAGCTAATTTTTGTATTTTTAGTAGAAACGGGGTTTCACCATCTTGGCCAGGCTGGTCTTGAACTCCTGACCTCATGATCCATCTGCGCTGGCCTCCCAAAAGAACTGTAACTTTTTATTAGTTAGGAAGAAAATAAACAAGGGTCTGGGATGAACAGTAATGGGTGGCCCATGTCCATTTGGTCAGTGAGGGCCTCATAGAGGAAGTGACCTTGAAGCTGAGGGCTGGCAGAAGAGAAATCAACCTGCAAAGACAGGGGGTAGGGAGTGCATACAGATGCCCACACCTGAGAAGTCTTGTTATATTTGAAGAATTTATCATTAGAGTTTGAATCGACAGGACTTACTGAGAGATTAGAAGTGGGTTCTTTGTAAGAAAAAAACAACCCCATCAAAAAGTGGGCAAAGGATATGAACAGACGCTTCTCAAAAGAAGACATTTATGCAACCAACAGACATATGAAAAAATGCTCATCATCACTGGTCTTTAGAGAAATGCAAATCAAAACCACAATGAGATACCATCTCTGCCAGTTAGAATGGCAATCATTAAAAAGTCAGTAAACAACAGATTCTGGAGACGAAGTGGAGAAATAGGAACGCTTTTACACTGTTGGTGGGAGTGTAAATTAGTTCAACCATTGTGGAAGACAGTGTGGTGATTCCTCAAGGATCTAAAACCAGAAATACCATTTGACCCAGCAATCCCATTACTGGGTATATACCCAAAGGATTATAAATCATTCTACTATAAAGACACATGCACACGTATGTTTATTGTGGCATGGTTCACAATAGCAAAGACTTGGAACCAACCCAAATGCCCATCAATGATAGACTGGATAAAGAAAATATGGCACATATACACCATGGAATACTATGCAGCCATAAAAACAGATGAGTTCACGTCCTTTACAGGGACGTGGATGAAGATGGAAACCATCATTCTCAGCAAACTAACACAAGATCAGAAAACCAAACACCACATGTTCTCACTCGTAAGTGAGAGTTGAACAATGAGAACACGTGGACACAGGGAGGGGAATATCACACACCGGGGCCTGTGAGGGGATGGGGGGTAGGGGAGGGATAGCATTAGGAGAAATACCTAACGTGGATGACGGTTTGATGGGTGCAGCAAACCACCATGGCACGTGTATACCTATGTAACAAACCTGCATGTTCTGTACATGTGCCCCAGAACTTAAAGTATATATATTTTAAAAAGTGGGTTGAAGGAAGGAGGAAGGTCAAAGATGACTTCATGAGTTTCTGGTTTGAGAAACTGAATAGATGATGTGAAAGATAATAACTTGGTAGAACAGGTTTGAATGCAACACCAAGAGTTTCATTTAAGACAAGTTGAGTCCAAGTTGAGACACATCAAAATAGGATCTTACATATGCAGCTGGATCACAAATTTAGATCTCCAGAGTCTTATTCCTAGAACCTAGAACAAAGATCCATCCAGACAAAGACAATATTTAAATCCAAGAAAAGCGGGCACGGTGGCTCACACCTGTAGTCCCAGCACTTTGGGAGGCCAAAGTGGGAGGATCGCTTGAGCCCAGGAGTTCAAGACCAGCTTAGGCAACACAGTGAGATACTATCTCTAGAACAACAACAGCAACAACAAAGTGAAATTAACAGGATTTAAAAAAAAGAACGTGACAATTTGGGGCTGGGTGCAGTGGCTCACGCCTGTGGTCCCAGCTACTTGGAAGGTTGAGGTGGGAGGATTGCTTGAGCCCAAGAGAGTGAGGCTGGAGTGAGCTGTGATTGTACCACTGCACTGCAGCCAGGAAGACAGAGCAAGACCCTGTCTCAAACAAAGAAACAAACAACCAAGAAACCAAGGAAACTGATGTAATTGCCTCAAAAGAGGCTAGACAGAAAAGAAGTTTTGGGGTAAGGTTCTGGGAAAGGCCGTCATTTAGATGTAGGCAGAGGAGGACCCAGCAAAGGAGACAGGATGAGTTGCCAGAAAGGCAGGAGAAAAACAAGGGGAATGGTGCCCCAGCTGCTAAGAGAGAAGGGTATTTTAAGAGATTATAATAGATTGCATTGAACAATGCTAACACTTCAGTAAGATGGTGGCAGAGGCATGAGAGCTGAGTTGGGAGGAGGCACATTTCTTCCATAGTAATAACAGGGAACAAGAGAAGGTGTCTGCAAGCCTACATAGTTTTGCAGTTTTGGAAGTCCAGGTTTTGTTCTGGTTTTTATTTTCTCATAATATTTGAGGAAGGAACATCAGCAGTATGGGTGGGATCAGGATGGATGTGAAAGGTTTGAAAAGAAACAAGATGGTGTGATGCAGTGTGGGAGAGCGCTTACAAGAGAAACTATGTAGGGTTGGCAGACAGTATGTAGCACCAATTTGAGGTCTGAAATGTTTAACATGTTTCAGGAGGCTGCCTGAGGACAGACAGCAAACAAGAAGGTGATGGTACATTTTACCATGGATAAGGAGTTGTCTGAAAAGTAACACAGAGAGGGAGGGTAAGGGAGTTGAGTATATTTCTGAAGAAGTGATTATAATGGTGGACCCTATGTGTACTCATGGATATTGACAGCGTACTTTTGAAATTAAGGAGGGTTTTTTTTTTACTGATTTTTTCACCATATCTCTATTTATTTGAATTAAACTTTGTAGTTAAGTATTGTAAATTTTGTTCTTTTAAAAGAATCATATAATCCCTGACTGTACTCTAAAAAGACCGAAAAATTTATAAAATCTACAAATTCTTATTTGTATACCTGTTTCCTCACTGACCAATCAATGTCAGTGTCAATCACTTTAATGTATTTTGCTGGTTTAGTAAGTGTGTGACAGTGATGTACGTTGTTTTACTTTGCTTGATTATGAATGCTAGTAGTGGTGAGGCTTTTATCCATGAAGACTCGCTGTCTGCATTTTCCCCTAGAATCAGGGCATAAATTCTACATGATTGCATCAAAATAGTTTATCTTTTGGATAATGAGCTCCATTAGTTGTGTTTGTTTAACCTACATTTTTTTATTCTGTTATTTCTTCTTAATTATATTTTTGGGCAAATTTTTAGAAATTTGCATTTAAATTGGCTCTATTCTTTTTTATAATATAATCTCCATGTCTTAAATACACAGAAATTTGTTTAATATGAGTGTGCTGCTCTGTTTTATTTTTAAAGGTTTATTAATTCCTGGCTTACTTGGAATTTCATATAGTATGTTGTGTGAAGGATGACTCCACGTTAATTTTTCTTTATTCTGGTATCCAGTTGTTCCCAAAATATTTATATAACAGTGAGTCCTTTCCACATTTACGTGTTGTTTCTCGCTTGACATCAATTAAGTTCTCATGATGGGCTGTTTTTTTTTTACTCTAGTCCATTGATTATTCTTTCTGTTATATAGTTTTGACAACATGTTACTTTATGGTTTATTTTTAAATCTAGCAGCATTTTTGCCATTTAATAATTTTATTACCTGATATTTTTGCTGTCTTTTAAGATGAGTGCTTTTTTACAATGTTTCTAAATTTCATAGATCATTCCATAAGATTTTAATGGTTATTGCATTAAATTTGTTGATTACTAAGAATCATGACTTTTGGGGATTTAGTTAGTCTTCTCAACCAGTACCAAGATACATCACTAACGGCTTTCCACTATGTATCTGAATCAGATATTAAATTGTCTTTACTTAAACCTCATGTGCCCTGACTCTATTGAGGGTAGCTATGTATTTTATAACACTATTTTTTTTGACAATTTTTACTTGTAGATTCAAATGAGATTCTTTGCTGAGCTCATGTATTTACCATACATTTTTTAAAATTTTCTGACATTTTCTAGATCATAATTGTGTGAGTGATGTTGTTTTTAATTCATATTTTTGGACACAGTTCTGTAAGGAGCATGCATTTTGAAAGCTGTTAATTTTTCTTTTTTTTTTTTTTTTCAGTGTCAGGGATAGGTACTTTTTGTCTGTTAACCACTTTTCTTTTGTACATTGTGTTAGCAAGTTGTTTAAGAACAAATTTAATGCCCTTTTTTGTCAGATTTTAAAAATTTAATATGATTTAATCTGAATGACAGAATTTTAAAATATTCATTTAGACAAGACAGGTCTTCGACTATTTTCTAGATTTCAACTTGTCTTTTTTTCTCTGAGGAATATTTTGGTAGGTGAAAGTGTATAGAATTTAGCTTTCCAATTCTAGTGAGTGTCTTATTTATATTATATGCACCCATTAAATACTTTTATGCAAAAATTGGTGAAAAAGTACTTTTTAGAAACAGAGGACTTTACCTTACTCATTTTGAATATTGTAAACAATATGACTGTATTATCTTCAGTCATTCTATGCCTTTATCTTTATTACTGTTATCTTTGCCTTCTTTTTTTCATTTACACAGTGTCTGTAGTTGGCTTTATTAAATTTTAAACTGCCAGATGATAGGACTGTGGCTTTTTGAACTGGACCTTAATAGGCCTGACTTTGACAGGCAGAAAAATAAAGCACTCCTGACAGAGAGAAGTAAAAGGCCATGAGGAGGTGTGGCTGCACGGGTGTGTTTGGGAAGCAGAGAGCAATATTGTGTGCTGGTGAAGAGAGTTCAGAGTGAGCAGAGAGAGAATCCCGGACAATGTCAGTTGGGGCTGGGTTCTGGGGCACCTTGGATGCTGGGTGAAGGAGTTTGGGCTTATCTTTGTTGCTGAGAAGCCATTTTGAAGGGAGGACTAACATCAACAAAGGTGAAATGTGACAGATTTCAAGCTGAATGGCAGGCAGAATGGCAGTCCCAATGTCAGAAACATGAAGGTCAAGAGGAGTGGACTGCAGAAGAGCTTGGGGAACTGGGCAGCATGTTTGATTCTACCATATTGATTTTGAGCTGCCAACAGGGCAGTAGGCAGCACTTAGCTCTCACTTGGAAGCATGAGATGGATTGCTAGGAAAAAAGATTTGGTTTTGGAATTCTAAGATCTGAAGGCTCCAGAAAGGAAAGCTAAGGACATAGTCTGAGATAGAAAAGGGTTGAGGAGCCAACTTCAAGGCTCCTTTTTACAGAAAAAAATGAAGAGGCAAAGAAGCAGTGGCAGAAGGCACAGGTCTAGGAAGGATGGGGTGGAGAGGAGGTGCAGAAAGGCACCTGCGGATTTCATGGCTGGAGATCTCAGGTGACTTTGGAGAGAGAGGCTTTAAAGGAGTGATGAGAAACAAGGCGGCTGGCTGAGGAATGACGACAGTGAGGAGGTGAAGACAGCAACACCAAACAACTTGACTGTGAGGGCAGCAAGTGAGTAGATGCAAGCGGTGAAGGCTGTTTGTGCTTTTCAGGACATGAACTCTTGTGCTCACACAAACAGTTCCACACCAGCCTGCCACCTTCTTCAGCGAGACTCATGAGCGACATCCATGATGCCCATTTATTACCTCCCACTCCTATGACTTTTTTATTTCGTCTCTGCTGGGAAATGCCTGCAGGAAACACCCAGTGACGTGACACGTTTTTAGTAACTTTGTGGTGACATCACTGTCTTCTCTGCTTACTGCAGCTTTCTGTTCACCAAATGCCCTTGCTGACCCCTCACACACACAGTCCTTTGACCTTGATTTCACCAGGAAATTCTCAGGCCGGAAAGAACTTTCAGTTGTCTTCACCATCCCCTGACTTCTACCTGTACATCTCCAAAATCTCCTCAAAAAAGATTTAAAAAAAAAAATCTGAAGTGGGAAAGATTTAGTGAAACACACACTTTTCAGCTAATAGCACATCCTGATCTTTAGTTCACAAATCTCTTCTCGTTTTGTTTTCTATTTTATCATTCACCCTCCAACTGCCCCCCGAACCATGGGCAGCCATTTAAAGCATTTGTTGTTATTTTTGCTTCTCTTATAGGTCATCAAAAACCTGAAAGCAAAATTTTTTTAGAAACTCAAATCATTCTTTAACTCCATAGCTTCAAGGACACAGAGACACATCCAGATGCTGATTTAAGATTGAGAGAGAAGGCACTGCCTACCTGGGCTATGAGTTTGCACCTAGTAAAGGGCTCTATCTTGTCACTCATCCTAGTGAGGACCAGGCAGCAGAGGTAGCAGAGGGTTGCCATTTCCTCTTTAAGGCAATTCCCTCCAGACTGGCTTCATGTGTTAATGTAAAATAGTAAGAAGTGCTAGAAGACTGTCATATAACTTTTATATGTTGAGAGAAAGCACCCTGAAGTCAAGTAGAAATGGTTCTGTTGCTATCTATTATTTTTTCTGTACTTCTAAGACTGTAAAAAAATTACCCATTACTATTTCCCCCCATCATTATCCAATAAATAAACTCTCAAGTCCCTTACTCCAACCATGATGCTCTAAAAGCATTTCTTTTTAGGCAGAATTTTACATTAGTTGCATTCTGGGATCAGGCCCCCTACCGTGTTCCATTGACTCCTCCCAGTGGGTGCCCCCCTCACTCCCAGTCTGACAAGCAGGTGTGTCTGTCTCTTTAGGAACGACTCAATCGCCGGAGCAGGAAG
Organism: Homo sapiens; assembly: GCF_000001405.40. NCBI lineage: Eukaryota > Metazoa > Chordata > Mammalia > Primates > Hominidae > Homo > Homo sapiens. The sequence continues at coordinate 1,444,953 of NT_167249.2, forward strand.
CTCAGAAAGGACATTGCAGAACTTCAGCGGCTCAAGGCTCAGCAGGAGAAGAAACTGCAGGCTCTGCAGGTGGGTTTTTCGGGTTCCTGGGAAGGACTCCCTGGAGTGTTCTCAGGAGCCCTTACTTAACTATTCTGGACATCTGTCTGTCCCTGGAGCAGCCTGATGTGGGCAGATGGTCGTGGAGGCTGAAAACCCGGGTGTTGGCCTTGGCGTCAAAGTTTGCTGGTTGAGTGACCTACGCAAGTTAAGCCCTCTGATCTTTATGTGACTTACATGTTAAATGAGAACCAGTCCTGCTCTACCTGGATCACAGTAGGGATCAAAGGAGACCAGTGTCTCGTCAACTGAAAATTACTACACAAGCCATAGGCCTCTGTTTCTTTTTATTTTATTTTATTTTTTTTTTGAGATGGAGTCTTGCTCTGTCGCCCAGGCTGGAGTGCAGTGGCACGAACTCCGCTCACTGCAAGCTCCGCCTCCCGGGTTCACGCCATTCTCCTGCCTCAGCCTCCCGAGTACTGGGACTACAGGCACTTGCCACCACGCCCAGCTAATTTTTTCTATTTTTTAGTAGAGATGGGGTTTCACCATGTTAGCCAGGATGGTCTCGATCTCCTGACCTCGTGATCCGCCCGCCTTGGCCTCCCAAAGTGCTGGGATTACAGGTGTGAGCCACCGTGCCCGGCCGCCATAGGCCTCCATTTCTGTCTCTGACAGTCTACCTTTCTATTCCTCTTGGTCACATGGCATCTGTAGATATTCAGAGAGTGAGGTGGAAAGGTGAGGTGTCCCTGCCTTTATGAGAATCAAAGCTGCTTCTGCAATACCTGTGACACACAGAGGCAACACCATGAGGGCAAGAGGATTGAGGAATCAGCATTCCTGCTCAGACATTCAGAGACTGTGAAGGGCCAGGAGGGAGCCACCTGACACTGAGTCTTAGGGAGCCCCTTTCCTGTAGTTTCAGGTAGACCACGGGAACCACAGGCTGGAGGCTGGGCCGGAGAGCCAGCACCAAACCAGGGAACAGCTGGGTGCCCTCCCCCAGCAGTGGCTGGGCCAGCTGGAGCACATGCCAGCAGAAGCGGCCAGAATCCTTGACATCTCCAGGGCAGTAACACAGCTCAGAAGCCTGGTCATTGATCTGGAAAGGATGGCCAAGGAATTAGACACCAACACACTGAAGGTGCATACCCTGAGGCCTTCCCCAAGGGCTGGGATTCTCCCCGATAGGAGGCAGCCCATCTGCATCACCCTTCTGGAAGGTGTAAGAGGGAGGGGCCTGTGTGATATGTGGTGACTTGTGGTAGATGTGGCTTGTTCCAGGCTACAGAGTGCTGCTGCAGCAGAATGGGCACAGAAGAGGGGTGTTGCTATGTTCCCCCAGTTCTCAAGGTGGCACCCCAGAGTGGCCTCCAAGAGTGAATTGGGAAAGGAATTTGGAGGTGATAGGAACCTGAGAACCAATTATGATTCTCACTTTTTCTCTCTCCTAGAATGCTGGTGACTTACTGAACAGGTACGAGCTGTCCCTTCTTCTTTCCCACATGTGCATATAAACCCACACAACACAGACATGCACAGAGGTCAAGGAGACCCACTGCTCCGTTAGCTTTTGTATCTTGATGCTACATGGCCAATGGAAGAGCCAATGGAATATATGAATACATATTAATCTATGAAGGATTTCTTTGTTTCTAGGAGTGCTCCACAGAAATTAGAGGTTATTTATCCCCAGTTGAAGAAAGGAGTCAGTGAATTGCTTCTTCAGCCCCCTCAGAAGCTCTGACCTGTTCATCCCTGGGACACCTCACTTCAGGCTCACCTCAGCCTCCTCTCTCTCCTTCCTCCAACCTGTCCAGGCCCCCACTGGGTCTACCCAGTGCATCTTCGGGCCTGCCAGCTCCTGAACATGTCACCATTTCTTCATGTCCACAGTCATCACCTGATGCCTGACCCTCTGACTCTTGGACGATAGCCAGCCTCCTTCCAGGACAGGCTCATGCTTGGGGCTGCCACTGTGGAGGTCGGGGCCCATGGTCTCCAGGAGCATTTGTGAAATCTCCATTTTGCCTGTAAACTGATGGTAGTGCCCATCTCTCACAATCTCATTCAAATAGGATCCTCCAGGCCTCTGAATGGCCCGAGCTCATCAGCAGTGACATCACCTCACATGTGGAGCCCAGCTGAGTTCCTGCAGTACTTGTTGTCTGTACCACTCACCTGGCACTTATTTATTATTGTTGTGGAAGACAGACTCAAAGACAGCCTCCCTTCGTGATCCTCACCTCTTGGAATTCATGCCCTTGTTTGGTCCCCTCCCCTTGAGTGTAAGTGGGATCTGTGACTTGCTTCTAATCAATGGAATAAGGCAAAGGTGATAGGGTGTCACTCTGGCAACTGTGTTGCATTGTATAGAACTCCTCCTTGCTGGCCCACCCTTTTAGAGCCCCTCCTAGGAGCCAAGAGCAGCTTCCAGCCAACAACAAGCAGAGGCCCTCAGTCTTGTGGCTGCAAGAACCTGAATTCTGCCAACAACCTGAGTGAGCTTGGAAGCAGATTCTTCCCCAACTGAGCCGGATAAGAACCTAGTCCAGCCAACACCTTGATTATAGTCTTGTGAGTACCTAAGCTGAGGACCCAGTGAAGCTGTGCCAAAATTTCCCACCCACAGAAACAGTGTGACAATAAATGTGTGTGTGTTTTTTTGTTTTCTGTTTTCGTTTTTGAGATGGAATCTCACTCTGTTGCCCAGGCTGGAGTGCAGTGGTGTGATGTCGGCTCACTGTAACCTCTGTCTCCTAGGTTCAAGCAATTCTCCTGCCTCAGCCTCCCTAATAGCTAGGGATTATAGGCGCCCACCACCACACCCGGCTAATTTTTTGTGTTTTTAGTAGAGACAGGGTTTAACCATGTTGGCCAGGCTGGCCTTGAACTTCTGACCTCAGGTGATCAGCCCACCTTGGCCTCCCAAAATGCTGGGATTACAGGTGTGAGCCACCGCGCCTGGCCATGTGTTGTTATAAGGCAGTAAATTTGTGGTAATTTTTGTGGAGTAATGGATAATGAATACAATTGTATATTAGTCATTTTTGTATAAGCCTCACTTCTTTGGGTGAGCAGGGATCATATTCTGTCTGTGTCCTCATGTCTAGAACAGTGTCTGGCTCATAGCTGGTGTCCAATAAAATTTTAAATGTATGTATAAGTGAACTAATAAGAAAGCATAAGGAAGGGCTCTTCTCAATCCTCTGATTAAAAAGAGCCATCAATTACCTTATAATCAGTATTTATTGAGCCCTTGCCAAAGTAGTCAATACCATACTGAGAGGTATAAGGAATAAAACATGGCCACAATTATAAAACAAGCCACGTGGTGGTGCAAAGAGTGAAAACTACAGGGTCAGACTTGAGTTTAGGTCTCGGTCCTGACACCTAATGCCTCTGTAACCTTGGGCAAATTACTTAGCCTCTCTGAACCTCTGTACTCCCCCCTCTAAAATAAGGGTTATGGTACCTGTGGCCTGGGATTGTTGTCAAAATTAAATACATGCTGAGTGTCTGCTAAAGTGTCTAAAACGTAAACATTCAAATATGTTCATTTTATCTTTTTTTTTTTGGTGTATTCTGGCTTTATTGTTATTTTTTTTAATTATACTTTAAGTTCTAGGGTACATGTGCACAATGTGCAGGTTTGTTACATATGTATACATGTGCCATGTTGGTGTGCTGCACCCATTAACTTGTCATTTACATTGGGTATTTCTCCTAATGCTATCCCTCCCCCCTCCCCCCACCCCAAAACAGGCCCTGGTGTGTGATGTTCCCCACCCTGTGTCCAAGTGATCTCATTGTTCAATTCCCACCAATGAGTGAGAACATGCGGTGTTTGGTTTTCTGTCCTTGCGATAGTTTGCTGAGAATGATGGTTTCCAGCTTCAACCATGTCCCTAAAAAGGACATGAACTTATCCTTTCTCATTTCATCTTTTTTTAAAAAAACCACTTCCCCTTTTGAAATGAAATATGGAATGATAAAAAAATTTTAAATAAATTCCACTTCACCATCCAGAAGTTTATAATTTAGCTGTGGAACTATGACTAAACAGATACAGAAAAAGAAGAGAGCGTGTAACTGCACTGAATTAGGTATCACAGAGGCTAAGTGCCCTGGGAATTCAGAGGAAAGAAACAGCGAGCCTGGGAAAGTCAGGGTAGGTTTTGTGGGGGAGGTGGGGATTGGACAAGTGGGAGAGGAAGGTGAGAACATTCTAGGTCACAATAACCACATGAATGAAAGCATAGAGGTAGGAAAAAGCCACGGCACCTTTGTAGGAGTGTGAGGAAACCAACCTGGTTAGGCTGGAATGTTCAGGAATGGGGAAGACGAGAAGTCAACAGGCTAAATGGATGACACCAAGACATAGTGAGGTTTCTGAGTCAGGAATGAAGGGAGAAGTGGTGTTTAATGAAAGCCAGTCTGGATCGTTTGCACAAGAAGGACTGGGACAGAGAGTTGGGGGCTGGAAGGAGAGGGGAGGAGAAAGAGCCTAGTGTAGATGTTCAGAAAAAAGGTATAGTTATTTGGCAAGAAGCTGCAGATCTCAGAGAAACATAAGATCCCAAATCTAAGAGCAAGACATTAGCCAAGGAAAGAACACCCCTGAAAGTGACAGCTAGCAATACCTGCATCCCAGATGGAGTTAATGTCACCAAGAGAACTTGTACTAGGAGTAGGAGGCTGACAGCCCCCAGGGTCTCTCCTCAGGAGAGAAGTCAGTTATACTGAAGATGCCTTCCAGGCCCCCCTTGGTCCCTTCTGACGTCACCGCAGATGATCAGGCCAGGGGTGGGAGTCTGAACAGCAGATAATTGGCCAAACAAGTCTATGAGGTCACCTATCAAGGAAGACCTTATCAAAGAGGGACAATAGTAATTAACTGAAACCATCAGGTCCTCTCGGAGATTCAGAAGGGATCCATGATGAATGTGTCATTAGTTGGCAAGAAGAGCAGACACAGAGAGAATCAGAGATGCATGTGCAGCCACGATGTATTGGAACAGGTGTCCATGACCCATGCTGCTGAGAGGCCGCAGGAATATCCAGTCTTCACGCTTCTTTGGACTTCGAGCCCACTTCTTACCGGTAGGTCCTGGGCATACAACATACCACTGCATAATGGTCATGAGCACAGACTCGGGAGCCAAACCACAAGACTTCAAATGCTGGCTCTGCGACTTACTATCAGCTGATTTGAGACCAGCTGCTCGGCCTCCACATGTCTCAGTTCTCTTATGTACAAGATGGGCACCTACCTCCTGAGGTTGTTGTGAGGATTAAATGAGTTAATATATACAAATATTTATTATGGTGTTTGGCCAAAATAAGTTCTATGTGTGTGATTGTTATCAGCATTTTTGGAATCTCTAGTTCTTCCTACAGGAACGAGTGGTGACCCCACCAACTCACTCACGCCTGACATAGCTTCTCACGGGGCCTGGCTCATGGTGGAAAATCGCATTTTCCTTATTTCTGCTTTTATAATAAACTTACCTATCATTTGAACTAACTTGAGTGGGTCTCAATTCTTTGCAATAGAAAGGGTTGCTACCATGTAAGCTGTGAAAAATGAGGTGTAAACTGTGGATGTTACAAATGTGCAACAGTCCTTCAGAGTCGGAAAGGGTAGCTGGGACTCTGGGGCCTCTAGACTTGAGCACTTCCTGGGGAGGGAACCCAGAGTCCCACTTCCGGCCAGCAGAGCAAGGAGGTTCATTAAGCTGCCTTATCTTGAAGTTACCAGGTTTTAGGATCTATCCACTTCCCCTGTGCTGACTCCATACTCCGAAAGCAAGTAAACTTCAAGTAAAATTACCCTAGGGGAGAAGCAGGTACTGACAGACCAACATGAGTGTTTTCACTTATGAGCAGTTTTATTTCTCAGTGTAAGACATATAAATTGTTCTCACTGACATATAACTATTAAAAGAAAAATAAAATAAAACAATTTAAAAAGAAGAAATATAAATTGTATTTCTGAATCCAAGTCACCTGTGGGGGTGTAGCCAGCATTAAAATAATCGCCAGGACCCATGCAGGCATCTATCTCTGAATGAGGCAGTGCAGCATAGCAGTTAAGAGCTCTTGGGTCAGACATGGATGAACTGGTTGCATGATCTTGGCTCGTTACCAAGATAAAGTGACACAAGGTGTGTAAAGCTCCCGAGCTGCAAGCCAGGATCTTCATACACATACATTTTAGAGGATAATAGTCCTTTCAAAAGACACAGCTAAAGCCAATAAAAATAAACAGAAAAATAGGATCTACCTTTCTGGAATCACAGGTTTGGGTGCTTTGCATATGTTTTATCATTATATAGGCACTTGTGTGTGTCTGTATTTTTTTGAATATACAACATTTTAATGAGATACTGCACACTCCCAGGGAAAGCAATTCAATCTTTAATCCCTGGCTTCTGATCTCCACCTCTTTTCTACCTGCTGAGGTAAGGATGAACAACAGAACTTCTCAATTGAATTCTAAGCTTGGGCCTAAGCACGCTGTGCCCTCTGCCTTTGAGTTTGCACCCTGGATGGCTCCCCTCCTCCCAGGAGACCCAGTAGGGAGATGACAGAGCATTGTATTTTACATCTGAGCAGAGTAAACAGATGATGTTAAGGAGACTGTCAGTGAAGGGCATGATTATGCAAAATAAAATACAATAGTGACAAGAACAAGAAAATAAAACATGGTCACTCTTCCATCCCATTTCTCAGATGTCACTACAGTAGTCTCAATTACGGTAGTCTCAATTCTTTAGACTAAAGGTCATAGGTCATCCAACTTATGCCCTGGCCTCCTTCTGGAATTCTTTTACCTAGCAGTTTCTGAGCCCACAGCTGAGCTATTTGTGACCCATTTGCTCCCACTATCTCATTTCTTGACCTCAGATGGTAATCAACTGATCAGGAAGACAATTTCCCTAGGGTTGAGTGTGGTCCCTGGGTTATGATTTATGGCTATACCTTATGTCCTCCTGCCCCCAGGCCCTGCACCTTAATCTCACCCAGAAGTGGCAACACCAGGAGGAAGGAGGCAGTGAGTGGTGTCGGCTGGGGATGGCACACATCTGCCCATAAGGACAATGGAGACAACCCAGTGCTCCAGAGTCACAGGTCATCCAGCCAGTTCTCTGCTGTTTCCTCTTCTTAAGATGCTTCTTCCCCTCTTTTCCCTATTGACTATAGGCATCCTTTAGACTACCCTTTTCAGAAAGCCATCCCCCACTCATCCTCTCCTTCCAGGCTGGGCTATGCCCCTTCCCCTGAACTCCCATAATGCTGGGGTTGGACTTCCCGTAACACCCACCACACTGTGCTATAATTTCCTCTTTATGTTTCTCTGTCTTCCCAAGAGCTCTTTCAGATATAGAGCAGGTTTTTTTTTTCTCTACATTTTCAAGTCACCAGTGGCCACCACACTGCTTGGTTCATAGTTAACACAAACTAAATGGTTCTAGAGAATGTGATTACATGAACTCTAACATTATTGGAAGAAAACAAGATGAAAAGAGGTGAGATGCCTTGTTTAAAGTCATACAACTGGTTGACAGGCTGGTTCAAGAACCCAGGTCTTCTGACTTCAAATCCAGTGCTCTTTCTATGCAGCTACTTCTGTGCCAAGCACGGATGGTGGTGAGCAGAACTGGCAGCAGCCTGAGTCCCCAGGTACCCTGGCCATCCACTGGGCATTGGGGAAAGGACTTGATCAGTAGATTGAGAGTCCTCTCTTCTATCCCTCACCACCCGGCCCCATCCCATCTTCTAAAGCAGTCATTTCTATTCCAAGTCATCCAGGTGATTCAGCCAGGGATCAAGTCCACATGGTACTTGGGTTGATATGAGTCCTGTACTTAGAGGAGAGTAGGTAACTGCTCCTTCTCAGGAGCTCAGGGAGAAACTGGACCCTCGGCCCCAGAGCCCAAAGAAGGGAATGACCTTCCTAGTGAAGGAGGCAGTGAAGGTGTAGATGGGCTCTCGGGTGACAGCGTTGGTGAAGGTCACCCAGCCCACCTCATAGTCAAGAGACACCCTCACCTGCCGGGGCTGCTCCTTCAGGGTCAGCCGTGTGGGGAAGGAGCCCAGAGCCGAGACGAAGCCCCAAGCCAGCCTCACAGCCCACACCCCCTCCTCTGGCCGCAGCCGAAGCTCCCCCTTCCGCTGCACATCCTCGCTCACCACGCCCACGGTGCAGCTGCCCCCATGGGCCAGGTCTATACTCACCACCCACGTGTGTCTCCCCCCTGTGATGCCAGTGTGGGCCAGAACACAGGTGGCCCGGTCAAAACGCTGGGGGTTGTCTGGTGAGTTCTGCCATTTGTAGGAGAACTGAGCTCGCTGGTGGTCCTCGGACAAGAGGAGCTTGGGGTGGGAAGTCTGAGGGTCTAGAGAAATGTGAGCTGTGGGGATAACCAAAAGGGACAGATGTCAGCAGACATGCTATTACCTCCAAGGAAGGCATAGAAACTCCCCCTGGGCCCCTCCTGTTAGTGTTATTATTACCAAAAACATGTATAGTGCCTACGTGGGCCAACAGTGTGGAACCACCTGGGAACTTGTTAGATATACGCTCTCAGAATCTGCATCCTAACAAGATGCCCAGGTGATTTGCACACAGGTAAAGCCTGAAAAGCCTGCCTCAGAGGATGTGAAAGCTCTCGTTTAGTTCAGTGTGGTCCTCGGGAAAGCTCTTCTGCTCACCGCAAGTTGGTTGGTTTCCAAAGCTGTGCGTGCCAGCTTGGATCTCCTGGGGCTGATATACCACATTCTCCCCTCCTCCCATCTCTATCCCACAGTGCAGCGACATTTCTCCCTTCAGTCCAAACTTCATGATTCCTCCCTGTTTTCCTCCCAGGGCACTGGTGACTCATTTACAGTCTTCCCTCCTGGCAGGCTCTCTGGCTCACCCCTGGGTTATTCACTCTGCCTCAGTAATTCTGAAACTGTCAGAGTCTGAGGACCACTTTTTACCACCAAAAACTGCTGCAGAGCCTTGCGTTTTGTTACTTTTAGTATTCATAAATTGAGAAGCTTCCATAAATTTAGGTCCATCTGTGGGTTAGAGAACCCCCTCCAACAACTCCGTGACTCCCAGGGTCTTAGGCTGGTTGATTGAGAAATGACAGCCTTGAAGGGGTCCATTCTGTTCATTTTTTTCCCACCCACAGGCCGCCCTCCTTCTGTCATCTGTGAAATGACATCTGAGAGGAAGCAGGGGTTCCTTACGTTCTAAAGAGGTGATTATAAACCCAGATCAAAGTCCCCTTTATCCAGAAAGCATTCCCAGATGGACTTTATCCCATTCTGCATTAATCTTTCTATCTACTCGACATGCGCAGATCAGGATGTGAGCTTCATACCACGAATGTAGTATGTGTATGTGCTTGTCCTTTCTTCATGTTTCTCCTGAGAGCCTTACAAACAATGTGACACACACACACACACAACCTATATATACACACATGTATTATATACACACACATATGTGTATATATAATATATATGATGTGTATATGTATCCATGGGTGTTTGTTATGACTATTGTCATAGTCATAACATAGTCATAGTGCAAATCCTGCAAAATTTTCTCTCCTTTCCGAGGACTTCTCATTCTCTCCCATCCTGACATAGGCTCCTTACCTGGCTCATAGTCCAACTCAAAGCATAGTTTTTCTGTAAAGAAAATAAACCAGGATGAGATTTTATTAGTCTTACAAAACCATCAGACACTTAATGATGAGAAAACTGAGGCCAAGAAGAGGGAAGGGACAAGAAGAAGAATGTAAGCTGGAATCCTCTAGACCAGTGGTTCCAAGCTTGCATCAGAATCATCTGGAGCTCTTGTTAAAACACATCTGTTTCAGATTCAGGTGCTCTGGGGTGGAGCTGAACATCTGTATTTCTAACAATTTCCTGGGCAATGCAGCTGCTGCTGCTGGTGGGAGCCCCACTGCCCTAGCCCTGATCAAACAGGGACCATGACTGCCTTGCTCACCTCTGTACCCGCAGAGCCCAGGACATAGTAAATGCTCAAGAAATATCTGCTTAGTGAATAGAGAAATGGGTTCATTTATTTATTATTCCACTTGGAAATAATTTTGGGGAGAGTCAAAGGTCAGCCTTTGATTAGAGTGAAATTTCCTTCACTGACAGGTCACTGGAAGTATTTGCAGGAAATGGAATTATGGGAAAAGTCCTTCTAGGGTGACATAACTGTGGGTGGGTCATTTCAAAATTGGTGTCATCATTCATTCTGTCATGGTTAGTGAGGAGGTGGTTGGCAGAGAGCCATGTCCCATTCCTGACTCTCATCCAAACCCTCCCCCACACCCTACCACCACTCCCTGTTCCGGAAAAGGAAGTGGAGCACAGTCCCCGTAGGACCGTCTAACTCTGAGCCAGACTAACAGAAAGAAAGTGAGAAGGAAGGAGGGACGAGCCAGATACCACAGGGTCAAGATAAATACTGTTGTTGGCTATTAATTAACAATGTTCATCATCAAAAACTTATCACATATTACAAATGTTGCTGTGGGATTTTTTAACTTATTAAGAATGATATATTGTTAATCATTATCTTTCATATTGCTTAATGACCACTAATCAGATTTGTTGAATTATTTTAAAATCAGTTTAACTTTTTCACCAGAAATATTCACCTTTATTCTCTTTCTTCATTGTCACAATATCCTAATAGGCAGATTTTATAAAAATCTGCAAATAAGGAAATCAAGGCACAGGAAGGAATAAGGCTTGCCAAAGTCACACCTTTCAGCAGTGGAGCGTGGAGGCCACTCCTAAACCCAGGCTTCATGGCCACCTGCGCTCTGTGGAGGCCTGGGGTTCTCTTACCCAGAAACATCTTCATCTCCCTCTGCAGCGGGAGGGCCTGCTGGGGAAAGTCCCGAATCCTCTGGCCCAGCTCTGGCGACACAGCCACCGGTTTCCGGCACTTTCTGGTTTCACATCTAGGGGCACAGAAATGGCTGGGTCTGGGAATTATCATCCTTAATAATGTCTCCAGACTCAGCTGGTCATCTTCTAATAGGGCATGATGGCGCTAGTTCCTGCAGGCAGACGTACTTCCTCTAGGATGAATCCCACTGCCCATTTTTGGGCATCTATGGATATACCTGAGAAGGCATTTGGGTATATAGAGGTTTATATGTAAATTTGTATCCTTAAGTGAGAATGTTATATACCTGTGTGGCAATAACTAGGCATGCAGTACATGTATGTATATTTATATGGAAAAAGAAAAGAGAGAAACTATATTGCTTACCTTATTAGAGTGCTTCTGATGTCCTAGGAGAAAGAGATACCAGAAATTCAGTTTCCAGCTTCTCCTTTCCATTTTTCTTTCCTTTCTTTTTCTACTTTTATTTTATTTATTTTTTATTTGCTTGTTTGTTTGTTTGAGAAAGGGTCTCACTCTGGTGCCCAGGCTGGAATACAGTGGCGTGATCATGGCTCACTGCATACTCAACCTCCTGGGCTCAAGGGATCCTCCTACCTCAGCATCTTGAGTAGCTGGGACTACAGGTGTTTGTCACCATGCCTGGCTAATTTTCTTTTTTTTTTTTTTTTTTTTTTGTAGAGATGGGGTTTTGTTATGTTGCCCAGGCTCCTCCCACTTTTCTTATGACTGGAAAAGACAAAATATATTTCTAGCCCTGGACAGGAAAAGGATACCAGATGCATAGAGTCACAGAGCATTAGGACTCACCCATCTCTGTGGATCAGAGCCCAAAGCCTTTATTTTTTAGATAAAGATGGTGAAGTGACCTTCCCCTGCTCACTGGAGGCAAAGTAAGTCTCATACCAAGGTCTCCTGTTTCTCAGTCCTAAGAGCATCATTCTAAGTCATGCTGCCTTTCCAATACTTTGTGGGGACCCCAATACCTCTCCTCCAGTGTGAGGAAGTGAAATAGACCAGGACAAACTTCCTGACTGGTGGTTGGTGACATTTAGGTTATAGAGAATGGTTTGCAACTTACTTAATACTTTTTCAAAGTGCTACTTTCACTTCCATCTTACTGTTGGATCCTCACAAAAGCCCTGTGAAATATTTAAGGAAAGTATCTTCCCTATTTGGCAGATGGTGGGACGGAGAGGTGGAGACCAGAGAGCAAAAAGTGACCAGGGAACTCTTGGAAAAGCATGAACTAGAATTGAGACTTTCTGGTCCTCTGACCCACCTCCCATCTGGGATACAGAGATGTGTGAGTCAGGGAGACATGGCTTAGGCAAGACAAAGATGCAAGAGTCACAGGACAGCACAGGTGGGGCAGGGTTCCGGTTCAGGCCTCACCGTCAGGAGCTCCCTTGCTGGCCTCTCATTCTTCTCCTCCAGTTCTTCAATAAGAGCACTAAACCGGCAGATCTCCCCAGCAACCAGCAAATCAAATTCATCCCGTTGCCTCAAGATGTCCCCATCCTGGCTCTCCAATTGTGCTAAGAGGATGCTCTGCTGTTCCTCTAGAAACTTCCTCAGGTGTGCGAACTCAGAAATCACCTGTTGTCTCTTGGTGGACACCTGAGTCTGAGGGGGCAGGAGGCAAGCCCAAGAGAAAGTTTGCTTCCTCCTTCTCCCTCTGCTCCTCTTCCTCCCCTGTCCCCAGGTAGATCTGGAACTGTGTCATGGTTTCCTTTTCACTTGTCATCCCATTTCGAGAAGCAAGACTCACAGTGTTGTCTCAGCACCATCTGCTGCAGCTTCTAAAAGGGGTAGGGCTTACAGGAGGTGTAGGAGGAGGTGGTGGGGACACCCTACCTCCTGTCTTGTATGAAAAGCACATTATGTGCACAGCCCTGAGCTACTTTACAGTCACAATCTCATTTAATGCTTACAGTAATTCAATGAGGTCATGATGATTTTTACTCTCCATTTTACAGATAAGTAAACTGAAGTTGGAGAGTTGCTTGAGGTCATAGAGTTAGTGTCAGAGTCAGGATTTAAACTCATAATAACTTCAAAGCCCTATAATCTATGTTGCCTCAGTTTCAGGAAGACACTGGACCCTGAGGAAGGGGAGGAACCTGGGGAAGGGGTGATGACTTACCAGGAGGACTTGCATCCTTTTATTTTCTCTTGACTGGATTTCTTGAATCTCCTCTCTCTCTTTTCTTAGACATTTAAGACACTTATGGATTTGTTCCTGGGGAGAAGGAACATAAAATACTCAAGATGGAAAATGATTTGTTCAGGTTTGTCTGGTCATCTGACCCTCTGCCTCCAGGAATGAAATGGCCCCAGGAGAGGAGTCCCTTCCTTAGCTGACAATCCCCGAGCCTTCACCACCCTGACAGCTTACTCCCTTTGGGTCTTCTTCCTCTTGATTTGTCTCTAAGACTTTGGATCAGGACTTTCCCCCTTTATCCTGTGCCATTAGAGGCTGTGACTTGGTTTTCCCACTTGAGTCTTTCTTCAGGTTTAACATTCTATTGTGTTTTGCTTCAGGTAAGTGGTATCTGGGGTCTGTACTGAGTTTGATATGCCCCGCACTGAAATCATTCTGAGTTTCCGACTCATCCCAAAGGAACATGTGTAAATAACAACCCTCCCTTGTTACTGAAATCAATTATCTGTGTATGACTCCAGAGGGGAGAAGAAACTTGGGTAATGTAAAAATAATTGATAAATTGTTTTCAAAATTATTTGCTCCAGAATAGAGTTAGGAACAGGTACACACACGATAAATATGTGTGTTCAAAGATATATTAGAATTCTCACTATCAACTGCTAATTAACTAATTAAGACATCCACACACAGACTTGTACTAAAACATAATTCATAAGCACAATGCATAAACAACTAAAACCAGCACACATTCATTTAATGACAGATAAAATGGCATGCCACATACATTTACCCAGCCTGAATATATGTAAACACGAATTTATTCACAAACAGGAGCTCTCAGTTACACTTACACACTCAAATATATACATACTCAGACTCCCATCCAAACACACCAGACACACTTCTAAACATGCAAACATTAACACATATACACACTGTTTGTACAATCATTCCCTCAAATGCAAACTTCAGACACACCTGATCCATGGCACAGACACACACACTCATGTTTGGTCACTCATTCATTCAACAAGTACTTGTTGAACTCCCGTTATCTGTTGGCCACAAGTGAACACAGAACACACTCAAAAAAACATAAAACATAAACACAATTTTCCATGCCTGGGTCTATTGCCTGGGTGATCATGTAAGTAAGGAGAAAGAATTTGGCCTCCGGGTGGCCTAAATAATCCACAACTCTGCTGTTTCTCTTAGTCCAGTCCAGTCCACCCTGGGATCCCCCAGTTCCCCTTTCCTACCCTATAGGGAGCCGCTGCATCCTCCAGGAAGCGCATGGTGTGGGTAGCGTGCTCCCCAGCCTCCCGGCACACCACGCACAACTGCATCTCATCATCCTCACAGAAGAAGTAGATCTTCTCTCCGTGCTCTTGGCAGACATCCTCCTCTCCCAAACCCAGTGTGGACACCAGCTGGAGGCGCTCAATGTTCTCCACCACGTTAGCCAGCTGCCAGTTGGGCCGGAAGCTCCCAGGACGGAAGGGTTCTTTGCAGAGTGGGCAAGTAGGGGACTCCTCCAGGTCTGGGCCTGGTATCTCACAGTAGCGGGTAAGGCAGGCCCGGCAGAAGTTGTGGCCGCAGTCGATAGTGACCGGCTCCCTCAGGGTACCCTGACAGATGGGGCAGTTGACTTCATCTGCCAGGCTGGTCACAGAGGCAGCAGAGGCCATGCTGGTCCTGCTGCTATGGCTTCCTCAAGGCCACTCTCTCTGCTTGGCCACGGGGGAAGGGCTGGGTCACACACTCACACACCCACACATGCACATGGCTGGACACAGGCACATACTAAATATGCACCAGCACCCATATCGTCACACACTTGCATCTCTGGCAGCCAGGGTTCTATTCTCCTGCCAACAGCAGAGATGGGAAATAGCAGAGGAGAGGAAGGAAGAGGGGCTCACAGCATTTCAGAGGTGACCTTAGATGACCATAACCAGGGGCTGGCCATTCCTTTCTGCCCATCCAGAGACACTCACAGTAGAAGGAAAGTGGTGATATGTCAGCTGTCCACTGTCAGAAGAAATATTCTTTTGGGGGCAAGTGGGAGACTGGGTCACAGAGTGGAGATGCCATTCCAGCCTTTCTGCCATATGGCCAGCTGTCTCCAAAGAGATTGGAGGTATCAGCCAGCCCAGGGCTTGCCCATCAGCAAGCAGGAGAGTGTGGGGGCTCAGATAAGGTCCTTGTGCCAGGGTGTACACTGCACCAGCAACTTCAATGGTGATGCCTCAACTGGCCTGCTGCAGGCCTCAAAAGAGGCTGGAATATTCCCTATGATGGGGAGGAGAAAGAAAACTACTAACGGCCAGAATTTATTTACAATGACGGTACAACTTACATTGATACAAGCAATTTGGCCAGAATTTATTTACAATGACGGTACAACTTACATTGATACAAGCAATTTAAAAGTATGATCTTATTTCTGTGTCTGCTCTGCAACATCAGTGCTATTAGGATCTCCATTTCATAAATGAGAAAGCTGAGGCCCAGCCAGGTTATTCAGCTTGCCCTAGGCACACAAGTAAGAAGGTGAGTGACCATAAATAATTTGCTGTCAGATCTGTCTTCCGAGCAATGCTATTCAACATAAACGCAAAGTGAGCCACATATGCAATTTAAAATTTCCTAGTGGCCATATAAAAATAGTCTAAACAGGTGAAAGTAATTTTAATGATGTTATTTTATTTAGTCCTATATTTCCAAAATATTATCATTTCAATATGTGATCCATATAAAAAGTCATTAATAAGATATTTTACATTTTTAAATTTGTGAAAAGCCTTTGAAATCCGGTGTGTTGGCCGGGCGCGGTGGCTCACGCCTGTAATCCCAGCACTTTGGGAGGCCTAGGCGGGCGGATCACGAGGTCAGGAAATCTAGACCATCCTGGTTAACACGGTGAAACCCCGTCTCTACTAAAAATACAAAAAAATTAGCCTGGCGTGCTGGCCGGCGCCTGTAGTCCCAGCTACTCGGGAGGCTGAGGCAGGAGAATGGTGTGAACCCGGGAGGAGGAGCTTGCAGTGAGCCAAGATCGCGCTACTGCACTCCATCCCGGGAGACAGAGCGAGACTCCATTTCAAAAAAAAAAAAAAAGAAAAGAAAAAAGAGAAAAAGAAAAAGAAAAAAAAGAAATCCGGTATGTATTTTACATATACAGCATGCCGCCATTCAGACCGGCCACATTTCAGTGCTCAGTAGACACATGTGGCTGGTGGCTCCTGTATTGGACAAACTAGTTCCTGGGCTGCACTCGTGGCAGGAAGAGCAGAGATTGGATGGGAAGGGGAGGTAATAAAGTGATTAGAGTAAAAAGGGAGCAACCACAAGGGGCTAGGCTGATCACCCAGTGGGAGAATGGGGGAAGGCCTGGTTTTATCCACAGATGTGTGCATGGGTGAAGGACCGTGGCTGCAGATCTTGGTCTTGGCATGAGGTGTGGGAGGAGCGTAGGGCTTTAAGCCAGGAGACTGGGATCGTCCTTAACGTGATACTTTCTAGCTTTGTGACCTTTGGAAAGTCACTTTACATTTGGAAAGTCAGTTTACATTTCTTTCTCTGTAAAATGAAGGTAATAATGTTTGCCTAGAGGGTTATTAAAATTGAATGTAGTAATATAAAAATACTAAACCCTAGATAAATGTGGTTGAAACTGATTATCTGACTAATCGTTTTCTAATGTGTATCAACATAAATCATTTGCATTATGGTTTCTTGCCTTCTCCCCGCTACAGTAAAAATAAATAAATAAATAAATAAATAAATAAATAAATAAATAAATAAATAAAATAGTCCAGTGTTACCCGAACCCCAAAGGGGACTGTTGTGCCAGGTGGTGGGGGATTTGGGACCGTAGGAGGGGCCACCATGGGCAGATGTGGTGAGGGAGGAAAGGAGAGCAGAAGAGGGGACCCGATGAGCAATCCTTACACCCTACCTGCAGTGTCGAAACAGCGTCCCGCCCACACACTTCCGGCAGAATCTCCCGAAGTCCACACCTCTCACTCCAGCCTGGACTTTGATGCTGTGGGCACGCCTCAGAGCCAGAAGTTTATGGCTCCCACCTGCTCAATCTGACAGGAAGCTTCTGCTCCCCAGTTCTCCCCAGCCACTGTGGTCTACAGATTCCAGGAAACCCATCCCCCTGTGACCTCATGGTGTGCTCTGTTCTCCACCCTAGGGACCAGAAGGAGCCAGGAGTAAAGAACTGGCTTACTTGGCCGCCACTGGGAAATTCTGGGTAATTCGAGACGCCCTGGAATTTGGACCCACTCCGCTGATAGGTGGTGGCCAGGGTTCTAGGGAACACAAGAGGCGGAGCCAGGTGGCTTCCCTGTGCTGGCATTCTTGCCTCTCTCTCTCTTTCTCTCTCTCTGTCTCTCAGCCTTGCAGCCGTTTCCCTCTGCGATTCATGTAAGTGTGACTCGATTTCAGGGAAAGGGAACTCGCGTGGGCTGAGGAGACCGGAGTGGACGGGCTGGGGAAGGCACCGTGATGCCCGCAACCCCGTCCCTGAAGGTGGTCCATGAGCTGCCTGCCTGTACCCTCTGTGCGGGGCCGCTGGAGGATGCGGTGACCATTCCCTGTGGACACACCTTCTGCCGGCTCTGCCTCCCCGCGCTCTCCCAGATGGGGGCCCAATCCTCGGGCAAGATCCTGCTCTGCCCGCTCTGCCAAGAGGAGGAGCAGGCAGAGACTCCCATGGCCCCTGTGCCCCTGGGCCCGCTGGGAGAAACTTACTGCGAGGAGCACGGCGAGAAGATCTACTTCTTCTGCGAGAACGATGCCGAGTTCCTCTGTGTGTTCTGCAGGGAGGGTCCCACGCACCAGGCGCACACCGTGGGGTTCCTGGACGAGGCCATTCAGCCCTACCGGGTAAGAAGTGTAGCTTTACCTAGGGCCTGTTTGGGGCAGGATGATGTCCTGTTATGAGGGGAGGAAATCGGGCGGGGATCTGGATGAAAGGCTTCCACATCAGGGAACCCTAAGGTTACAGGGACTTTCGAGGCATTCCCAGACTGAAGGCAGATAGGGCTCCACTTGGATGTGTGGTAGTTCCTGGTCTGGGGGGAACTTCAGCTCCAGCTCTCAGAGGACCCCACAGAGGTGGAGTGCAAAGAACTGTAGCCTTGGCTTCACTCACTATGGAAAGAAAGCTCCAATGCCGAGTGGGATCTTCTGCAGATTATGGGCAGGGTAAACTTGTTCTCCCAGGATCCAGACTGGAAATGGGGTTTATAGGGCCCTGACTGCCAGGGCGCAGAGGGGAGGGAGGAGCTGGGAAGGGGAACCTGCTAGCACTGCTCTTCTTCTTGAGAAAGGGAGGGTGGCAGTAGTCCAGAATTGTGAGAATTCCCCATCTGGCCTTGGGGCACTTTCCTGTCAGCCTCTCAGATCTCTCTCTTGTCATCCAGTCACCAGGTCTGGAAGTGGTTACCTTAGAAACATCTCCCAAATCTTTAATTCTGCCTTATCCTCACAGCCAGGTTCTCCCTATCTCTTGCGCAGACTTTGCAGTCTCCATGGCATTTCCTGTCTCCATTCTCACCCTTTCCAGTCACCTTCCAATCTGCTGGGAGACAGATCCTCCTAAAACACAAAGTCACTCATCTGCACAAAATCCTCCCATGTATACCTAGTGCCCAAAGAAAGTCCAAGGTCTTTAGCAAGACATTCAAGGCCCTTTGCAGTCGGGATCCTTCCTCCCTGTCCGGCCTCATCGCTCAGCCTCCCTCCTCAAGGCACCACGTGTCTGGCCAGACTGAGCTGCACTTGCTGTTTTTTCCTGAGTTGTCTTATTCATTCCTGCTTCCAATACTTTTTGCACATAGTCTCTTCCTCCTAGAATACTCTTCTCCCTTCCTCCCACCTCTCTCTCTGTTTTTAAGTATACAATTCAGGGGCACTAAGTCCTTTTCTTTTTTTTTTTATTATACATGTTCTGGGATACATATGCAGAACGTGCAGGTTTGTTACATAGGTATATACGTGCCATGGTGGTTTGCTGCACCCATCAATCCATCATCTACATTAGGTATTTCTCCTAATGCTATCCCTCCCCTAGTCCCCCAAGCCCTGACAGGCCCCGATGTGTGATGTTCCCCTCCCTGTGTCCATGTGTTCTCATTGTTCACCTCCCACTTATGAGTAAGAACATGTGGTGTTTGGTTTTCTGTTCCTGTGTTAGTTTGCTGAGAATGATGGTTTCCAGCTTCATCCATATCCCTGCAAAGGACATGAACACATCTTTTTTATGCCTGCATAGTATTCCATGGCATATATGTGCCATATTTTCTTTATCCAGTCTATCATTGATGGACATTTGGGTTGGTTCCAAGTCTTTGCTATTGTGAACAGTGCTGCAATAAACATATGTGTGCATGTGTCTTTACAGTAGGATAATTTATAATCCTCTGGGTATATACCCAGTAATGGGATTGCCAGGTCAAATGGTATTTCTCATTCTAGATTCTTGAGGAGTTGCCACACTGTCTTCCACAACGGTTGAACTAATTTACACTCCCACCAACATTGTAAAAGCATTCTTATTTCTCCACATCATCTCCAGCATCTGTTATTTCCTGACTTTTTAATGATCACCATTCTAACTGGTGTGAGATGGTATCTCATTGTGGTTTTGATTTGCATTTCTCTAATGACCAGTGATGATGAGCTTCTTTTCATAGGTTTGTTGGCCACATAAATGTCTTCTTTTGAGAAGTGTCTGTTCATATCCTTCACCTACTTTTTGATGGGGCTGTTTGTTTTTTTCTTGTAAATTTGTTTAAGTTCTTTGTAGATTTTGGATATTAGCCCTTTGTCAGATGGATAGATTGCAAAATGTTTCTCCCATTCTGTAGGTTGCCTGTTCACTCTGATGATAGTTTCTTTTGCTGTGCAGAAGCTCTTTCATTTAATTAGATACCATTTGTCAATTTAGGCTTTTGTTGCCATTGCTTTTGGTGTTCTAGTCATGAAGTCTTTGCCCATGCCTATGTCCTGAATGGTATTGCCTAGGTTTTCTTCTAGGGTTTTTATGGTTTTAGGTCTTACGTTTAAGTCTTTAATCCATCTTGAGTTAATTTTTATTTCAGGTGTAAGGAAGGGGTCCAGTTTCAGTTTTCTGCATATGGCTAGCCAGTTTTCCCAACACCATTTATTAAATAGGGAATCCTTTCCCCATTGCTTGTTTTTGTCAGGTTTGTCAAAGATCAGATGGTTGTAGATGTGTGGTGTTATTTCTGAGGCCCTTCTTCTGTTCCATTTGTCTATATGTCTGTTTTGATACCAGACATATTTGATATCATATACTACAGCCTTGTAGTATAGTTTGAAGTCAGGTAGCATGATGCCTCCAGCTTCGTTCTTTTTGCTTAAGATTGTATTGGCTATGTGGGCTCTTTATTGGTTCCATATGAAATATAAAGTAGTTTTTTCTAATTCTGTGAAGAAAGTCAATGGTAGCTTGATAGGGATAACACTGAATCTATAAATTACTTTGGGCAGTATGGCCATTTTCACAATATTGATTCTTCCTATCCATGAGCATGGAATGTTTTTCCATTTGTCTGTGTTCTCTCTGATTTCCTTGAGCAGTGGTTTGTAGTTCTCCTTGAAGAGGTCCTTCACATCTGTGGGCACTAAGTCCTTTTCTCTCCCTCTCTATTCAACTGGAAATTTATCTTTCAAGGCACATTGTAAATGTTTTCTGCTTTCCAAACCTTCCCTTAGGCCTACAGGCAGAGCTGACCTCTGTGTTCCCATCTCACTGTGTGTACCCCTGGACTATTGCATTTATCTATCTGTATTTTAATCACTTGACATTGACTTCTTCCTGAGATGGTGGTCTCTTTAGGGCAAGGACTGGGCCTTTTCCACCTTTGAACCCCTCAGCACTCAACAGTGTGCCCAGGATGTGATAGTTAATAATTGTGAGTTGAATTATTAATTCAGTCACCTCTATCCACCCATTCTTCTCCCCACAGGATCGTCTCAGGAGTCGACTGGAAGCTCTGAGCACGGAGAGAGATGAGATTGAGGATGTAAAGTGTCAAGAAGACCAGAAGCTTCAAGTGCTGCTGGTACAGGCCACGTCACTGGCTACCTTTTCCTTTGAAGGTTTTCTTAAGAGACTCTGGGGAAACCCGTTGGCTGGTATCTGTTTCCTGGCTGAAAAGAACTGACAAACTGTTCTCGTTCACCTTCCTGTGGCTGCACAAAGGCATTTGGGATCTCAGACCATGAGCACTAGAAGTGGTTCTGATGTCTTGCAATCCAAGATCCATCTTGTATATCACATTTTACAGAGCAGAAAACTTAGGACCAGAAAAGCAATGCTCCCAAGGCCACATAGCAAAGCTGAAGTTCATGAGGAACCTGGATTTCTTGACCCTTAATTCATTGTTCTTTCCATCCTAGTCTGTTTGCCTGAACACACCACCTTCAGATGGGAAGCTTGGGGTCAAAAACATATGTTAGTGTCGGGATTCTAGTCCTGACTACAGGCTGACCTTGAGGAGAGTAGGCTGATGGTGTGGCTACATCTGGATCCCTCACGCCTCTCTTTTCATGCTATAAAGTTATGGAGGAATCACAGTGTGAGGATTTCTGGTACCTTGACCAAGGAGAGAGTGTGGGGACAAAGCAACCTATCCACCATCCCTCAGCTCTCATCAACGTATGCCCTGTAGTTGGTGATTTCCACGGCTAAAACCAAAATTACACACTCTCCCACTAAGTTGTGTTGACTCCAATCACAACTTCCTTTTGCCTCTAAGAAATTATTACAGTCTTCCCCACCTAACTCTAAGAAGGCATAGTAGGGTTATGATGGTATTGTAGTTGTGGAAATATTTTTGAAAAGTTCAACATCATTCTGAGAGCATAATGTAGCATTATTATTAGAGTATCTAGCTAAGACAGTAGCACAGCCCTCATCATTGGTAAGTTCATCCTGAGACCTAACTACTTCTAGGCATATTAGTAAATGGAATGAGTCTTGGACCAGTTGCTCCCTATCCCTGTTAATCAATAATAAGTATATAGATGATCATCCTGGAAGCTATCTCTGAGCCCCTTCCTAACCATGTCTGCCTTTTATCCCTTGAAGACTCAGATCGAAAGCAAGAAGCATCAGGTGGAAACAGCTTTTGAGAGGCTGCAGCAGGAGCTGGAGCAGCAGCGATGTCTCCTGCTGGCCAGGCTGAGGGAGCTGGAGCAGCAGATTTGGAAGGAGAGGGATGAATATATCACAAAGGTCTCTGAGGAAGTCACCCGGCTTGGAGCCCAGGTCAAGGAGCTGGAGGAGAAGTGTCAGCAGCCAGCAAGTGAGCTTCTACAAGTGAGAGACACTTCACCACTTTGTAGGATAAGAGAGGGACTCCACGGGGAAGGGGGTGGGCACCATGCTTTGGGCTGGAGAGAGGCAGGAAAGGGAAGTGGAGAGAGGTTAACGGGGTGCAGATCCAGAGGGGCTGGAGACTTGCCCAAGTCATACACTGTGGTCATGTTAAGGGGTTTAGGGTCAGACAGTCTTGGATTTGAATGTTGGCTCTTCCAATTGTGTGACTTGAGTGAGTCTCTTAGCCTCTCTAAACATGGGGACAGCAATAGCACCTCCCTCATAAAGTTATTGCAAAATTATAAGAAACAATCCATAAAAAATGCTTGGCATGATTCCTGATATACAGAAAGAACTCAATAACTGGTGTCTGCTATGGTTATGAATATGTGATCCTGGCTCACATCAGGTCCAGCTGATAACTGAAGGCAGGCCCCTGCTCTCTACCACCTCCTAATCATTGCAGACACAACCCACCCCCACGATAAGGCTGAAACAGGGAAACCAGCACAAATGAACTGACTACAGAAACCCAAATTAGTAAGAAAACATGATGTAAAAGAACAATCTAATGAGTAGGTAATTAAACAGGACAACTCTCTGCAGAAGGAGAGTTTTGAGTTCATATTTTAAGGGAAAAGTGATGTACAGAATCCCTGACAGGAAGGACTTATGGAAACTAAATGTATGTTCTTGTCTTTCTTTTGCAGGATGTCAGAGTCAACCAGAGCAGGTAGGGCCCACTCCCCGGTCCTGCCTCCTTTTACTCAACATCAAGACTGAATGGGAAGGGGCAGGGGCACTTACTGCCACCCACTTTGCCAGGAAAGCAAAGGCACTCTGGCAGACACACTGTCTCATTCAACTGTGCACAAACAGTCCAAACTCACTAAAGATTTGCGTTCTAAAGGTTCATTTTTAAATTGATTGGTTGGTATTGGGGACACATTTTTTCCCCTAGAAGTGAAGTTATAAATAATAATCATGTTTTTAGGTTGATCCAGGAACATTTATTTAATCTATGAAATTATTAGTACTTGAGTCAGTATCTAACACCATTTAAAATGTAATTTAAAGGGGGAATACTTTCTGTAGACTATGATAAGCATGGAAACCAGGAATACCAGCCTGTTCTTTCATTCATTCATTTTTTACACACATCTCTGGTTTCCTTCAGAATTTTCTAATGCTACTGTAAAAGGACAGCCACCAGGAGCCAGTGGCATTGTAAATGCATGGCCCTTTCCTTCCCTGTCTGCTATAAGCATTAGCAGTCTGCACTGAGATGAAGAGAGGTGTAGTGACTAGGGAACAATTGTCACGTGCTTTGTGCCTATTCCCGTGCAGGGAGGATAAACCCAGGGTCCATGAATCAGGAAGTGTCTCCAAACATGCTTTTCAAAGAGCATTAGAGGTTTAGATCTAGAAGGGCTTGGAGGTCTTCCAGTCTGAGGAAGAAACTGAGACCCAGGGGGTGAAGAGTCTTCAAGGTAATGCAGCAAGTGTCTAATGAGGACTGAGCTGGGACCAGAATCAGGAGTTTTTTTCATTGCAATATATATTTTCGTTGATCCTTTTTTTTTCTTCCCTTCTAGCCTCTTTTCCTTTACAAATAGCAGCATACACAAGGGTAGTTTAAGGCTGTTTTCAAATGGTACCCTGTTGCCCTCTAGAGACCAAAAGGGGTAATGATCTCTGTCCCTCAGCCCCTACAGAACCAAACATTCTCCTAAAGGGGCTTACCTCCAATTCTTGAGAAGTGATTATCCTTAGTTCCTCTTAGGTTTAACTGAAATGCCTACTATTTTAGTAACTACACATTTCCAGCAAAAGTAAAGAAATGATACTCAATTTCATTATTCACCACAGACGCCAAGATCATTCTTTAGTCTGATTTTAGCCTCACGTGGTCTCACCCGAACATTTGTTTTTGGAATTTGGACCTAACTGGTTACCAAACCTGTCTGCAGGTGTGAGATGAAGACTTTTGTGAGTCCTGAGGCCATTTCTCCTGACCTTGTCAAGAAGATCCGTGATTTCCACAGGAAAATACTCACCCTCCCAGAGATGATGAGGATGTTCTCAGGTAAAGGGGAAGGCGCCACAGTTTTCCCCAGTCCCATTAGCTGCCCTCCTGTCTTCCACCCATCTCCATCCTTCTCTGCCCTTGAAACCTGGCTCGAGACATCTTCCCTCCCCAGAGCCTTCCCTTAGTGATCTCAATTTATTCAGGGGCACTATTCCCAGAGCATCTCCTCCACTCCCTAAGGACAGGTGCAGGACTGAGAGTCCAGGAGGGTGAGGACCCTTCTCCTCCACTAGACCACAGCAGAAGCCGAGTCTTCTGTCCTCATTTTCACATTGTACTCAAGTCACCTTGCCCCTGGGGGTGCCTATAAGAAGTAATAAGTCACAGATCTCTCTTTCTATTTCTGCTTCCCTCAGAAAACTTGGCGCATCATCTGGAAATAGATTCAGGTAAACAGCTTGGGATTTGGGGAGTCATTCTTCCATTCATCCATTCAATCCATGGCAGCAAACAGAGCAATAAAATGCATGAATTCTGGAGCTTGATTGCTTGAGTTCTCGATTCCAGTTCTTGCTAGCTCTGAGACACTGGGCAAGTTATTAAGCCTCTGTCCCACAATATTTTCTTCATCAGTAAAATGAAAATAAAAGTACTGTACCTGTCCCATAAGTAGCTGTGAGGACAAAATAAATTAATACATGCAAAGAGCTTAGTATATTACCTGACTCATAGTAAGTGCTCAATTAATGTCATCTACTTGTGTAGATATTACTCGTTGAAAAATACTTATCAAGCCCTAGTTTTTTGAGAGCATTGTGCTGGGCTCTCTACTGATTTGAACAAAAAATGTGCAATTTTTTAAAAATCACATTTATTTTTAAATTGGTGCTTAATTTAGAAGTTGTTTCCATAAGCATCACCTCACTCACTCTGGTATAGGTAAGTGCTTTTCAAACTTAATATGCAGAAACGTCTCCTAGGGATCCTGTTAAAATGCAGATTCTGATTTAGTAGGGTGGGATGGGGCCCAATATTCTGCATTTCTAACAAACACCCAGGTGGTGGGGATGCTGCTGGTCCCTCCCGCTGCACTTTGAGAAGCAAATCCTTAACAGCACCACTTGCTGATTAGGTAGAAGGGCGGTTCAGAGAAGTGGCCCAATGGCAGGCTGCCCAAGTCCAGTACTCCTTCTGCCTCCCACGTGCGTTGCCTGCTCTAGGAACATCTGTGGTTGCCGCCCGCTGTTGATGTCTGCGCGCTCCTCCCTCTAGGGGTCATCACTCTGGACCCTCAGACCGCCAGCCGGAGCCTGGTTCTCTCGGAAGACAGGAAGTCAGTGAGGTACACCCGGCAGAAGAAGAACCTGCCAGACAGCCCCCTGCGCTTCGACGGCCTCCCGGCGGTTCTGGGCTTCCCGGGCTTCTCCTCCGGGCGCCACCGCTGGCAGGTTGACCTGCAGCTGGGCGACGGCGGCGGCTGCACGGTGGGGGTGGCCGGGGAGGGGGTGAGGAGGAAGGGAGAGATGGGACTCAGCGCCGAGGACGGCGTCTGGGCCGTGATCATCTCGCACCAGCAGTGCTGGGCCAGCACCTCCCCGGGCACCGACCTGCCGCTGAGCGAGATCCCGCGCGGCGTGAGAGTCGCCCTGGACTACGAGGCGGGGCAGGTGACCCTCCACAACGCCCAGACCCAGGAGCCCATCTTCACCTTCACTGCCTCTTTCTCCGGCAAAGTCTTCCCTTTCTTTGCCGTCTGGAAAAAAGGTTCCTGCCTTACGCTGAAAGGCTGAAGTGGGGCGCGCGAAGGGCGGCGAAGCGGAGACGGCGGCTCTCCGGGATCCAGCTCCGCCCCTGGCCAGTGTGCGGCCCGGGGGCTCCCTGTGCCCGCGTGAGGCGAGAGAACAGGGGACTTGAGTCTCGAACAGCGGTTGTTTTTACTTTATTTATCTTAGGCCCTCAGCTCCCTGACGTCCTGAGCCTCCCTGTGACGCTCTGGCCTTCTCTGCACCTCAGAGTGCAGAACCACAGACGGCTTCGGCTGTGCCTAGGGCAACAGCCAACCTAGGAGCCAGCGGGCTTTCGGGGAAAAAAAAGAAAAAGACATCTAAAATAAAATGTTTAAACTGTTTCAAAATAATTATCTTGGGAAAAATCAGGGTTTTGCTGGACTTGCACTAATTTGTACAGTTAACTTCGTACTTTGACACACACCTGAAGATGCCTCCACCTTTGTAGGGCTTAGGGCCTTTTTATCAGCCCTGGGTGGACCCCAGGGCCCCTTCCTTTCCCTTCCCTTCTGGTCATTTCTCTGGACTTGTAGAGAATGTCCTAAGAAAGTGTGACTCACAGACCTCTGGATTCCATGTGTCCAATTAGCGCTGATGGGACTGGAGAAAGGCTTAAATCCAATGGGATCTGCCTGTGTTGGCAATTTAGGGCCGAGATGGCTCGAGGGAGTAGATGCAGAGAGGAAGGGTGATGATCCCTCTGTGACCAAGACACAATCCTGTCCCTTCTTTTAGTCAGGATATCCCTGATGACAGACAGTGGGACAATCACCAGGCCCCATTGTTTAATAAAACGAGGCTTTTGCTCAGGTCTAACTAACCTCTCAAATATTTGTTATTACTGCAGTTATTATTTGGACACAGAAACAGACCACAGGTTAAAATAACTTTAAAAAGCAAAGTATTAATCCCTATACAAGTGATGTTTCCTTCCACCCCTACCCTTTCTCCTCTCAAGTTGAACACTCACATTCTCACCCTTCCACCCCAACCTCTGAAAAAAATCTGCCTTCAACTCCAATCCAGGTTCCCTGTAGTGTAAGACAATACCCTGTGTACAAGAACACTTTAGGGTCGGCACGGTGGCTTGCGCCAGTAATCCCAACACTTTGGGAGGCTGAGGCAGGTAGATCACTTAAGGTCAGGAGTTTAAGACCAGCCTGGACAGCATGGTGAAACCCTGTCTCTATTAAAAATATAAAAATTAGCTGGGCGAGATGGCAGGCGCCTGTAATCCCAGCTGCTCAGGAGGCTGAGGCAGGAGAATCACTTAAACCAGGGAGGCGGAGGTTGCAGTGAGCTAAGATCAAGCCACTGCATTCCAGCCCGAGTGACGGAGTGAGACTCCATCTCAAAAAAACAAAAAACAAAAAACAGGCTAGGCGCGGTGGCTCACGGTGGTAGGCCGAGGCAGGTGGGTCACCTGAGGTCAGGAGTTTGAGCCTGGCCAACATGGTGAAACCCCATCTCCACTAAATATACAAAAATTAGCTGGGTGTGGTGGCAGACCAGCTACTTGGGAGGCTGAAGCAGGGGAATCACTTGAACCCAGGAGGCAGAGGTTGCAGTGAGCTGAGATTGTACCACTGCACTCCAGCCTGGGTGACAGAGTGAGACTCTGTCTCCAAGAAACAAACAAACAAATAAAACAAAGAACATCTTCATTATTGCGTAAGCCCTGCTCCTAAAGCATGGGTCAGATGTTTTAAAAGCACTCAAAGAGTTTGGACCATATGTGAATTTTATTTAAAAATTGTAACATGAATCAATGTGATGTGAATAATTAACCCTAACTTGACTGTTGGGGAAATAGAGGTTCTTGATATAAAAGAAGCCAGACAATGTGGGGTTTCTTCTGCCCCCCAGTGTGGTGAGCAGAGCCATCCTTATCTGACCCAAGTGGCTTGGTAGTCCAACCTAGTAGTAGTAGTAGTGGTAGTAGTAGTAGTATTGCCCAATGCTTATTATAAAAGTTGTATATGCTCATGGTTAAGAAAATTCAAACATTTTCAAAGTGTATAAATAAAAACCTCTTTCCCCACCCACTCAACACTTCCCCTTGCCACTCCCCATAGTTAAACATTGATATCAATTTTTTGTATATCCTGCAAGTTTTGAATACAAATATATATTGCTTTCTCTTTTTTTTTACATAAATTAGATTATGCCATAAGTATTCTTTGCAACCCCTCCAAAAGAAAAACTATGTGCAACACATGCTAATTGTACCATTGGTCAAATTTGTTTTAATTATATCTTCATTTGAACCTTACAACAAGCCTGTGAAATACATAAGACCTATTTTGTTTTTCTCATGTGGTGGTTGAGAAAACTGACACACAGTTAAATGAACTTGTCTAACAATTTTCACAGCTGGTCCTTGTGACCTGCTGAAGTAGAATCTACCTGTCCTGGAGCTCAGTGCAGTCACATTTCCACCACACTCAGACTTCTAAAACAGACACATCCCAATGGGGCTATGTTTCATTTGCTACCCATTGAATTCATGTTTTAGACAGGGCATTTTTGGTTTCATATGAAACAGAAAAAAAAAAAAAGAACCGATAAACCATAAGCACACTGTATTTCCAAGTCTCTGGTACTTCTAATTTTAGAGTGGTCCAGATAATTTAAAAGTGTGGATATGCACATTTGGAGGCTTTGTGCCTATATTAATAAATTGTTCTGCATAAGAAAGGAAAGAGAAATTTAGAAGCCAAAAGAAATTTGGGAGTGGCTAAGACCTCAGGGTGAGGACTGAGAGCTGCCTGAAGGAAAAGCAGAGGAAAATTATTCATTTGGTGGTCCAGCTGGAGCCACAGGATGGCTGTGTTCCTGTGTTTGTGATGTAAAACTGTCCTCTATCTCCCCTACAGGATCCTCTGCACAACCTGCCTTGCCCCTAATGCTTTTTGTAGGTGTTCCTGAATTCCAAGTGCTGAGTTCTGTCCACTACTGGGCAGGAGGCAAAGAGATCCCACAAAATAATTGCTGGGCTGCTGGACTATGTGAGGAGCAGTCACACTGATGTGCCTCGGAGAACCAGAGGGGTTATTGTAAGGACCAAGGTGGGACCTATAAGGGAATCTCTCTGGAGCCCAGGAACCGTGATGACAGTGAGCTGGTTGTAATGGGAACTAGAGCCTAGGCAGATGCATTGTCTCTCTGGTCGGCTTACTTTGCTCTGGATGTGGGGCCCATTCTCCTGTCTATAAGGAAGCTTCCTAGCTCTACTCATGGCCTTTATTTTCTTTTTCATTTTCAGTTCTTTCCTTCTTTCAGACTTCCAGTGTAGAGTGTTGACTCAGTCATACCTCTCAGTTCTTGGAACACTATCATCATCAGTCCATGCAAGGTCTTCTGGTTTTATTTGTATTTTCTCCTCTCTCCCCAATTTTTATTCCCATTCTCCTCACTCCCAAAGGCAGCTACTCCCTAATGTTTTTCTTTTTTAAAAAATTTTTCAACTTTTAAGTTCAGGGGTACATGTGCAAGATGTGCAGGTTTGTTACATAGGTAAATGTGTGCCATAGTAGTCAGCTACACAGATCATCCTATCACCCAGGAATTAAGCCCAGCACCCATTAGCTATTCTTCCTGATCCTCTCCCTCCTCCCACCCCCGCCCTCCAACAGGGCCCAGTGTGTGTTGTTCCCCCCGCCTCCTGCCATGTGTCCATATGTTCTCATTATTTAGATCCTACTTATAAGTGAAAACATGCTGTATTTGGTTTTCTGTTCCTACTTTAGTTTGCTAAGGATAACAACCTCCAGTTCCATTCATGTCCCTGCAAAGGACATGATCTCATTCCTTTTTATGGCTGTAAAATATTCCATGGTATATGTGTACCACATTTTCTTTATCCAGTCTATCATTGATGGGCATTTAGTTTGATTTCATATCTTTGCTATTGTGAATACTACTGCAATGAACATACACATGCATGTATCTTTATAGAGAACGATTTCTATTCCTTTGGGTATATACCCAGTAAATGAGATTGCTGGGTTGAATGGTATTTCTGCCTCTAGGTTTTTGAGGAATTGCCACACAGTCTTCCACAATGGTTGAACTAATTTACACTCACACCAACAGTGTTAAAAGCATTCGTTTTTCTTCACAACCTTGCCAGCATCTGTTGCTTTTTGACTTTTTAGTAATAGCCATTTTGACTGGTGCGAGATAGTATCTCATTGTAGTTTTGATTTGATTTTCACCTATAACCATCTGATATTTGACAAACCTGACAAAAATGTCTCTAGTAGCAAGTATTACTAATCTATTAATTACTAAACTACCTTTAATCCAAGAGTATTTGTTCTTTGTGCTCAGGATTTCTTTGGCTATTTGGGCTTTTTTTGGGAGGGGGGGGTTGGTCCATATGAATTTTAGGATTTTTTTTTCAAATTCTGTGAAGAATGATGTTGATATTTTGTTAGGGATTGCATTTAATCTGCAGATTACTTTGAACAATATGGTCATTTTAATGATGTTGATATTCCTTCTAATCCATGAGCATAAGGTGTTTTTCCATTTGTGTTGTTTTGAATTTCTCTCAACAGTATTTTGTAGTTTTCCTTGTAAAGATCTTTTGCCTCCTTGGTTAAATTCAATCCTAAATTGTTTTTGGTAGCAAAAATTTCTAAATGAGATTGCCTTCTTGATTTCTTTGTTGGCTAAATCATTACTGATGTAAAGAAATGCTACTGACTTTTGCATATTAATTTTGTAGCCTGAAACTGTACTGAACTCATTTATCATATCTAAGAGTTTTTTGGTGAAATCACACATTGTGTTTCTTTCTTTTGCCTGATCCTTATAGCTAGGATTTTAGTACTATGTTGAATAAGAGTATTGAGAGTAGACATCCTTGCCTTGTTCCAGTGCTTAGAGGAAAAGCTTTCCACTTTTCCTCATTCAGCATGTTAGCTATGGGTTTGTTACATACAGCTCATTTGAATTTGAGGTTTGTTCCGTCTATGCCTAGTGTGTTGTATGTTTTTATCTTAAAAGAATGTTAAATTTTATCAAATGCTTTTTCTGCATCTATTAAGATGATCATATGGTTTTTGTTCTACATTCTATTGATAATATGTATCATGCTTATTTATTCATATTGAAACATCTTTGCATCTCTACTATAAATCCCACTTGATTTTGATGTAGTATTTTTCGATGTGCTGTTGGGTTTGGTTTGCTAGTATTTTGTTGAGGATTTTTGTATCTATCTATGATTTTGTATCTATGTTCATTAGGGATATTGACCTATAATTTTCTTTTTGTTGGTGTTGTGGTGTATCTGTCTGGTTTTAGTATTAGGGTGATGCTGACCTCATATAATTAGTTAGGGAAAATTCCTTCCTCTTTGACTTGTTTGAACAGTTTCAGGAGGATCGGTATTAGTTCTTTGTATGTTTAGTAGAATTCAGCTGTTAATCCCTCCAGTCCTAGGCTTTTCTTCTTTGAGAGACTTTTAATTACTGATTCAATCTTGCTATTAATTATTGGTCTGCTCAGGTTTTCTATTTTTTTCTGATTCAGTCTTGGTAGGTTGTGTGTTTCCAGGAATTTATCCACTTCCTCTAGATTTTCCAATTTTATCTAGTTGTTTATAACAGTCTCTGATGATCTTTAATATTTCTGTGATGTCAGTTGTAATGTCTCCTTTTTCAATTCTGATTTTGTTCATATGGGTCTTCTGTCTTCTTGGTTAGTCTAGCTAGTAGCTTATCAATTCTGTATATCTTTTCAAAGAACCAATTTTTCATCTCATTGATCCTTTGTATTTCTTTAAGTCTCTACTTTCTGCTCTGATCTTTATTATTTCTTTTCTTCTGCTAATTTGGGGTTTGGTTTGTTCTTGCTTTTCTAGCTCCTTCAGGTACATTGTTGGATTGTTAATTTGTAATCTTTCTACTTTTTTAATGTAAGCATTTATTGCTGTAAACTTTCCTCTTAGCACTGCCTTTGCTGAATCCCACAGGTTTTATGTTTCCATTTTCATTTGTTTTTAGATTTTTTTTTTAATTTTCATCTTAATTTCTTTTTTTTTTTTTTTTCCAGATGGAGTTTTGCTCTTGTCTCCCAGGCTGGAGTTCAATGGTGTAAACTCGGCTAACTGCAACCTCCACCTCCCGGGTTCAAGCGGTTCTCCTGCCTCAGCCTCCCAAGTAGCTGAGATTACAGGCGCCTGCCACCACGCCCAGCTAATTTTTTTGTATTTTTCACAGAGACAGGGTTTCACCATGCTGGCCAGGCTGGTCTCGAACTTCTGACCTCAGGTGATCCATCCGCCTCAGCCACCCAAAGTGCTGGGATTACAGGTGTGAGCCACCATGCCTGGCCTTCTATCTTAATTTGTTCATTGACCCAATGGTCATTCAGGACCATGTGGTTTAATATCTATGTATTTGTATAGTTTCCAAAGTTCCTCTTGGTATTGATTTCTCATTTTATTCTATTGCAGTCTGAGAAAATATTTGATATGATTTTAATTTTTAAAAATTTATTGAGACTTGTTTTGTCGCCTAATATATGGTCTATGTTGGAGAAGGTTCCATGTTCTGATGAAAAGAATATATATTCTGCAGTTGTTGAATAGAATGTTCTGTAAATGTTAGGTTCATTTGGTCTAAAGTCCAGTTTAAATCCAATGTTTCTCTGTTGATTTTCTGTCTAGATAATCTGTCTAATGCTGAGCATGAGGTGCTAAAGTCCCCCACTATTATTGTATTCCAATCTGTCTCTCTCTTTAGAGCTAGTAATATTTGCTTTATGAATGTGGGTGCTCTGGTGTTTGGTGTATATATATTTAGAACTGTTGAATCTTCTTGCTGGATTGATCCCTTTATCATTATATAATGACATTTTTGGCTTTTTTTTTTCACAATTCTTGACTTAAAGTCTGTTGTATCTGATATAAGTATAGCTACTCCTTCTCACTTTTTGTCTCCATTTGTATGGAATATCTTTTTCCATCCCTTTACTTTGTCTATATTTGTCTTTACTGGTAAGAAACTTTACTGAGTTTCTTGAAACAGCTTACAGGTGTATTATCTTTTTAAATAAATCCAGCCATTCTACATCTTTCAAGTAAAGAATTTATTCCATTTACATTCAAGATTATTATTGATATATGAGACTTTGTTCCTGTCATATTGTTGTTTTCTGATTGTTTTATATATTCTTTGTTCCTTTCTTCTTGTTTGTCATTGTGGTTTGGTGGATTTCTTTAGAGGCACCATTTGAGTCCTTTCTCTTCTTCCTTTGTGTGATTGCTTTACTAGCGAGTTTTATACTTTTGTGTGTTTTTATGATGGTAAATATCATCCTATCACTTCCAGGTTTAGGACTCCCTTGAGCATTTCTCATAGGACTGATCTAGTGGTAACAAATTCCCTCAGTATTTGCCTGTCTGGGAAAGACTTTATTTCTTTTTCCTTTATACTTTAATTTGGCTGGATCTAATATTCTTGGCTGACAGTTATTTTCTTTCATCATTTTGTATATACCATCCCATTATCTTTTGGCCTGTAGGGTTTCTGCAGAGAAATCCACTGTTTGTGAGTCTGATGAGTTTTCCTTTTAGGTGACTAGGCACTATTCTGTTGCTATTTTTAGAATTTGCTCTTTATTTTGACTTTAGACAGTCTAATTATAATGTGCTATGGAGAAGACCCTTTGCATTGCATCTGCCTGGGAAACATTGAGCCTCCTATACCTGCATGTCCAAATCCCTTGCTAGGCTTGGAAAGTTTTCATCTATTATTTCATTATATAGATTTTCTAATCCTTTCATTTCTTCATCATCCTCGGGGATACTAACAATTCATATATTCAGTTGCTTTATGCTGTCCCAAATATCATGAAGGCTTTGCTAATTTTTTTATCTAGGCAAAGTAAATTGAATTTTTTAAAATTATTTTTTCTTTATTTTTGTCTGACTAGGTTATTTCAAAAGAGCTGCCTTCAAGCTCTGAGACTCTTTCTTCTCCCCAATCTAGTTCTATTGTTGAAGCTTTCAAAGGTATTTTGTATTTCCTTTAATAAATTCTTCATATCCAGATTTTCTATTTTTCTTTTAAAAAACAATCTATTGCTTTATTAAATTTCTCATTCATATCCTACATTATTATCTTTTTTCTTTCTATTGTTTTTCAGAATTCTCTTATATATCACTGAGTTTCTTTTTTTTTTTTTTTTTGAGATGGAGTCTCACTCTGTCACCCAGGCTGCAGTGCAGTGGCACGATCTCAGCTCACTGCAAGCTCCGCCTCCCGGGTTCACGCCATTCTCCTGCCTCAGCCTCCCGACTAGCTGGGACTACAGGCACCCACCACCACACCCAGCTAATTTTTTCTATTTTTAGTAGAGACGGGGTTTCACCGTGTTAGCCAGGATGGTCTCAATCTCCTGACGTCGTGATCCACCCACCTCGGCCTTCCAAAGTGCTGGGATTACAGGCATGAGCCACCGTGCCCAGCCTACTGAGTTTCTTTAAAATCAGTACTTTGAATTCTTTATCTAGAATTTCATGAATTTCTTTCTGATTGATAACTGTAGCTGGAGAGGTATTGTGTTCCTTTGTTGGTGTCATATTTCTTTGTTCTTTAGTTTTCTGTGTCCTTACATTGATATCTGCACATTTAGTTGCAACAGTCACTTCTTCCATTTTTGAAATTGCTTTCATAGGGGAGGATTTTTTTCCTGAAGATTTTACGTGTTGTTTGTTGAGTAGGGTGCTTTGGCTTTGATTTTGAGTGCCTATAGTAGTGTGATCCCTGTATGATTTATTTGGCAGTATACAACATCAGTGGTATCTGTGACTTCCTCATTGACTTAAGGTGCACTTATTAGTGAAGGCTGTGGTGAAGTTTGGCTGGGAACTAAGATGCTAGGTGGGCCAGTCTTCAGGCCCTAGTGATGGCAGCGGTGGGTTGAATGAGCCTGTGCTAGGGCCCACAGAGTGGCTTAAACTGACAACAGCGTTAGTGGGTCTTGGAGGGCCAATTATTGGGCCTTCAGGTGACTTGCTCAGATGCTAGCAGTGGCAGCAGTGGGCCAGACATGTGGGCAACTTCTCAGGCTCCTGGGCAGCTGGTGAGAAATGGGTAATGGCAGTAGCAGTGGTGGAACAACCTGCTAGGACCCAAGCAGTCTGTGCTGGTGTTGGTGGTGGCTGTGACAAGTTGGGCAGGCTAGTACCCTGACCCACTGGTAGCATGTGTGGGTGGGTGTCAGTTGTGGTGGTATTGGTAGATTGAGTTGGACTGACCTCAGATCCTGACAGGAATGATTCAGATGCCAGTGGTGGTAGATTGGGCTGGGCAATTTCCGGGCCCCTGGATGATGTGCTTGTGTACTGGGGGGATGGGATCAGGCCAGCAGACCTGTCCTCAGGGCCCCCTGCAATGCATTCAGGTGCTAGCTGTGATAGACAAGAGATGGAGAGGTCCCCAGACCACTGGCAGAATGCTCAGGTGTGGGCTGGCTGTGGTGGCTGCACTGTAGTCCTGCAACCAGGGAAGGCAGGGCCACTCTCAGCTGGCGCATCATGAGCAAGTAGCTGTGGGAAGTGTCATCTGCTCACACCTTTGTCCACACCAGCCCATAGCAGCAGTGGTGGGATTTGTCCTAGGAACGTGCGGAAGTGCCCCGTCTCTACTCTCCCTCCTCAACTTAGCCTTGGCTTGGCGGCAGCAGCCCCAGCCAGGCCCAGGGGCAGAATGCAGACCCGGGTGGTTGAGCTCTCAGAATAATGACTACAGGTTTGCCACCGGGAGGGCAGGACCCCTCTCAGGTGGAAGAGCAAGGACAAGTAGCCACAGGGAGTGCAGTCTTCTCAAGCCCTGGTCTCACAGCAGCCTGTAGCAGTGGCGATGGGATTTGTCCAGGTGGGTGCATGGGAGTGCTCAGTCTCCCATCTCTTTTTTGCCAGGTGGCAGCAGTAGCAGCAGCAACAGCAGCGCCACATCAGTCCGGCCTCAGGTCAAGACTTATGTGATAGGCATTATTCTGGGTACTTGGGATGCATCAGTTTTTAAAAAGTTTCTTTTTAAAGCTCATGCCTGTAATCCCAGCACTTTGAGAGGCCAAAATAGGTGGATCACCTGAGGTCAGGAGTTCATGAACAGCCTGGTCAATATGGCAAAACCCCGTCTCTTCTAAAAACACAAAAAAATTAGCCAGACA
The DNA here is from genome assembly GCF_000001405.40 of Homo sapiens. Lineage (NCBI taxonomy): Eukaryota > Metazoa > Chordata > Mammalia > Primates > Hominidae > Homo > Homo sapiens. The sequence continues at coordinate 1,481,469 of NT_167249.2, forward strand.
TGGTGGTGTGCGCCTGTAGTCCCAGGTACTTGGGAGGCTGAGGCAAGAGAATCGCTTGAACCTGGGCAGCGGAGGTTGCCAGTAAGCCAAGATCATGCCACCGCACTCCAGCCTGGGCAACAGAGCGAGACTCCGTCTCTATTAAAAAAAAAAGAGAAAATCTATGGCTCTTTCTGTTCTCCCATAACCATACTCTAAATGCACTCTTTCTGTACCCAGTTTGTCCCTGCTTTAGGACTTTGCTGTTCCCTCTAGCTGATGTGATCTTAGACCTTCCCTCTCACCATTCTGATTTCAGCTCTCATGCCATCTTTTCAGGGAACTCCCTTCTGATCACACATTATAAAATAGATACTAGGTCACTATCTATCACAGACTTATTTCACTTCCTTGCATAGTGCTAATTACTTTTTTTTTTTCAATTTTAACATACTGCCTGTCACCATTTGCTGGAATATAACCTCCAAGAGTGCAGAACTTTGTTAACCTTATCACTGTTGTAACCTAGAAACATCCTGGCACATCACGGGTACTTAATAAATGAATTCAGGAGACATATGAAGCCTGGAGATAACAGATTTGAGAGAATACAGAAAATAGGAGGAAAAGTCAACAAGAAATAATTCAGGCAGGGCACAGTGGCTCACGCCTGTAATTCCAGTACTTTGGGAGGCTGAGGTGGGAGGATCACTTGAGCCCCAGAGCTCAAGGCCACAGTAAGCTACGAGTGCACCATCACTAGAGCCTAGGTGACAGAGTAAGACCATGTCTCTAAAATAATAAAAATTCAGCCAGTTGTGGTGACTCACACCTGTAATCCCAGCAAGGCAAACACAAAATAGTTTGCTGAAAGGTATGAACTGGGTCTTTGGAGGGAGGTATGGGGCAGGGAAATGTTCCTATTTGTAAGAAGCACTGTAGAAAGTTTACCATATGTGCAAGTAGAGTTATACAAAATGAAAAACTATGAATATAAAAAATAAAAAGGGAAAATTTACATGAGCCCACAACTTAGAGAACAGAGAGGAAATATGCTCTTTGCCACTAGCGTAATTTTACAGGTAGTTTCGTATAATCCTCCCTTTTCCATCTTTAAGATGGCAATTTAAAAAATCAGAAAGGACTGCTGGGCGCGATGGCTCACGCCTGTAATCCCAGCACTTTGGGAGGCCGAGGTGGGTGGATCATGAGGTCAGGAGATCAAGACCAACCTGGCTAACATGGTGAAACCCCGTCTCTACTAAAAATACAAAAAAATTAGCCGGGCGTGATGGCGGGCGCCTGTAGTTCCAGCTACTCGGGAGGCTGAGGCAGGAGAATGGCGTGAACCCGGGAGGCAGAGCTTGCAGTGAGCCGAGATGGCGCCACTGCACTCCAAACTGGGAGACAGAGTGAGACTCCATCTCAAAAAAAAAAAAAAAAAAAAAAAAAAAATCAGAAAGGACAAGAAAAACAGTTGACTGTGTTAGGATGCAAGGCTGAATCTCTGCACATTCTATTTCCTCTGAGGCAGTGCTTATTTTCCAAGGAAGAATTTTTGGGTGTGCTATACTGGAGGTCTCCCTTCTCAGGGAGAGTCATCACTTGCTCCAAAACGCTGGACCTCAGCTCAAGGGCACCACTGCAGGAGGAATAAAAAGGTGGAGCCACGCAACAACTCGTCTGTGTTCCGCAGTAGGCTCTTTTTGAGGGACTTCCAGAAATGACAGCATGTGTGCAGAGAACAGAAAGCAAAGTTACACTGTTACAGAAGGCAGAGAAGGAAAACCTTCGGCTACTGCTATCAGTGGAATTTCTCTGTAGCCAGACTGAGGTCTGGTGGCATTTGAGATATAATATAGATATAGACCTACAAATACAGATCTCCAGGCTGTTCATTCAACAAGTCTTTATTGAGCACCTACTCTGTGCCCAGCACTGCACTAGGTGCCATGAGAATACAAGAGTAGTATAAGATGTTATCCGCCCTCCAGGAGCTTACAAAACTAGAGGCAGAAATAAGATGTACGTGTGACTCAGGCAGCATGTGACACACACAAAGTGGGCAGCTCTGAGACAATGGTGGTCAAGTGACCACTGAGGCCCAGAGCCGTTGGAACAGTCTCTTAGAACAGGGTGGAGGACTTAAAACTTGGATGAACAGGGGCTGGCAGAGCACTTGGAATGGGTAAGGACAAGACTGGGAGATCAATTTGGCTGGAGCAGGGGAGCTTGTGTTAAACTGTGATGATGAGGGGCACCTGGACAGAGGTTGGGTCCGTGGGCAATGAGAAGACATGTTACTCCCTCTCTTGACATGAAGACCTGGTGGGCTTGTGGCCTCCTGCTGCCTTCCTTTCCCTGTCTTCCCATCTCCACTCTCTCCTAGGAAAGTGGAACCTGGATGCTGGTAGGGCCAGAGACAGAGGCTTAACACCCTGCTGGGGAACCTGGTCAGAACTCCCGAGGCAGGAGAGGTTCTGCTCCACTGGATGTTTGTCTTGGTGTTTTTGGATGTGCTGATCAAGAGCAAGATGTTCTGGATTCTTAAAACTCCCCTCACAAGGACCAATCTAGAGATAATTTATTGATCAGTGATCACAGCTTGTACCCCAAAGCCGTGTATGTCTGGATCCTTCCCTAAGACCACAGATAGCTCCAGGGAGTCCCACCTCCTTGGCTATGGAAATATGCTCAGCCCTGGTTTCAGAGAAGCCTGGACTCCACTCTGGACCCCATGAGATGATATGCGCTGGTACTCCAGGCTTTAAATGGCCTGGGAAGCCTCAGTGGATTTTGTTTATTTTCAGCATTGCCATGTATGCTTAACTCTGAGTTGGGGTGGGGTAGGTCTGTTTAAAATGCCAGGGAAGGTGGGCAGCAGAGTGGATTTGTGCAAGAAGGAACCTGGGGGGTTTAAGGACAGCAAAATGATCTTAGGCGTAATTGACTGGTTTTTCTGAGGTCTTGCCACACTGGGCAAGAAAATGCTGCATCGGGCCCTTATTCCAGAGAGTGCAGAGCTGGGGCCAAGGTCGTGGTCAAAAAGGAAAGGAGCCCTCATGGACTCCAGGGTCAGAAGTTCCCTCGGGAAACCAGCAGGAGGTGGGAAAAGAGCCCCATTAGGGCAGTAGATGGAGCAACAGCACTGAGTGAGATTTCAGGGGGCCACAGCAATGGGGAGGTGGCTACCAGTGGATATGGGGTCCCCTGCTCCAGGTGCTTAGGCCAGGCATCCCGTCCCCCCATTGAGAGTCCTGGAATTCCAAAGAAGTGAAGCATCTGAGGGTTGGGGCTGGGGGCAGATGTCAGGGCTCAGGGTCTTAGCAGGAGGCGTGTTCCTGGCCACTTGAGCCACAGGAAGGGGACCAGGCGCCGGGTGAAGGTGGCAGTGAAGGTGTAGATGAGTTCCTGTGACTCTGCGTTGGTGAAAGTCACGGTGCCCCCTTCATAATCCAGGGCGATGCCCACTCTCCGGGGCCGCAGTGCTGGGAAAAGCTCAGCCTCGGGGCTGGTGTTGGCCCAGATGCCGGAGGAGGAGAGGCGCAGCGCCCACACGCCATCCTCTGGCCGCAGGGAGAGGTCTCCCTTCCTCTTCACAGAGTCTCTAGCCACCCCCACCATGCAGCTTTCCAGAACTTCCTCCTCTTCCTCCTCCTCTTCTTCCTCTTCATCGCCCAACGATTCCTCATCTTCGTCCGTTTCCCAGTCGTCATATCCATCCCCATAGCCGGCCTCCTCTTCCTCCTCCTCCTCTTCTCCCTCTTCCTCCTCATCCCCCTCTTCTTCATCCTCAGACCAGCCCTCCCTCTCCACTTCCACTTCCCAGTAGACCTTGCCCCAGGTGAAGCCCTTGCTGCCCAGCACCCCAGGCTCACAGTCAAACTGCTGGGGGTGCAGGTAGGCACTCTTGTACAGGCTGGTGTAGGTCACGCACTTCCAGTCCTCTGACAGCTGCAGGTACCCACTGGCCGACTGTGGGTCCAGGGTGACGCTCACTGTGGGGACAAGGGAAAAAAAAAAAAAAACAGCATCACTGTTTTGTTTTGTTTTTTAAGTCAGAGGGAATAAAATTTATTTTGGCAGATAGCGTTAAACAAAATTAAAGTTGCATACATTAGTAATATAACTCAACATCCTTAATTTGGTATAAGTGTGACACATTTTCTGGCTTTGTATTCTGCTAAATCACCATAACTAAACTGCTTTATAAACATGATATACTGAAATTTAACTTGACTGTTTTCGCTTACGCTCTGATTCCAAACAAAACTTTTCATAAGCTTCCTCTATCTCTGGATCTCTGGGTCCAACTCATCATTAATATCATCCAAGTGTGGATCACCAGTCCCTGAAAAATCTGTTCCATTTTCTTCATAATCCAGAAAAAAAGTCCTCTTTTTCAAGTAACTCTTGATATGCTTCTTGGTAATCCGGATCAGCTGCAGTGAAAGGAACACTATGAAACACAATAACTATGTGAATGACCACTATAAAATGTTGGTTCATTCACATAGTAATTGGGATCTTTTTTGGCTGTTGTATTTCTGTATGATGAAGTTGCATGGACTCTACCCCAATTACTGCACTGGAGTTCTACAAGCTTCAAGAGCATCTGTTTCATGTCTCTGCCACAGCTTGCATCTATAACAACATTTTCAATTTCCTGAATAATTTCTTCCATATCAGTCCTTCCTTTTCCTTCCAAGCATCTTCCAAAACTGACCCTGTCAACTTCAGCAATTTTATTGCACAAATTAAGCTGTCATCCATGGGATTAGAAAAGAGGGCATTCGGGCATTCGGCAACTCCTGAAGACCAACCTGAAGAATATCTGCCCTTGTAACCTGTCCATTTGTTCCTCTGATCTCCAGGTTATGATAAAGCTCTCCCAGAAAGGGTACAAATGCATGAAATTGTTTTGGAGTAACTTCATCCCCTTTTGCAGCTTGATCTTTAATGTCATATTCAGTCCGATATCTTTGAAGTAGAAATTGGCGGAAGGTGCTACTCTCTGTGCTAACTGTCAGATGATGTCAGGTAATTACACAGGTGAGCTCCCATGTAAGAGAAATTTGGGGCTGGGCACGGTGGCTCACGCCTATAATCCCAGCACTTTGGAAGGCCGAGGCGGGTGGATCACAAGGTCAGGAGATCGAGACCATCCTGGCTAACATGGTGAAACCCCATCTCTACTAAAAATACAAAAATTAGCCGGGCATGGTGGTGGGCACCTGTAGTCCCAGCTACTTAGGAGGCTGAGGCAGGAGAATGGCGTGAACCTGGGAGGCGGGGCTCGCAGTGAGCTGAGATCACACCACTACACTCCAGCCTGGAAGACAAAGCAAGACTCCATCTCAAAAAAAAAAAAAAAAAAAAGGCCGGGCGCGGTGGCTCACGCCTGTAATCCCAGCACTTTGGGAGGCCGAGGCGGGTGGATCACGAGGTCAGGAGATCGAGACCATCCTGGCTAACACGGTGAAACCCCGTCTCTACTAAAAATACAAAAAATTAGCCGGGCGAGGTGGCGGGCGCCTGTAGTCCTAGCTACTCGGGAGGCTGAGGCAGGAGAATGGCGTGAACCCCAGGAGGCGGAGCCTGCAGTGAGCCGAGATTGCGCCACTGCACTCCAGCCTGGGCGACAGCGAGACTCCGTATCAAAAAAAAAAAAAGAAAAGAAATTTGGGACAGATGTGGCCTCTGAGTTCCACAAGTTCTTGCAAAGCATCATCTGTTGTAACACAAGCATTCAGGGTCTCTGTAAACTGTTCAATTTCAGTTTCAAAACTACCAGCCTGCTCTGTAAGATGGTTCAAGAAACCCTGAACAGGTACTGACAGAGTGGGATAATCCTCACCATCATCCTCATAGGATTCTCTATAATTAGAATAACCTGATAGGTAAAATTTGACGGTATTCACAGACAGCTCAGACATTAATAAAGAAGCTACAACCACCTAAGGTTTAACCACTGCTAACTCAGTTCTGCTATGGGATTTTATCCTGTGAACTAGATGAAGCTCTCAGGGCCTCGTTTGCTCCCAGACAGGCCGACCTCCTCAATGGTTCTCACGAAAGCAAGTGTGAAAGTGAGCCAGGAGGAGACCACCAGTCTTCACAATCCAAGGGGCACCATTCACATCTTGGTCTATGAGGATGGCGCTCCTTGGTGGTTGGTATGCAGTGTACAACCTAACTGCAGGGCTGAGAGGGGGCACAATAGTGGGGCCTGTGGTGGATATGGCCTCTGGTCTTAGGTTGCCCCTGCTGTTTGCTCTGAATATAGGAGCCATGCAGCCAGGAAGATGAGAGAAAGCTCGGCCACAGGAAAAGGACTGGTGGTAGGACCTGTGAGGATAGGAAAAAGAAAAGCAAACACAGGGCAGAGAAGGATCAGACTAGCAAGCAGAGGCCTCTACTGCAGACTAAAGAGTAGGCTGATTAGAAAGTGCAAAGAGGGAGGGGGGCTTCTATTGTGCAGCTGGGAAATTCTTCCTGTTGCAAAAGGGGCTACCTGGGGGAAAAGTGAGCAGTCAGAATCTCTGCAGGCGGAGTTTTCTATATTTGATGTACATCTGGGAAACACCCTCTAGACACTCACCTGTCTTATATTCCAAGTCTCTCAGCAGCTTCCCTGGGGAGAAAAAAGGACAGCAATGACTCAAGTCCCGAAAATTTATGAGCCCATTTCTTGCTCGGGCAGTATCAATTTCCTGATAGGGATCCATGTCTAAGACAAGAGGCCCTCAGAAGAGTGAGGATCGACAAGGTGATGGAAAGGAGCTGGGTGCGCTCTTTCTACGAGGTAGCCCTGCTCTGACTCCCACCCTTTGTGCGCTCCCCAACCCTTACCCTGGAATTCCCTCAGGCCTCGTTGCAGAGAGAGGAGTTTATCTGAGAATTCTCCGGTCTTTTTTTTAACCACTCGAGCAATGGGTTTCCCAACCCAGAACTTCTTCCGTGGATACCTAAGAAGATGACATACATAACAAGCTGTTACTCAGCTCTTCTTACTTTCCTTCATACTTATCTCTCAATCCTCATGGCAATTATGAAGGGGAGAGGAAAGGTATGATTATCCCCAAACAAGTGACAGAAAAACAGTGGCCCAAAGACACCAGCTGAACCAGGGCTTCAGAACATCAGTAGACTCCACATCCAGGGCGCTCTGTCTACTAAGCCATGTTTCTAACCTCTCTGCTCTGTCCCACCTCAAATAAGGCCAGTGGGCCAAGGAGCTGGGGCTACACAGAGAACTCATAAGGAGGAGAGCAAGTCTCCAGTTCTCAATGATGTGTCCTGCTCCTCAGAAAGGCATCAGGATGAACCATGGGATGTGAGTACCTCTGGCACCATACCACTCCCCATGAATTCAAATGCACCTGGTCAGAAGCGGGGGAACATAAACAAGGGGGATGAGGTACGCCATGGAGAGGAGACTCTTTTACCTGTTTAGGAAGTCTCTCGTGTCCTAGAAGGGAAAGAAAAAAGCACAAGTATCAATATGAATCAAATAAGACTTCAATGCATCTGCACCCAACACTGTAGCAGAGATGGGACATATCAGTGAACAAAACAAATGTGGTCCCTTTTTTATGGAGCTGACATTCCAGTGGGGTCACTGCATAAAACAACAAGAAAACAAACAAAATCGGCACAATGACAGAAGCCACAATGGCTGGGAGATGACATGGGCAACCTCTCTGGGAGATACCTGCGCAGAGAATTGACGGATAAGAAGTACTGGCCGGATGAAGAGAGGTAAGGTAAAACAGGAAAGGGCTTGGTGAGAACGGCAGAGGCCAGACTGCGCAGGGCTGGATATGCATGGTAAGGAGTTTCACTTTTGCTCCACGTACAGTGGAAACCCACCAAGGGTTTCAAGTAGGGGCATGATATGTGTGATCCGCTCTACATGTGGCTGAGACTGCTGTGTAACCTCCAGAGTCCACTCTCCCCTTCCTCCTTTTAATAATAGAACCCCCGGAGTTATTGCTGGTCAGGCGGCCACCTGGGAAGACTACATTTTCCAGATCCCCTACGACAAGGTCTGGTCATGAGACTAAGTTCCAGCCAATGGAATGTGATAGAAAGCAATGACCATAATTCTGGGCATTGTCCTTTAAAAAAAGAAAATTGCTTTCTACTTCCTTTTTACCCCAACTGAATTTTGGACATGGTGGTGGTGAGCCCAACTTTGACCACGCAGCAGAGGACAACATCCCTAGAAGCTGGTGGAAGAACCACATGGAAGTAACCCAGTCCCTTGGATAAGCTTATGTACAGCTACTGTGATAGCTCTAGACCCTGCACCTCTGAACTGTTAACTGAGGCAGAAATAAACTTCTATTCTGTTTGCGTCACTGTACAGCAGTGAGCCAAAACCCTAAGTGACCACTCACTTGGCTGCCCCACAGAGAAGGGACTAAGGAGGCAAGAGGAACATGGGGAGGTTGGTCCGGAGGCTTTTGCCGTGGACCAGGGGAGAGCTAAAGATGGCCTGAACTAAGGTGGTGGCAGTAGGGAGAAAAAGAGAGAAGCAATACATTCCAGGTATTTTAGAGACAGATTCAACTGGACATACTGGTCAAGGATAAACAAGAACAGAGCATGGTTTGTACAGGGGGGAGAATGGTGGTGCTATCTCTGTGACAGACAGGTGGTAGGGCAGGGTGAGTGGGAAGAGGGCTATTCTGAGATGCTCAGATTCCCTTTTGTGAGTCAAAAGCCTCCTTAATACCCTGTATTAATTGATTTTTGCCTTCCTTTCACTCATTCCACAAATATTTATTAAGTGCTTCCTAGGTACCAGGCACTCATCTAGAAGCCTCAGAACAGTTAAAAAAAAAAAAAAAAAGAGAGAGAGAGACAAATCCCTACTTCTGTAGAGCTGACATTCTAGCAGGGGGAAGCAGACAATAATCAATGTAGCAAATACATCATACTACGTGAGTGATAACGCACCACGGGAAAAGAGAGCAGAGTGAAGGGGGATGGGAGCAGGGGCCGGTGGGGTGCAGGCTGGCTTCCTGGAGAGGGTGAGATTTGGGAAACAAATGGAATTAACAAATTGTGGCTGCTGATGACTGCTTCCAAAAGTTTGGGAAGAGTTGTGAGCTTTACTCCAGAGGAATAAGACAAGAAGTCAGAGGCACATCCCAACCCCCCGCTATGAAGCAAGTGCCCAGAGACTGGTAGCACATTTCTGGCCAAGTCCTCTAACATGCCCCTCAAAACATGTAAGTCCAAGGCGGCTTCAGAGGACAGGCAACAAAACAGACAGTGTGTCCTGACAGCTCTGCTGACAAAGGTGGCATAAAAGAGCAAATGAATGGAGCAGTAGCTGGAGTGTGGGCCAGAGGCCCATTTGGGCATATTTCCTGACATGGAAGTTCCTAGAACAGTAGAAAGGGAGAGAATCATACAGGAGAAAGAAGAGTCCTCTAAAGGTTAAAGGTTGTGAGCAGCCCAGAGAGGGTGGGTCCCGAGAGCCAGGGCAGGGCTGGCCCTGCGGAGAAGAGGCTGAAAGACTCAGGAGCCCCCATCCACAGCCACATACAGGGCCTCTGGAGGGAAGTGATCCGCCCAAGTCTCCTGGAGGACTCTTCTCACCCAAGACATCTGAAGCTGTCATGAAACAGGCAGAGCCGAGCAGTGGGGCTGCGGCAATGAGTCATGGCAAGCTCCCGGAGGGGATGTGCCCGGTTACTAACAGAGAGCATCAAGAAAGTTCTTCACGGGGGTGTACAGCAGGAGAAGCAGGGTACAAGCATGCCACCTGATCCTGCAGGGCCTGCCCGGGTTACCAGGGCAGGATGCAGTGTCTCTCTGGGCCTCTCCTGTCACCCCAATCCCTTTAATGTCTTCTTGATGCTCCCAGCCCATAGGTTTGTCTTTCCTTTCCTATCACCTCTATCAAAAGGTCTCTTCTATTTTACACATTTTGTCCTGCTGCTTCTCCCTCTCACCTGTATTTCTATTTTATTTTAATTTTTTTGAGACAGGATCTCACTATGTTGCCCAGGCTGGTCTCAAACTCCTGGGTTCAAGCAATCTGCCTGCCTCAGCCTCCCAAAGTGCTGGAATTATAGGTGTGAATCACCACACCAGCCTCACCTGTATTTCTCTATCAGACTTCTGGACCCTATTTTAGGTCTTTTTCTTACTATACTTTGACAGCCAAATAATCTCTGGGAAAATATTAATGCTAATTAGGGAGGTAGCTGTCCAGTTCCCACGCAGTACAATCAAACTCAAATAAGCACACAGACAAAATCTACCAATACCATTTTTCTGCGTATGGTTGGTTACCCAGTTTTCCTAGCACCATTTATTAAAGAGACTGTCCCTTCCCCATTGTATGTTCTTGGTTCCTTTGTTGAAAATCAGTTGGCTGTAAATATGTGAATTTATTTCTGAGTTCTCTACTCTGTTCCATTGGTCTATGTGTCTGCTTTTATATCAATACATGCTGTTTTGGTTACTACAGCTTTGTAGTATATATATATATGTATATATACATATATATGTATATATATACATATATATGTGTGTATATATATATGTGTGTGTGTGTGTGTGTGTGTATATATATATATATATATATATATATATATTTTTTTTTTTTTTTCTTTTTTTTAATGGAGTCTCACTCTATTGCCCAGGCTGGAATGCAGTGGCACAATCTCGGCTCACTGCAACCTCTGCCTCCTGGATTCAAGTGATTCTCCTGCCTCAGCCTCCCGAGTAGCTGGGATTATAGGTGCGCACCATCACGCCCAGCTAATTTTTGTATTTTTAGTAGAGATGGGGTTTCACCATGTTGGTCAGGCTGGTCTCAAACTCCTGACCTCGTGATCCGCCTGCCTCGGCCTCACAAAGTGCTGGGATTACAGGTGTGAGCCACCACAACTGGCTGTAGTATATTTTGAAGTAAGATAGTGTGAGGCCTCCAGTTTTGTTCTTTTTGCTTAGGATTGCTTTGGCCATTTGGGGTTTTTTGTGACTCCATATGAATTTTAGTTTTTTTTCTATTTTTCTGAAGAATGTCATTCGTATTTTGATAACAGGGATTGTATTAAATCTGTAGACTGCTTTGGGTAGGACAGTCATTTTAACAATATTAATTCTAATCCACAAGCATGGAATATTTTTCCATTTGTTTGTGTCTTCTTCAATTTCTTTCATCAGTGTTTTGTAGTTTTCATTAAAGAGGTCTTTCACCTCCTTGGTTAACTTCATTCCCAGGTATTTTATTTTACTTTTGTAGCTATTGTAAATGGGGTTGCTTTCTTGATGTCTTTTTTAGCTAGTTTGTTATTGGTGTATTAAAAATGCAGTAGACTTTTTATGTTGATTTTGTATCCTGCAACTTTACTGAATTTGTTTATTAGTTCTAAGGGTTTTTTGGTGGGGCCTTTAGGTTTTTCTACATATAAGTATAGCCGTTACGGAAAACAGTATGAGAGTTTCTCAAAAAACTAAAAATAGAACTACCATATGATCCAGCAATCTCATTACTAGGTATTTATCCAAAGAAAAGAAAATCAGTATATCAAAGGGATACCTGCACACTCATGTTTATTGTGGCACTATTCACAATAGTTGAGATGTGGACTCAATCTAAGCATCCATCAACAGATAGATAAAGAAAATGTAGCATATATACACAATGGAGTACTATTCATCCATAATAAATTTGAGTTCATGGAAGTAAGACAGTAGAATAGTAATGATTAGAGGTTGGGAAGGGGGCTGGGGAGAGGAGGGTGGGGAGAAGTTGGTTAACAGATACAAAGTTATAGCTACATGGGAAGAATAAATTCTAGTGTTGTGCAGCATTGCAGGGAGAATATAATTAACTATAATTTACTATACATTTTCAAAAAGCTAGAAGAGAGGATTTTGAATGTTCCAACACAAAGAAATGATAAGTGTTTGAGGTGACAGATATACTAATTACTCTGAGTTGATTATTATATATTATATACTTGTATCAAAGTATCACTCTAGGCCAGGCACAGTGGCTCACGCCTGTAATCCCAGCACTGTGGGAGGCTGAGGCAGGCGATCACCTGAGGTCAGGAGTTCAAGACCAGCCTGGCCAACATGGTGAAACGCTGACTCTACCAAAAATACAGAAAATAGCCAGGTGTGGTGATGTGCGCCTGTAATCCCAGCTATTTGGGAGGCTGAGGCAGGAGAATCGCTTGAACCCAGGAGACAGAGGTTGCAGAGGCAGGAGAATTGCTTCAACCCAGGAGGCGGAGATTACAGTGAGCTGAGATCACGCCACTGCACTCCAGCCTGGGAGACAGAGCGAGACTCTGTCTCAAAAATAAACAAACAAAAACCTCTACATCCCATAAATATATACATTATATAGCACTAAAATTAAAAGAGAAAACACAAAACAAAAAAAGAAACCTACCAGTACCAATAACATTTCCTATACTAGTTTCAAGCTGACGCCATTTTCTCTCCCTTCCCTTGACCTTATCCCACCCCAGGGAGAGCTGCAATCTGAGTGCTCTGAGTCATTGAGGGCCAGGCTTCTGCTCTGAGGGCCACTTCTCTGGGTGCATTAGGAAAAGGCACCCCTCCGGGCAAACACAATGGATTTCAGCCCCACCACATCCTCAGCTGTGTGCCTCTGTTCCACACAGTAGGCATTCACACATGGCAGGGGCGTGAGGAGAGGAAGGAGAAGAGAAACGGGCAAAAGGAGATGCAGAAAATGACCCAGTCAAAGAGTATGACGAGAGAAATCTGAGAGAACAGAATGACATCTGGAGGAAAAGAGGGGGCCAGAGAGACATTCTGGACAAAATAAGAACAAGAGCTCAGAGCCCAGGAGTCAGGACATCTGGGCTCAAGCTGTGACCTGACACCCACCCCATGGCCTGGGACAAACTCCTCCCACTCTCTGGACCTCAGTGACTTCATCAGTAGGGGCTGAACTGGAAGGTCTAAAATCCCTGCCAGTCCTCATTCTGTACATCTGAATTCACAACAATGAGGAGCAGGTGGCCGCCTCCTTCTGCAGTCTGTCCCAGTGCACATACTGCAGAGTCTGCCTTGCTATCTCTCCCTCCTAGCTATTGCCCTGCCATTAGCCTGGGACTCCACCTTCCTAGAGATCCTGGGTGGCTCTGCTGCTGACAGACAGACCCAGCCACCCTAAACAGTGCAAGTGGGGGAATACCATCAGAGAGCCCCTCCCCTCCCAGCCTATGAGAGCAGGAAGGTTGAGCCCTCTACCCCTCCAAAGGGGACTGGGCCCTCTTCAGGGTAAGTGTGATCCCCAGAGGCTCCCGGGGGGGAGGAGATGTGGTGCCATTTCAGCTTCACAGCCAGTTCTTCAGCCCCAAACCCTCCCTTTCTCACTATCAAAGCCCCCTCCTCTAGGAGGTGCCCCGAGGCCCCCTTGTCTGCTTTCCATCTTGTTCTCTGTGTGGTAATCCCATGGGCCAAAGAAAACCTGGCCATCTCTGTCTCCCTTCCCCAGTTACCCTATCTCTTCCAGATCCTCTGGGTCTTTGAGAGGAGCTGCTGGTCAGCCCTCCCTCAGCCACCCCCAACCACAACACCATAAAAAGCTTCCACCAGCTGCTAAGTGTCTGCCAATGACTTGTTAAGAGGGCTTGTGATGGCAGTGATGAGGATGGAGGATGGTAAATGATATTAATAATCTTCCCTTCCATTTTCTACTATACCATTTAGTTTTTTGAACAGTTTTGTGTAAAAAGTTTATTTTTTGAAGTGACAGCATGCCAGTTATTTCATTTTATGCTCATGCAATCTACAGACTAATTGGCAGCAGTAAGGATTATCATCTCCATGTTTCAGATGACAAAACTGAGCCCCCAAGTCTTCTAAGGTCCTGCAAGTGAATGGCAGGGCTGGGACCCACCGTCCTGGTCCCTGGCGCCCTGCCCAGGGACGGCCTCTCACCTGCATGAGCTCTGCAGCTGGCTGCTGCGCCTTGCCCTCCAGTTCGGAGATGACCAGGGCCAGCCGGGCAAGCTCCCCGACGCCCCGGCTCTTGAACTTCTCCCTGCCCTCCGTGAGCTCCTGCTCCAGCTTCGCCAGCTGTTCCAGCAGGTGTTCCTCCCGCTCCCTCAGGAACTGATGACCCTGCTCAAACTCAGCCACAATGTACTGCCTCTGGTCCTGGAGCTTCTTCTGCAGGGGGCAGGAAGGGGAGAAGGGCTGACACCTCTGCTCAGGGTGGAGGGCCCAGTGCTGGAGGTGTGCAAGGCTGGCTCGTTCACCTCGCTACCCCCGTTCAGGAATTCTACAGGATCTGGAGTGGGAGGAGCTACAGAGGGTTCCTGGTCCACACTCCGCTTCTCAAAGAAGACTCCAGTAATGAATTAGTTCAGTTCACCCCACCACTATATGGTCAAAACCCTGTCTCCACCTGACTGGTCAGCCACAATCTGTTCTAGCTAAACCAGTACGCTCTGGGGCCCCTAGAGAAACTCTGTGGGTCTCACTCATGAGCCGACGCACTTTTCCCTCCTGGACAAAATCTGTCACCTCTTCCAGGAAGTTTTGCTTGATTAATGTCATCTAAGCCTGACCAGCCCTCTCTTCAGCACCCCACTGTTCAGTCTAAAATATCTATATGTACCCCACCCCTGCCATGTAAGACTGCATCCTGTTTCCTCAGCAAAATTGTGTGACGTCTGTGCTTAGGGACTATGTCCTTTCCTGCCTCCAAATCTCCTCCCCAGCTGGGGTTGGGGGAGTCCTCAGTGGCCCTGTTGACTGGTGCTGAGCTGGGGGCAGCCATGCACACTGAGGGCCTGGAGGGGTCCTTGGACTTGGCTGTCTCTAGCTTACTGTTTCCCTCTCCCTAGGCCTAATGACTCACCACTGGCCCTGACCCCACTACTCCTCCACTGCCCACTTCCTCAACATACACAGTTCCCCAGAAAATCAGAACCATTTGATCAGTTCCCCCCAACCCCAACTCTAATCAAGTACATAATGTGCTGCCTGTTTTCTAACTACAGTTGTCCCTTGGTATCAGTGGGTGATGGGTTCCAGGATCTCCCTCCCCAAGGATACCAAAATCCAAGGATGCTCAAGTTCTTATGTAAAATGGAATAATAGTTACATAAAATCTACTATATACTTTAAATTATCACTAGATTACTTATAATGCCTAATATAATGTAAATGCTATATAAATAGCTGTTACACTGAATTGTTTAGAGAATAATGACAAGAAAAAAAATCTGTACATGTTCAGTAGAGACGCTTTTTCTTTTTTCTGAATATTTCTGATCCATGGTTGGGTAAATTCGCCGCTACGGAACCCACAGATATGGAGGAGGTCCCACTGTACTGGCAACCATGATCCTGGGCCTGGACCTCACTACATACAGTGCCATCAGAATTGGCAGACCTGCCTTAGCTGTTTTCTAGCCCTTCCCTCTCAGTTCTTACCCTGGAGCCAGCTCCCTCCTTCTAAACCCTCTCCACTCTCAGGCAACCTTGTCTCTCTCTCTCTCTTTGAAAGGAAGAATGAAGCCACACCTTCTTCAGTCCCCTGGCAGAAGAGAACCAGCAGCTGGACATGGGCCCTGCCTTCAAGGTGACAGTCACAGAAAACGGAAGGGACTCTAGCTGACATCCAGGCAGCCCACTTGTCTCTCAGACAAGAAACAGGCCCAAGACTACACGGCTCAGAAAGACAGCACTTGGGCTAAAACCCAGGTCTGCTACTGCCAGGCTGACACCCATCCTCCCTGTGAGCAGCGCCTAGAAACACCTCCCAGCTGCCGCCTACTTGCCCAGGCTCACCCTGCCCTACACGGGCGCACCGCCTCAGGGCTTCCTGAAACAGCCTCACTTACCAGCGCGGCCAGGATATCAGCTTCTCCCTTTGCCTGGAAGCCCTGAATTTTGTCTCTGTCCCTCCTTAGGGTACTCAGGTGGTTCAGGATTTTTTCCTGTGGAAAAACAAGCAGTGGCAACAGGTGGATGCTCTGGGCTGGGGCAGGAAGGGAGACTCAGGCTGAGTCCTCTGAGGACTGCAAGGTGGAGCATCCAGAGAAGGTGGCAAGGCACCCTCGGGGGTGAAGAGGGCTTACCCTGTGGGGCTGGGCGGCCTTCTCCATGAGGACGGCCGTGTGGGGCCTGTGCTCCCGGGACTCCCGGCACATCACGCACAGCAGCTTCCCGTCGTCCTCACAGTAGTAGTGCAGCTTCTCTCGGTGTCGCTCGCACAACTTTGCATCCTGCTGCTCCCGGGTCACCTCTCCCGGCTGCCTGCCCTTGTCCACCTTCAGCCGCTCAATGTTCTCCACCAGGCTGGCCAGTTGCCACACGGGTCGGATGTTCTCCTTCTTAAAAGGCTTCTTGCAGAGTGGGCAGACGGGGCGGCTCCCTGAGATGGGGCGGACGTCTGTGGTGCAGCTGCGGCAGAAGACGTGGCCACAGTCAATGGTCACAGGGTCCCGCAGGTAATCAAGACAGATGGAGCAGGTCACCTCCTCTTCCAGGCTCCGTAGTGGGGCTGACGTGGCCATGGTATCCTTAGTTCAGAGAGGTCTCCGTTCACTGGTGAGGACTTCTTCTCCTTGGAGACGCGACATAGAGTCAGGAGCAAGCACAGTAAAGGGGCAAAGGTGGCAGCCTGCACAGGGCTGCCAGCTCCAGCACTCAGTCAATCGACAGACACCACCAGCTCCTACAAGGTTCACACAATGTCAACGAGAAGAGGACCTTATAGATCTAGTCCAACTTCCTCATTGTACAGATAAGGATATGGAAACCCAGAAAGATTAGCTTGGTAGAGTGAAGAGCAGGACAGCCACTAGCCTATACCTTGCTGTTGGGAGAGCCTCAACACCCTTTCCTTCTATCTGTTGGAAAATCGCTGTAATGCACCAACTGTAATAAAAAATCTCTCACTACCTGCTGGGAAACTCATAATGATACATATATAAATCTACAATGTCTACTGTGGACACAGTGCTCCTTCACTCAACTGTGCAAAGCACAAGACACACGAGCAGTCATGGGGGTCCTGACAGAGTCAAGAGACCGCCCGTTTTTTTTTTTTGGTTTTTTTTTTTTTGAGATGGAGTCTTACTCTGTCGCCCAGGCTGGAGTGCAGTGGCGCGATCTCAGCTCACTGCAACCTCCGCCTCCCAGGTTCACACCATTCTCCTGCCTCAGCCTCCCGAGTAGCTGGGACTACAGGCACCCACCACCACACCTGGCTAATTTTTTGTATTTTTAGTAGAGACGGGGTTTCACCGTGTTAGCCAGGATGGTCTTGATCTCCCGACCTCGTGATCCACCTGCCTCGGCCTCCCAAAGTGCTGGGATTACAGGCGTGAGCCACTGCACCTGGCCAAGAGACCCCTTTTGTTTGCTCCTCAAGGTTTCAGGTTTCAAGAACTAAGAGAGGGCAATGTGACATGGCTCACCCTGTAAATCCAACACTTTGGGTGGCTGAGGCAGGAGGATCACTTGAACCGAGGAGTTTGAAACCAGCCTCAGCAACATAGTGAGACCCTGTCTCAACTAAAAAAATTTAAAAATTTTTTAAAATACCCCAGTGTAGTAGCATGCATCTGTAGTCTCAGCTACTGAGGAGGCTGTGGCAGAAGGATTACTTGAATCTGGGAGGTGGAGGCTACAGTGAGCCATGATTGTACTACTACACTCCAGACTGGGCAACAGAATAAGAGACTGTCTCAAAACAAACAAAAAACCAGAAAACATTAAAAAACAAACAAACAAACAGCACTGAGGTTCTTTACCAAAACTCGAGAAGCATCAGGAAGCTTCAGGAGTCTGACTGTCAGCATTTCCCTTTGTGAGTATTTCCCTGGGCTGTTCTATAGTTTGGGTTTAATTTGCTTCCCCTAGAAGGCTGGACTCTAAACACAGCCCTCCAGAGGAGCACAGCTTAGCCTCAGTGGACTTGTTCTTGGCTGTAACTGCCTCGTCTAGATGGCAGGAATCCTCAGGTGGCTGTGGCTGCTATGTGCTGTGAGGCCTTGGCTTGTACAGGGAGCGGGGACACACAGAAAGGACTCTGCTTCTGTTTACCTTTGTAGTCCTGACCCAGTTCCAGGCTGAGGTTATGAGCCTCAGCACATCTAACCCAAGAGCAGCCTCCTGCCCCTGACTCTGTGTGACAATACAGAAGTCACTTAAGTACTGAGCCTCAGTGTATCCATCTGTAAAATGGGAAGAGTGATACTTACCTTTAAGGGTTTCTAAGCAGGTCATGTGAAAGAATTATGGGAAAAGTGCTAAGCACAAGCCTGGTACACAGACGGAAATCTAGGAGAGAACCCACAACCCCTGGTTTCCAAATCCAGTGAGTGTCCAAACCACAAACAAAGAGTTAAATTCAAAAGTGGCAGCAAAAGAGGAAGTGAGCAGAACCAGCCACAGTGACACACGTGCTACAGAGTTCAACAACATCGTCACAGGGCAGTACCTGGAGGACTTGCTCTCCTATAGATCCATGGAAGGCAACTACAGCAGCGCTGGGAAGACAACCAGCAGGGCACAGAGGTGACTGCGAGGCTGGAATGAAGCAACCTGAATTACAGGCAAATCAATACTATTAATGATTATGTATGGTGAAAGTCCATCACAACAGAGTTCAGTGGCCTCTGTCAGTAGTGACATTAATGGGACAGAAATAAAACCCCCAGTCTATAAGACCCAAGAGTAAACAAAACAGGGATATAACGTCCACTCATTGAGGGTCTAGTACAATAATACATAAAAAGTGTTTTATAACGTAAAAGGACTACATAAATATAAGAGATTCTTATAGTGCTGATAATAAATTCCAACTGGAAGCACTAATGGATCTAGGTATGTGTGACTTTAAGAGACATAATGAGGGGAAAATCAAGCACCTTCAAAGCTCAAATGAAGGATTCAAGGAATTTAACTGTCAAGTGAAAGTAATATCAAGTTCCTACATGTTAGTAATGCTGGTAGAAATGCTAGGAATTGGCCGGGCACGGTGGCTCACACCTGTAATCCCAACACTTTGGGAGGCCGAGGCAGGTGAATCACAATGTCAGGAGATTGAGACCATCCTGGCTAACACGGTGAAACCCCATCTCTACTAAAAATACAAAAATTATCCAGGTGTGGTAGCATGCACCTGTAGTCCCAGCTACTCAGGAGGCTGAGGCAGGAGAATCAATCACCTCAACCCGGGAGGCAGAGGTTGCAGTGAGCCGAGATCGTGCCATTGCACTCCAGCCTGGGTGACAGAGTGAGACTCCATCTCAAAAAAAAAAAAAGAAAGAAATGCTAGGAATTGCCTGGTCCAACTCCTTGGCTTTACTGTTGAGGAAATAAGCCTGGCTCAGCAGTTTTTCAGTTGTAACATACTGCAAGTGTTTGGAAAGAGGAAAAAGGAGTGGTACTGGGCGTGTCTGTGGGCTTTCAAGCCCTTTATCATGCCTCTTTGCCAAATGGCCTAGAAGTTTAAAAGCTGAGGTTTTTCTTTGTTGAAGGATAGCCTGTGTTATCTTTGGGTTGGGAACTTATTTTGCAATTTACTTGCAAAATAAGAACAATAAAAGGACTATGAAGAGCTCAGCTACAGCTCTTCTTCCATGCAAAACAGGACACCTCATCACCCAGGCTCCATGCTGGGGTTTGATGGTCTCTAAACCTCCTGAAACTGTCTAAAAATTATTGCATATGTACTAGATACCTAAAATTGTCTGGGGATTACAGAAGAATAACCTTCTGTAAGATTAATCAGCAAATAAGTAGAAGAGGGATAACAGAATTAGAAAATCATTTTGCGACTGCCATTATAATAGCACAAGGATCATCAATAGATGCTAAAACTATTAGGTGAAAAGTTTTGGGGGATGAGATAGTACCCATGGTGCCAAAGCACCAATGAATGGATTACTTCCTGACATACCTTCATAAGGAAGAGATCCAGTGGTTATCTTAACTAAGTGACCAAATCCAGCGTCATCAGCAGACGGGGCAAAGTGGCATGTGCTTTCTGGCATGGCACTATATGAATCACACAACATTACCTATGAAGTGTTTGTGCCAAAAATGTTTGACTTGAATGAATCTAGTCAAGACTTTAGATCTAACTTCCAGTTTATAAAAAATATAAAGGAAAGGAATACTCTGAAGTATGTTATAACTGAAAAAGTACCGATGGAGGAATTAAACCACACCATAAGGAAAGAACCAGATAAATCCAGAATGCTGGACATTGCACATGGCAACTGGCCTAGTCTTTTAAAAAGTCAATGTCATAAAAAAAAACCTTCGAAAGAACTGCTTTTGATTTTTACAGACTAAAGAGAAATAATAACCAAATGCAATACGTGAACCTTGATTGGATCCTGTAAAAAGAAAAAAAAGGTTATAAAAATAGTCTTGGAACTATTGTGGGAAATTTGTAAGTAGGCTGGGTGTTAGATCATATTAAAAAATTATTTCCTCTCTTTCTTTTTTTTTTTTTTTTTTTTGAGACAGGGTCTTACTCTGTCCCCCAGAGTGCAGTGGAACTATCTGGGCTCACTGCAACCTCGGCCTCCCTGGCTCAAGCAATCTTCTCATCTCAGGCTCCCGAGTTGCTGCAACAACAGGTGCATACTACCACACTTGGCTAATTTTTAAAGGTTTTTGTAGAGAAGAGTTGCCACTATATTGCCCAGGCTGGTCTCAAACTCCTAGGCTCAAGCCATCCTCCCACCTCAGCCTCCCAAAGTGCTGGGATTATAGGCATGAGCAACTGCACCATGTCTAAAATTATTTTCTTAATGGTATTTACTGAGGTTATGTATGAGAATGCCTATACTTCTTATTTATTTATTAATATATTTATTTATTTTTGAGATGGAGTTTTTCTCTTGTTGCCCAGGCTGGAGTGCAATGGCGCAATCTGGCTCACTACAACCTTCGCTTGCCAGGTTCAAGCGATTCTCCTGCCTCAGCCTCCCTAGTAGCTGGGATTACAGGTGCCCACCACCACATCCGGCTAATTTTTTGTAGTTTTAGTAGAGACGGGGTTTCACCAGGTTGGCCAGGCTGGTCTCAAACTCCTGACCTCAGGTGATCCACCTGCCTTGGCTTCCCAAAGTGCTGGGATTACAGGTGTGAGCCACCGCGCCCGGCTGAGAATACCTGTATTTCTAGGCAATGGATGCTGTAGTATTTAGAGCTCCATGTCTCCCACCTAATTTGAAATGGTTCCTTTCTTTTTTTTTTTTTTTGAGACAGGGTCTTACTCTGTCCCCCGAGTGCAGTGGAACTATCTTGGCTCACTGCAAAGCAAAATAAAAAGCTAGAAAAGTTTTCTGGGGAGGGAGCTACAGTTTTCTATCACATTCTTAAAGAGGTCTGTAGTAACCATCAAAAATGGTTAAATCACTGATACAGAGATCATGGTGCTTGACACCTTGTAGAAGCTCAATACACATTTACTGAACAAGTGAATGGATTCAGGGGAATTGCAGACAATGTTAGTTGTATAGAACCATTTGTTTTTGAGAGTCTGCCATAACTAGATAAATGAAACACAGTACCACTTCTATGACCAATCCCTTCCCTTGCTTATACAGACTCCTTCTGAGGAAACTGAGGCTCAGCAGGGTTAAGCAACTTGCCCAAGAGCACATGGCTAGGAAGCAGTGTCTGGTGCCAAGGCCTCTGCTCAATCCACTACACTCTCTTCCCTACCCAGGCACACTGTAAAATGGGGTCTAATACCAGCTCCTTTGTTAGGAAGCTCAGATGAGGTCATCTACATGGAAGGGCTTTGTAAGCGGAGTAATGCTGACAAAAGAAAGGGGGCATATATTCTGCTGATACTGACCAAAAGCACCCTAGCCTTAGCTATGACAAACTTTCACATATGGGGTGAGCAATAAAGTGTCCCTGTTGGACAGTAGTTTTCCTTCTTAGTGATAGAGGATCTCAAGATTTCAGAATTAGGAGAAATGAGGTTGAGTATGAGAGATGTGAGCAGACCAGAATAACCGCTCCCCTTCCCCATACACAATTCTGTCAGGTCCAATGCAAAATTCACCCTCTCCAAAAACTCTTCCCCAACTTACCGCACCCTGCTATGGTTCTGCCCTTTTATGCCGTCAGTATATTCTCTGTGATCTCAACAGGTTTCCACAATAAGAGGTAAAACCATTACCCTTCTCTCCATTCCTGACTCCTGGGCAGACAGAAACCAAAATCAGAGCCAAAAAAAAAAAACCTCAGAGATGACCCACTCCACCCCCACTCCCTTTACTCAGATGAGAATTCTGAACCTGAAGAAGTCACTTCATGAACTCCCTTGCACCAGAGGTCACACATCCCTGCTGGGGGTGAGGGGGTATTTTTCTGTCTCTTCAATAAACCAGAAGCGGCCGGGCGCGGTGGCTTCTGCCTGTAATCCTAGCACTCTGGGAGGCAGAGGCGGGTGGATCACCTGAGATCGGGAGTTTGAGACCAGCCTGACCAACAAGGAGAAACCCCATCTCTACTAACAATACAAAATTAGCCAGGTGTGGTGGCGCATGCCTATAATCCCAGCTACTGGGCAGGCTGAGGCAGGAGAATCGCTTGAACCCAGGAGGCGGAGGTTGCAGTGAGCTGAGATCACGCCAATTGCACTCCAGCCTGGGCAACAAGAGCAAAACTCCATCTCAAAAAATAAAAATGAAAAAATAAACCAGAAGCTAGCTGCAATTCTATAGAACCAGGAAGATGCAACAAACAAGCCCTGCAATGTCCTGGTACCCTCCTCACAGGCAGAACTGCAGACACTCCCTACCTTTCTCTAAGAGGTTCCCTTTTCCCTGAAATCCACCCCTCCCCTATAAGTCTCTGGATCTCATAAATACCTAATCTGCATATGTCAACAGACTGGTCAAGGTGACACCATGTAATTTCAAGATGTGGATGCATGCACGATTATTGGCTCCAAGAATAATCACTATGAGCTACAAAAACTAGCTGAAAGCCGGGCACGGGGGCTTGTGCCTGTAATTCCAGCACTGTGGGAGGCTAAGGCAGGAGGACTGCCTGAGCCCAGGAGTTTGAGACCAGCCTGGGTAATATAGTGAGACATTGTCTCCAAAAAAAGAAATTAGCTGAATTAGCTGGGTGCGATGGCACATGCCTATAGTTCCAGCTACTTAGGAAGTTGAGGCAGGAGGATCTCCCGAGCCCAAGAAGTTGAGGCTGCAGACAGCCATGACTGCGCCACTGCACTCCAGCCTGGGTGAAACTCTGGCCTGCCTCCGGCTCCTAGATGCCACCCAGAGAGGTGCCCTGGTAGACAGTGAATCCCAAATGTGGACTCTGGGGCCCAAGAAAGTAAATGGAGAGGCCTGGGTTTTCATCCTGGCCTCCAGGGTACCAGTTCAGGCCTCTCTTGAGTATCCCAAGCTGCTTCTCAAGCATATGTCTGGACCTCCAAACAAGAGCAAAGCACCTGTAATCCCAAAGCACTTAGCCTAGAGCTCCATTCCCTGTGGGTACTCCATTTAAGGGCTCCTGGGTCCCAGATTAATCCCCATATTTTAATCTGAGATAAGCAAACTCTCCATGGGGTAAACTTCCGTGAGACACCTCTAACAAACCTGGAGAGGCCAGAATTCGGGGCAAAAAGCAAGTGATCTGGATGTGCATACTAGGAGTGACTGCACCCCTACTGGCCAGGCCAAAGGCCTGGATCCCAGGCTGTCCCAGGAGATCCCAGTGACTGTGGATGATGCGTTCTTGTGGTCACACTTGGCTTACTTTCCCCACGGAGCCGAGCATCAGTGGTGCTCTGAAGCACAGTGCAGGCCACAAAAACTACCAGGGCTCTGAACGCTAGAAATCCCCACAGGGCTCAAAGAGGGGCAGGAGGTAGCAGCCAGCTGGGAGGTGGATGAGACAAGGCGTTAAATTGCCCTGGTCTTGTGGCTGACCCACAGGGGAAAATTGAGGGTTCTTCATATTTGTGCCAGAATATCTGTCTAATGTTGAATCATGAACCAAGCTCTCTTGTCTAAAATATTCCTAAGTGTCACTTGGTGCTTTGCACCAAATATAGGAAGGAATCCTTTATCATCTTGTGGAATGGTTCAAACCTTGACTACACATCAGATTTGTAGTCTTCAAACTGGTGAGTCTTCAAAACATACCTAGACCAACTGACTTAGGATCTCCAGAGGTGGCCCAGGCTCTGGTATTAAAAAACAAACTTCCCAGGAGATTCTAAAGTCTATCCAGGACTGTGAATCACTAGAACCCCTTATTTACAGAGGAGGACAGTGAGTGCCAGAGCCTCGGACTCATTTGCCCAGCAGCAGAGCTGGCTGGCAGCAAGGCCAGCACTAGCACGAGGTGGGGTGAGGTGCACCTCCCAGCTCTGGGCTCCTTCCATTCCACCATACACTGCACTTTGGTGCCTGGAAAATGAACTCTTCCCTGCCCATATGGAGTGCTGTGGAGGGTTAGCCTCACAGGCAGAGGAAATCATCCGCCGGAGAAAGGGTAGCGGTGAATTTGAGGAGCTGACAATTGGCCACAGGTGGAGTGCAGTGAGGCGAGCAGAGGAAGGGTGGAGAAACAGGAGGGAACAGATTATGCAAGACTGTGACCCAGGTTAAGAATTTTGGACTTTATCCTAACAGCCCTGGGAAGCCATTGAGGGTTTAAGCAGCAGGATGTTGAAAGTTATTCAACAGCTAGCAGATGTTTATTAGGTGCCGACTATGTGTCAGGCACCGAGGTTACAGCAGAGAACAAAAGTGGCAAACTCCCTGTCCTACCAGAACTTACATCCAGTGACCTGAGGAATCCTTTAGAAGCTGAAATCAGATCCAACTGTGGGATCATCAAACCCTCAAGGGTTTCCTGATTTACATAAACCTCCTCTCCCCTTTGCTGCCCCAGTGCTGCAGCCACTCTGGCCTTTTGATCCTCAAACACACTCGGTCACGTGTTAAACTGCCAATCTGCCCGGGTGACCAACCAGGTTAAACCCCTCAATGGCTTTCTGGTGCTCCAGGAATAAAGTCAAAACTCCTGTCCTTCCTTTCTTCTGTGAGGAGGCTGTCCCAGGAGATCCTAGCTGGATTCCCAGATAATCATGGCCCAGCCTGTGTCTCCAGGCTCATTTCCTGCCACTCCCCACCTCAAACTCACAGCCAAACCAAACCGCTCTCCATGCCTCAAAGTGCTATGCTCTTTCCTGGCTAAGCCCTTCGACAATGTAATTCCTTCTGCCTAGAACACCATCCCTTTCCCACTTAGCAAATGCCTTTTCTAGCTTGAAGTCTCAGCTGAAAGCCACCTCCTCTGGCAATTCTTTCCTGACCTGTCAGATTGGGTCCACATGTAGTCTAGTTATACAGCCCCAAAACACCCCATGCTGCACCCTGTACTTCTCTGCAGTTTTAAGTCCTGACTTATTAGTGTAATTACTCGCTTAACACCAGCTTTTTCCATGAAACAAGGAGAGAGATTGTGTCTGTCTTATCCCCAGAATCTACATATTACTTGGCACAGAGTAGACAATAAAAACTGACTGAGAAAACAAAGCACAAGCACAGAGTATCTGACACAAAGAAGATGCTTCCTACACATCTGCTGAAGGAATGCGAACAATCTTAGCCACCTGCCCTTTCTCTCCAGCAAGATGGTAGTAAATTGGTAGAGAGAGAAGCAATTTCTTCATATTCCCTGTAGCAGCAAGAACAGTGGGCTGCACGTCACCAGCAAATCATCGTATCCAAGGTTTCGCTCCAGCAACTTACAGAAACCAGGAGAAGAAAAAGCTGTGTCTGAGAAAATGGTTGTTGTGGAGTAAATTGTAATAGTGAGAATCACTCCTTCCCTTTTCTTTAGTTTTAGACCTAGGTATACACCCCATAAACAGAGTTTATTTTCTCAGGTTTTGAGCCTCAAATGAATGGAATTTTTTTCCTTTTTTTTTTTTTTTTGCATGTATTTGGGTGGGGGGCTGTCAACATGTTTGTGAGGCTCATCCATGTGATTATGAGCTGATTTTACTTAATTGCTGCTCTCTAACTATACAATTTTTAATGCAGTCTACTGATAGCCATATGAGTTGTTTCCAGTTTGGGACAATTACAAACACTGCTTCAGTGAATATTTCTGCATACATGTTCTAGCACACACAGGCAAGATGTACCCTCAATTTGACTAAGCAGGCCAAACTGTTTCCAAAGTGACTATAGTGCTATGTAGTCTGCTCAGCAGGCTATGAGCACTCATGATGCCCCACAGCCTCACCAACACCTGATAATATCAGCTTTAATTTTTGCCACTCTGGAGGATGGGATATAGAATATCTGTGTGTGTGTGTGTGTGTGTGTGTGTGTGTGTGTGTGTGTGTGTGTGTATTTAACTCCCCAAAAGGAAACAGCATGAGACAGGCCCAATAACAGGCCAAGGAATCCTATAGCAGCAGACCAGATATTGTGCTCCTCGACCCAACCAGTAAATGTTGTAAATGTTTATCTTTGGGGAGAGAAGGGGAAGGGCCCACCCAGCTTCTGTTCTTCTTTCCCTTGGTAACTTACCATCTATGAGTTAGTGAGATGGAGACATCCTAACCATTAATCCAGGGAAAGGGAGGAATCTAAGCCATCAGCAAGGGAGTTAGTGCTTTTCATCAAATTTGAGACACCTGTGACATCACATTTTAGCATCTCTGAAATGTGATCAATTGCATGTCATAATTTAACTGGCAAAATATTTTTTTGATGTGGAGCATAAAATAAGGGCACATAAAAGATTTGGTGGTGCTGTGGTTTGAACATGTCCCCCAAAAGTTCACGTGTTGGAAACGTAATTGCCAATGTAACGGTATTAAGAGGTGGGGTCTTTAAGACGTGACTGGGTCATGAGGGTGTAACTCTCATGAATGGATTAATGCCTTTCTTGCAAGAGTCCATTGGCCAGAACCGTGAGCTGAATAAACATCTGTTGTTTACAATTTACCCAGTCTGTGGTATTCTGTTACAGCAACAGAAAATGGATTAAGACAAATAGCATCTTAGATTTGGTGAGATGTGGCATATTTCCTAAAAAGTGCTGCCAGGATCATCCTTCTAGCACACAGGATCTCATCCTTGTTATTCTCCTGCTTCAAATCTCCTAGCTGAGGCTGGGTTTGGTGCCTCATGCCTATAATCCTAGCACTGTGGGAGGCTGAGGCAGGAGGATCCCTTGAATCCAGGGGTTCAAGACTAGCCTGGCCAACATAGGGAGAGACTGTCTCTAAAATAAAATAAATAAATAAAAATAAAAATAAAAATAAAAACAAACACACCAAAAAAACTCCTACTAGCTGAGGTCAAAACTGCACAGGTGGCCGGGCACGGTGCCTCACGCCTGTAATCCCAGCACTTTGGGAGGCCGAGGTGGGCAGATCATGAGGTCAAGAGATCGAGACCATCCTGGCCAACATGGTGAAACCCAGCCTCTACTAAAAATACAAAAATTAGCCGGGCATGGTGGCACGCGCCTGCAGTCCTAGCTACTCGGGAGGCTGAGGCAGGAGAATCGCTTGAACCCAGGAGGCGGACGTTGCAGTGAGCTGAGATCACGCCACTGTACTCCAGCCTGGGTGACAGAGCGAGACTCTGACTCAAAACAAAAAAAAAAACTGCACAGACATCCTCCCCTGCCCTGCATCCGGCTAGCCCCAACTTACCCATCCAGCCCCAAATCCCTCCTCGTCCTACCTAATTCTCTGGCCATTAGATACACTGAACCAGGAAGACAGCCCCTTCTTCACTCCCCACTCTCCACCCATTCCCTTGTACATGCTCTTCTCTCCAGTCCAGCGCATCCTTGAAGGCTTGAATACAATTTGTCCCCTTATCTGTGAGGTGTTTCCTGTACCCATCCCACCTCTGAGTTGAATGTATCCCTCCTCCTGCAGCTTTGCATATACTGTATTTCTACAATAGCACTATCACAGTGCTTCATACAGTAGCACCCCCCATCCGCTAAAGATACATTCATACAGGAGTCCCCTCAATCCTCAGGAGATGCATTCCAAAACCCCCAGTGGATGTCTGAAACCTGTTTCTCCTACACATACACACTTGTAATAAAGTTTATAAAGTAGGCACAGAAATAGATTAACAATAATAACACAACAGAATAACTATAACAATATACCGTAATAAAAGTTATATGCATGTGGTCTCTCTCTCTCTCAAACTATCTTGTACTGTACTTACCCTTCTTGTGATGAAGGAACAGTGGGAGGGCAAGAGATTTCATCATGCTACTCAGAACAATGCACATCTAAAACTTATGAATTGTTTACTTCTGGAATTTTCTGTTTACTGTCTTTGGGCTGAGGTTGACCATGGGTAACGGAAACCACGGAAAACTAAGCTATGGATAAGTGGCTGTAATTGATATTTTTATCTGTCTTCTCTCCCACCAGAATGTGAACCCAAAGGTCATGCCTCACTGACCTTTTTATCTCCAATATCTGGCACAAAGTAGGGGGTCTGCAAATGTTTGTGAAATGAATGACCTCCTCTAATTCCAGAGCCCTGCCATCTCCATTCTTCCCCCTTTCACTACACACCCCCCTTTCCCACATTAAAATTCTGCTTCAGCAGCAGGCTTCCAGGGCTCTCTTTAGATTAGACATTCTTGCCCACACACATTACCTAGATCTCTCTTGGCCTCCCTCCACACACACACAATTTTGGGGGGAAGAACAAAATTCCATTTCTATAAAGCTGGCAAAATCTAATTCATCCTGATGCCAGCCAATTTATGTTTTTGTCTTCTCAAACCAACTTCCCATTCTCCGTGTCTTTTCTATTCTGATCCTGGGGGGGTCCAAGTCTGAAGTCATTCCAAGAAGCCTCAATACAGACCATGGACTCTCTTCGGGGGTTTGCAGTGTCTTCTGTGGTGGTCACACACAATCTGAGTCCAACCTGTTACTCCCCTGCAGGAAGTGATATCTAAGAAGTCACCCACTGCCTTAGGCCTTCAGTCTCCTTACCTCTTAACAAGGGGAAAATATTTTGCCAAGTTTACCAGGCTATTTGAGGTTGAGGCAAAGTCACATAAGTACGAGTGTCTCATTAGCAAAAAGCTCTATAAAAATACTATGAAAGAGCACAGGAGCCAATGTGAAAAGAGCTCCCAACAGCCAAAGCCACAGTAATTTGAGCAACAAAATTAAGTAGTATTGGATTATAAACCAAAGTATAAAATAAATGTCCCTGAGTCTACACTGAAATTAATGATTGAATAAATTAATAAATTGGGGAGAAGAGAGAAACAAATCTTCCATGCAGAATAACTGCAAACAATAATATGTAGATACTTGCCCTCAAGAAGGGGGAATATAACTCTTGGCTCCCTAGGTATGGGCTGCACTTAGTGACTTCCTTCTAAAGAGGACAATACACGCAAAGAGTGGAAAAGAGACTAACTGTACAGTGGAGAAACCTGAAAAACACTATCTCACCCAAATCAATATTAAGTCATAAATCATGTTAGTACATGCCCTTGATACGATGGGATGATAATGGCAATCTACCTCTGTGG
Source organism: Homo sapiens (assembly GCF_000001405.40). Classification (NCBI taxonomy): domain Eukaryota; kingdom Metazoa; phylum Chordata; class Mammalia; order Primates; family Hominidae; genus Homo; species Homo sapiens. Next base: position 1,511,031 of record NT_167249.2, read on the forward strand.
TCTTCCTCCCAGTTACCCATAAGCCCAGTCTTAGGAGAAAAACATCAAATTCCAATAGAGGGGCATCCTACAACATACACGACCAGTATTCTTCAATGCTGTCAAGGTCATCAAAACAAGTCTGAGAAACTCCCACAGCCAAGAGGAGCATAAGGAGACATGACAACTAAATGTAATGTGGTAACCTCCATGGGATCATGAAACAGAAAAAGTACTGAGGTAAAAACTAAGGAAATCTGAACACACTATGGACTTTGGTCAATAATAATGTATTGATATTGGTTAACTGCAACAAATGTACCACACTGAGGTAAGATGTTAATAACAGGGGACCCGGTTTGGAGCATGTGGGAAGTTTGTACTATCTTCTCAATTCTTCTGTAAATCTAAAAGTGTTGTAAGAAATAAAGTCTACTTAAACAATAAAATTGCAATTTTTGAAACATAAAAAGCCTATTTTTTTTAAAGGTGATTTTTTTGAACTTGGGGAAAAACATGTTAGGGATTATGATTTCAGCTAAGAGTTAAAAACAGGAGGTTAAGGCATGCATAAACGAATGTCATTCTCCCCTCTTTTGAAGTACACACAAATCGTGGGTCAAAATTTGAAATCTACTGGAGATTTGGAAGTGTGTCCCTCCCATTTACTCCACAGAGTTAAATTTACACTTTTTTTCTAAGGCCAAATAGGGAGAAAATCAGTAAGAAAAATGCTAATGAGCTGGAAGGAGTGAAAGCACAGCTCCAAGTATTTGTGGCTAAACCGGTTTACTCCGAACAAAAAAAAAAAAAGAAAGAAAGAGAAAGAAAGCATGACACTTTGGTCAGGGAGCTGGATTAGTCGCCTATCTACCAGGCTCCAAGCAACCGGACGGTCATCCAGGCCCCGCTTACTTCTGGTTCCGCAGACTAGAATGGATGGGAGTCTGAGTAGGATACCAGAAAGCGAGAAAGACCCAAGAGGAGGGGGAGAATGTAAGGACAAGCAAACAGGAGGGATCTGGCTGGCAGGGAGGACGCAGCGAACTTGACCCCCTCCTGAGCCCGCCCGGGGGCCTGGCCCCGTTTTGAACCCGGGCCCGGCGGCTGCGTTGGGTCGCCCCAAACCCGGTGAGCGTACGAGACTGTTGCTTCGCTGTATGTCTCATGTGCACCCCCTACTCACCGGTCCCGAGCTCCGGGCCGCGAATCCCGGCCGGCGCCCCTCCTCTCTCACGGCGGTCTGTTCCGGGTCCCGCTCCTGCACGAGCAACCAGCGCGACAGCTCGTCCCCGCCCCGTAATCTCCCGGCTATTCGGGGCCCTTCGCCGAGATTTCTCCCGGACCAGCCCCGGGATTGGCTCCTGCCGAACTTCGCCGTCCAATGGGAACCTTAGTCTCTTTTACGTCACTGATCACCGGGCTAATCCCCAGACAGCCGCGGGCGGTGGGGCACCAGGGGCAGCGAAATGGAAACTGAAATCAGGCGGGACCGAGGCTGCGCCAAGAGCCGCAGCCTGAGTTTGGCGCGTAATTGGGGTGGCCTGTTACACGGTCTAAGGGAGTAAATGCTAAGGCTTAGGAGTCACCTACGTAGGACTCTTGAGAGGGCAATAATCCCCTTTCCACCTCTCGAGACCCCTCACTGCCCAACTCTGGCCTTATGCTGGATCAGGGTCCGAGGGCGCTTTGAGGCGAAGGTGGCGCTCGCCAGGTGCTCAACATTAAATACGAAGTCCCCGCCCCTAACGTGGCCTAAATTTGCTTCCAGGACAAAGCAGGATTTTAGCAAGCAAATACTCTCAGAGACCTATTTACGAAAATTATTACTTCCTAGGTAAAATAACGTTCAACCAGACAGCCATTGTCGCCATTCGACGGAAGGAAAAACTGAGGTTCCAGGAGCTTAAGGGTCTGGGCCCAGTTCAGGGGGGTTGTTTTCGCTCCTCGACGCTGAATTTAGAAACCAGAGGCTACAAAGCGGGCCGAGACTTGGGTTCCCCAGGTCCTTGGTGGGGAGGTTTCCAGGAGGCTCGGGCGCGCCCCCGTCCACGGCCCCGGAAGCTGACGTCGCCGAAGCGTACGCCGCTGCCCAGCCTGCGCTCTCTTCCTGCTCTGCCTGCAGCCGCCGCGTCCGGTCCAGCCGCAGGGCCATGCCCTGTGCTGCGGTTGCCGTGTCCCAGGCGCCGCCGCGTCAAGATCCCCGTCTTTCCCGGCCAGCCAGGCGGCAGCGGCATTCAGCTCGTGCACTGGGCTGGCAGCAGGCTGAGAAGAGGCGGCGCAGGTTCTCCGGGTCAGCCAGTGCCCTGCTCCTAAGGGTAGAGATCTAGCTGGGGACACTGGTCGTCCGCCTAGGCAGTGGTGAGAGGGTGGGCTACAGTTGTTTGGGTATTCATGAATGGAGGAGCTCAGGGTCCTAGACCCTAAAACCTGCTGAATCTTCACCCCTCCTCCGCTGGGGGTAGGGAAATTTGCACTGCATTTAAGCAATGTATAGTGGAGTGGGTGGGACATTCAGAAGAAACCACGCCCACATTTAACACCCGCGTCCTTCCCTTCTACCCCAGCCCAGCATTTTGTCTTTTTCCCCTTTGTCCAGCAGTATAACTCACGCTGCCCCTCCGGGCTGAGAGGAGTGTAGACCTCACCTGCTGAGCACAACTCTGGCGGGCCTGTGCTCTGGAGGTGGTCTCAGCACCTACCTAGACCCTCTTGATACCTGCTTTTTTAGTTGGTGGTGTGGGAAGAAAGTGTGTTTAACATGCTCCTTAAATAATGCTCTGCCGCCGAGCGCGGTGGCTCACGCCTGTAATCTCAGCACTTTGGGAGGCCGAGGTGGGCGGATCACGAGGTCAAGAGATCGAGACCATCCTGGCCAACATGGTGAAACCCCGTCTCTACTAAAAATACAAAAATTAGCCGGGCGTGGTAGCGCGCACCTGTAGTCCCAGCTACTCAGGAGGCTGAGGCAAGAGAATCGCTTGAACCCGGGAGGCGGAGGTTGCAGTGAGCCGAGATCGCCCCACTGCACTCCAGCCTGGGGACGGAGCGAGACTCCGTCTCAAAAAATAATAATAAAATAAAAAATAATGCTGTGCCACTAAGCGTTTTCTCCCTGTCCTGAGGTCTTTGGCCTATTCACAGACCATTCTGGGCAGACTCCAGCCACAAATCCACCACCCCACTTAAAATTCTCTATCCTCTCAGCACACTTAGAGGGGCATGGAAGACTCTTGCAGGGGCTGGGGCTCCTGACATGACAGCTCTGCTTAACTCTCTGACCTCCCTCATGCCACTTCTCCCTCGGTCCCTGTGCTTTCACCTTACACCTGGTCTTGAAACTCCCTGCCCCAGCCCCTTGCATGGCTGCCCGCTTCTTGTCAGTCATGTCTACATCTCAGAAAGGTCTTCCTCCCTCACCCAGTTGAAACCAGTTCCCCATCATGCATTATTCTGTTTCCCTTTCTTCATGCATTTGTTGCCATTTGAAAGCACCTTGTTCATTTCTTTGTCAATGTGTTTATTTTCGATCTTCCTCCCCCTCAGTGTACGCCCCAAGAGAGTTGAGACAACACCTGTCTTCCATGCACATGGCTTCCATGTAAATAAATGTTTGTTAAATGAAATGAGCTCAGTGTGGGCATTTCTTTTTCTTTTTGTAAAAAAATTTTATTATTATTACACTTTAAGTTTTAGGGTACATGTTCACAACGTGCAGGTTTGTTATCATTTAGCATTAGGTATATCTCTCCTAAAGCTATCCCTCCCCCCTCCCCCCACCCCACAACAGCCCCTGGTGTGTGATGTTCCCCTTCTTGTGTCCATGTGTTCTCATTGTTCAATTCCCCAGTGTGGGCATTTCTAAAGCTGCCTGGCCCTGCTTGGCTGGGTATCAGTCATGCACTGAGTCCCTCTCCCACCACACTACATCTTGATTGATACAGCTTCTCAAGTCCAAGTAAGGGTAACAGAAATGGATGCTGGGAACACAATTTCTGCTTTGTGTTGGAGGAGACAGCTTTGGAGCAGCTTTGTAGCTTTGTGCCCCTCTACAGCTTCCTGCTTCATTTAAGGTTCTGAAGCAGAGTTGAAATTCCTTCCTCCAGCTCTCCATTTCTGTGGTCATACCAGATGGAGGCCAAGGCAGCATATGGGGCTGGGTAAGAGTTCTGCGTTGAATTCTCCAGTCTGCCACATTCTGTGAGGCTTTGGGGCAGCTGCTCAACCTCTGTGTGCCACAGGTTCTTCTTCTGTAACATGGAAGTAGCTAGATCTGCTTCGTACGGTTATTATGAGGCTTAAATGTAAAGCTTTGAAATAGTGAATCAGTGCTGACTAGGCCAAAGGGTATGGTATAATTATTTGCATTTGAAATAAATATCTTAAATGGAGCAAGAAGATTTAGTAGGTATATTCCTTGAGCAGCTCTGGTTTAACCTCAGGAGGAACTAAAGGCCGCTGTCTAAAAATGAGTTTGTATATGACAGGGTACAGGAAATGCCACCCCAAAAATATGGCACCTTGGAAATTGAGAAAATAGCAGAAACAGGAAGGTTTCTCTGACCTCTTGCTCCTTTCTGCCCTGAAGCAGGCCATAGAAACTAGAGTTCCCCTCGCCCCTTCTTCCCTGAAGCAGGCCACAAAATCTAGGAAGGTCACTCTCTGACCTGCTCCCTCCTTCTCCCTCCTTCATCTGAGGCCCCTTATATAACAGGCATCCTCTCCTATGCCCTGAGGGAGGGACTGCCACACAGGTATGCCAAGAAGAAACTGAATAGACAGGCCTTTCCAACTTCTCAGTTTATCACCGTTAGCTCATACACTTTTGTCCTTGCAATCATACATCTGCCTGACTGTCTATACAACTACACAAATGTCCCCATTTCTTTGGGTTTTCGTTTCTGAAAGTTCCCATGTCATGTAAAACTTGGATAAAATAAATGTGCATGCTTTTCTCTTGTTAGTCTGTTTTTTGTTATTGAAGTCTCAGCATAAACCTTGTGATGGGTAAGGAAAATATATTAGTTTTTTTCCCCTAAGTTTAGTATAAACATATTGAGCTAAATCATACCATTCAGAATCTCAGGATTTTAAGAATACTAGAGTGCTTGGAAAGAGGCCTCCAAACAAAAAACAAACAAACAAACAAACAAAAACTTGAAAACATGAAACTCCCATTGGTAAAGATGCAAAGAATCTGTTTGAATCTTTTGTGTGAAGGATACCTTGGTATTAGGGCCAGAATGAATAAATGAATATCTGTAAAGGAAAAGGTAAAAGTTACATCAATGAAACAATTTTAAGCCAACATTTCTGTTTTCTGGTAGAGGCATAAGCTAATAAATAACTTTTGTGCTACTAAAATCTGCCTGCTTTTGTGCTAAGAACTGGCTGCAGGATAAAAAATAACAGGTTTAACTGTCCTTTTTAAAAGGAAAAAAAGGCATTTTGAATGCTAATAGCATTAACTACTGGGTTTTGAACAGAAAGCGTAGGCTGAACCAATCTCTTATATGACTTGGGATGTCATTTAAAATACTTTGTATTCCAAATTTGGTGACTTTTAAATGTCTATTAGCTCAAAAGTTAGTGAAAATATATTGTATAATATATAATGACAAATTCAACTTAAAAAAAAATTTTTTTTTTTTTTTTGAAACAGGGTCTCACTCTGTCACCCAGGCTAGAGTGCAATGGTGCAATCATGGCTCACTACAGCCTCGACCTCCTGAGCTAATGCAATTCTCCCACCTCAGCCTCCTGAGTAGCTGGGACAGATGTGTGCCACCATGCCCGGCTAATTTTTGTATTTTTTGTACAGACAAGGTCTGGCCATGTTGCCCAGGCTGGTCTCAAACTTCTGGACCCAAGCAATCCTCCTGCCTTGGCCTCCCAAAGTGCTGGGATTACAGGCTTGATACAACGCGCCCGGCCGACACTGTAGCATTTTCTAATAGGCCTACGTAAAAATTATCTAATTCTCTAGGGTAGTTTAACTTTGATTTAGTATTTTAGGGTATTTAGAGTACTCCTTAGGGGTAGACATTAACTTGTAGAAAAGTGATATCAATGGAAATGATTCTTGGTCAATAGCAATGTCAATGAATTTTGTTCAGTGGAGGTATAGAAGATGTATGTCCAGTGTATGTATATTCAATCTTCCAAATTCTCTTTGAACTAGTTCTTTTTTTACTAGTCTCTTGTTAGTACATCTTTGATACATGCTCACTTTGTATAGGATACTGTCATTGACTTTTAAAAATTATATTTTGGCAATACATTGCATTTTATTATTATGTCTCTTAATCTTATTATAACAATCTACCCTTCCCTTATTTTCATTCCATTAATTTGCTGGAGAAGCCAGTTCATTTATCCCATAGAATGTTCCCAGTACTGGATTTGGTTGATTGCTTCCTCATGGTATCAATTAACTTGTTCCTCTATTTCCTGTGTATCTTAGATAAGATTCATAAGATAATAAAGGATGCTATGTAGTCATCTCTCATTCTAAGCAATCAAACATTTTCAATATCTTTCACCATATGTCCCTAACCCAGATACTACTAGTCCGTCTCTCTCTGCTATAGAGGTAAGCATCACTCTGCATTTCTGTGATAATCATTCCTTAGCTTTTATTTTTATTTACTTAAAAGGCTTTATCAGATTTGGGGTTTTTGTTTGTTTGTTTTTGAGATGGAGTCTCGCTGTCATCCAGGCTGGAGTGCAGTGGCGCGATCTCGGGTCACTGCAACCTCTGCCTCCTGGGTTCAAGTGATTCTTCTGCCTCAGTCTCCTGAGTAGCTAAGATTACAGGTGCCCGCCGCTATGCCAGGCTAATTTTTGTATTTTTAGTAGAAACGGGGTTTCACAATGTTGGACCAGGCTGGTCTCAAACTCCTGACCTCAGGTGACTCGCCCGTTTCGGCCTCCCAAAGTGCTGGGATTGCAGGCGTAAGCCACCGCTCCCGGCTGGGTTCAATTTTTTAAGGAGAATACTTCAAAAGCAGTGCTGTGTACCTATGGTATCACATTTAGAGGTATATGATCTCATCCCACTATTAGTGATGGTAGATTTGATGGAAGATTCAGGTATTGTCAGCCTGATCCCTCCATTCCCCAGTTTGTGAGTTATGGATTTACTGCCTCTCAGCTCCAAAAATGATCCTGAATCTTTTAATTATGTTTTCTTTGCCATCTGGCCCTGAAGCTTTGTCAGTAGAGGGCACTGGAGAGTCATTGCAGGGAAAAACGATTTTGCTTCCAGGTTCTGGTGTGCTGTTTGCCAGGTTCCTGCAGTGAGTGCATGGTTTAGCAGCACCTGCTCCTGCAGCACCCAAAACTTACCTAGTGTCCAGTTACTTCAGTCACAGTCAGCAACACCCAGCAGTGAGCAGCTTCCTTAGGCACCCCTCCTGAAGGGGTTTTATACTGGAGTGTCTCTGGTATGAACAGCTTTTGCCTGCACCCTAGAGAGTGGGTTTCCAGCAAGTTCTGCCATAGCAGAACCACCTTGATGTCTCTACTCTCCCTGACAAGGCTAGATCCCATCCTCTCTTGTTTTCTCAAAAATGGACTAACCATCTATAAATATCTACTCTCCTGCTTCAGCAAATTTTTTTTACCGTTTCACTGAATTATTCTCATGAGCATACAAACATGTTATAATATATCGCTTTAAAAACCAAAACAAGACAAACTCCTTGATACCATAAGTTTTTTTGTTTTTGTTTTTGTTTTGTAGAGTTTTGCTCTTGTTACCCAGGCTGGAAAGCAATGGCACGATCTCAGCTCACTGCAACCTCCGCCTCTGGGTTTCAAGTGATTCTCCTGCTTCAGCCTCCCCAGTAGCTGGGATTGCAGGCGCCCCCCACCACCACTCCCGGCTAATTTTGTATTTTTAGTAGAGACGGGGTTTCACCATGTTGGCCAGGCTGGTCTTGAACTCCTGTCCTCAGGTGATCCACCACCCCCCTCCCCGCCCCACCTCGGCCTCCCAAAGTGCTGGGATTACAGGCGTGAGCCACTGCGCCTGGCCAGTAACATAAGTTTTTAAAAGGTTTTTGCTTCAGGTACTCTCCTATTTTCCTGCTCCACATTTACAGCAAAATTAGAAAATATTGTCTGTACCTGCCCTCTGTTTCCTTTTCTCTCCTTCTTTAATCAAAAACTGTGAAATATATATTCAAAAGTGTACATATAATCCATATACACATTTTAAAGTATTGATGAGATAATAAAGGATGTTATGTAATCATCTGTCACTCTAAGCAATCGAATATTTCCAATATCTTTTATTATGTGCTCCTAACCAATAGATCACTCTCCCTCTCTCTTTGCTAGAGCTGCATTTTTTTGTGATAATCATTCCCTAGCTTTTATTTTTATTTTTATTTTTTGAGACAGAATCTCGCTCTGTCACCCAGGCTGGAGTGCAGTGGCGCAATCTCGGCTCACTGCAACCTCCGCCTCCTGGGTTCAAGCGATTCTCCTGCCTCAGCCTCCTGAGTAGCTGGGACTACAGGCACGTGCCACCACTCCCAGCAAATTTTTTTGTATTTTTAGTAGAGACAGGGTTTCACCGTGTTAGCCAGGATGGTCTCAATCTCCTGACTTCGTGATCCGCCCCATCAGCCTCCCAAAGTGCTGGGATTACAGGCGTGAGCCACCGCACCCAGCTTTTATTTTTATTTTTAAGAGATTAGGTTTCAGTCAGTCATCCAGGCTGGAGTGCAGTGGCACAATTATAGCTCACTGCAGCATGTGAACTCCCGAGCCCAAGGGATCTTCCCACCTCAGCTACAGGCTCATACCACCACACCTAGTGAGCTTTTCTTTTCGTTTGGTTTCACTTCTTTTTCTTTCCTTTTTTCTTTTTTTTTTTTTTTGAGACAGAATTCCGCTCTTGTCACCCAGGCTGGAGTGCAATGGCGTGATCTCTGCTCACTGTAGCCTCCGTCTTCCAGGTTCAAACAATTCTCCTGCCTCAGCCTCCCAAGGTAGCTGGGATTACAGGTGCCCGCCACCACGCCCAGCTAATATTTTTGTATTTTTAGTTGAGACGGGGTTTCACCATGTTGGCCAGGCTAGTCTTGAACTCCTGACCTCAGGTGATCCACTTACCTCAGCCTCCCAAAGTGCTGGTATTACAGGTGTGAGCCACCGCGCCCGGTCCCAGTGAACTTTTCTTCTTATTATTATTTTTGTAGAGATGGTGTCTAGCTATGTCGCCCAGGCTTGTCTCAAACTCCTGGCCTCAAGCAATCCTACTGCCTCAACCTCCCATAGTTCTAGGATTAAAGACAAGCCACCACACCGGCCATCCTAGCTTTTCTTTTTATTTATTTATTTATTTATTTTTTATTTTTTAGTGTTTATTGATCATTCTTGGGTGTTTCTCGGAAAGGGGGATGTGGCAGGGTCATAGGATAATAGTGGAGAGAAGGTCAGCAGATAAACACGTGAACAAAGGTCTCTGGCTTTCCTAGGCAGAGGTCCCTGCAGCCTTCCACAGTGTTTGTGTCCCTGGGTACTTGAGATTAGGGAGTGGTGATGACTCTTAACGAGCATGCTGCCTTCAAGCATCTGTTTAACAGCACATCTTGCACCGACCTTAATCCATTTAACCCTGAGTGGACACAGCACATGTTTCAGAGAGCGCGGGGCCGGGGGTAAGGTTATAGATTAACAGCATCCCAAGGCAGAAGAATTTTTCTCAGTACAGAACAAAATGGAGTCTCCTGTGTCTACTTCTTTCTACACAGACATAGTAACAATCTGATCTCTCTTTCTTTTCCCCACATTTCCCCCTTTTCTTTTCCACAAAACTGCCATTGTCATCATGGCCCATTCTCGATGGTCGCTGTCTCTTCGGAGCTGTTGGGTACACCTCCCAGACGGGGCAGCCGGGCAGAGGCGCTCCTCACTTCCCAGACGGGGCGGGTGGGCAGAGGCGCTCCTCACATCCCAGACGATGGGCGGCCAGGCAGAGATGCTCCTCACTTCCCAGACGGGGCAGCTGCCAGGCAGAGGCGCTCCTCACTTCTCAGATGGGGCGGCTGGGCAGAGGCGCTCCTCAGTTCCCAGACGGAGTGGCGGCCGGGCAGAGGCGCTCCTCACATCCCAGACGGGGCGGCCGGGCAGAGGAGCTCCCCACTTCCTAGATGGGGTGGCAGCCAGGCAGAGGCTGTAATCTTAGCACTTTCGGAGGCCAAGGCAGGCGGCTGGGAGGTGGAGGTTGTAGCGAGCTGAGATCATGCCACTGCACTCCAGCCTGGGCAACATTGAGCACTGAGTGAGCGAGACTCCGTCTGCAATCCCAGCACCTCGGGAGGCCAAGGCGGGCAGATCACTCGAGGTCAAGAGCTGGAGACCAGCCCGGTCAACACGGCGAAACTCCGTCTCCACCAAAAATACAAAAACCAGTCAGGCATTGCAGCGCATGCCTGCAATCCCAGGCACTCGGCAGGTCAAGGCAGGAGAATCACGGGAGCCCAAGGCAGGGAGGTTGCAGCAAGCTGAGATCACGGCAGTACAGTCCAGCCTCTGCAACAGAGGGAGATCCAAGGGAAAGGGGGAGAGGGAGAGGGAGAGGCCAAGGCCTAGCTTTTCTTTATACTTCCTTGATACATGTATGTATCCCTAAACAGGATATTGTCTAGTTTTGCCTATTTTTAAACTTTGTATACGTGGAATTGTAATGTATGTGTTCTTCTGTGACTTGTCTTTATTTTTGAGATTCACCATCTTGATGCATATAGCTTTGGCTTGTTCATTTTCACTGCTGTGTGGTATTCCAAATTTGAAAGTCCCATGTTTTTTTCTTCTCCATTTTACTATTCTTAGAACTTGGTTTGTCTTCATAGTTTTGCTGTTATGACCAATGATGCTATGAACATTCTCATACATGTACCCTGGCACATACCTGCAAGACTTTTTAGAATATGTAACTAGTAATGAAATTTCTGAGTCTTAGAATGTGGTTGCAGTATATATAGTGTTACTTTGTGAGGGGAGACTATTTCCCAGGGGTTGTATAATCTACATTCCCTTTAGTGGCAGATGAAATTCCCATTAAACCACATCTGCAACTTCACTTGGAATTGTCAGACTTTTGACTTTTTGCCATTTTGATGTGTGTGAAATGTTATCGCATTTGGTTTTAATGTGCATTTTCCTAATTATTAATGAAGCTGAGCATTTTTCTTTTCTTTCTTTTTTCCTTTTTTTTTTTTTTGGCCAGTTGTATTTCTCTTTCTGTATAGTGTCTTTTATGTTTTTTATACTTTCTTCTATTGGCTATTTTTAGTTTTCTTTTGGATTTGTTACCAAAATGCCAAGGGTTTGGTCTAGGTTGCTCACTGCACAGTAAGCCAATCACTGAGACAACAAGTATTGTGAGGGAAGAAGGCTTTATTCAGGTGTTGCAACCGAGGAGATTGGAGATCAGTCTTAACTCTGTCTCCTCTTTTCAACAGATTAAAATTAAGGGTTTATAGAGCAGGGAAGAAAGGTAACTACATATGGGAAAACAGGAATTAGGGAGGGGAAAGGAAGAGGAGTTGGTCAACAGGCAGCCTGGGGTCAGTTAGGCAGTCATGAAGGGTGAGGGGTCTGGTGTCTTAGCAGATGCAGTGAAAGGTAAGTTTCAGTTTCCTGATACTACCAGGGAGCCCTGATCGTCAATTTCCTGAGAAAGGAACTCAGATAAGACAAATGTAAGTTTCTCAAGTTTTAAGACTTGTAGGGTAAATTTCTATGTTTATTAAAAGAAAAAAAAACATAATCAGTCCTATGGGACAAATGGGTTGGTTTCAGATTTATGGGAAATATTTGTTTTTTGTATATTCTGGACACTAATTCCTTGTTGGTTATATGTGTTACAAACATCTTCTTGGAGTTTCTGGCTTGTTGTTTCTCTCTCTTTATGTCATCTTTTGAGAAGAGAGAAGCATTTGTTTTTTCATTCTAAAGTAGCTAAACGTATCAATCTTTATGTTTTGGACTCTTGGTCTAGTTTAATAAGTCCTACCTTGTCTTGAGATTACAAAGATAATCTATATTATTGACTAAATATTTTTCAGTTTAGCTGCTATAGACTGAATGCTTGTGTCCCTCCTAAAATTCACATGTTAAAACCTAATCCTCAGTGTGATGGTATTTGGAGGTGGGGCCTTTGGGAGGTGATTAGGTCATGAGATCAGAGCACTACTGAATGGGATTTGTGCCCTTATGACAGAGACCCCAAAGAGCTCCCTTGTCTCTTCCACCATGTGAAGACACAATGAGAAGTTAGCAGTCTGCAACCCAGAAGAGAACATTCATCTGAAACTGACTGTGCACCCTGAGCTCAGACTTCCCCTACCTCTAGAACTATGAGAAATAAGTGGTTGTTATTTAAGCCACCCAGTCTATGGTATTTTTGTCATAGAGGCCTGAACAACTGAGACATTTGCCTTTCATATGTAAATCTTTATATATCTGGAATTAATTTTTGTGTTTAGAGCAAAATATATATTTGTTTCCCCTTTTTTCCATATGGTTAACTAATTATCTCAGTGTCATCTAATGCACAGCCTCTAATTTTCCCCACTGTTTTACACTGCAAGCTCTGTCATATGTTATATATCCATCCATGCCTTCACCAATACTCATTGAGCATCTACTTTATGCTAAGTGCTCTTCTGGGTCCTGGGAATAAAGCAGTGACAAAACAGACAAAAATCCCAGTGGAGCTTGTGTTCTGTTGGAGGAAGGCAAACCACGAACAAAGTAATAAAAAATTTGTAATACTCCGGATGCAGTGGCTCACACTTGTAATCCCAGCACTTTGGGAGGCCGAGGCGGGTGGATCACGAGGTCAGGAGATCAAGACCATCCTGGCTAACATGGTGAAACACTGTCTCTACTAAAAATACAAAAAATTGGCTGAGCGTGGTGGCACACACTTGTAGTCCCAGGTACTTGGGAGGCTGAGGCAGGAGAATCGCTTGAACCTGGGAGGCAGAGGTTGCAGTGAGCCAAGATCCTGCCACTGCACTCCAGCCTGGGCGACAGAGCAAGATTCAGTCTCAAAAAAAAAAATTTGTAATATTAGATGGTGGTAGGTACTATGAATTAACACAAACCAAGAAGGGGAACAGGGAGTGGGGAGAAAATATTACAATTTTAAATAGGGAGGTTAGAGAAGTCCTTACAGAGAAAGTGATATTTCAGCAAATGCCTGAAAGAGGTTAGAGAGCCAGCTTTGAGAATATCTGAGAGAAATGTGTTCTAGGCAACGGGAAGAGTCTGCACAAAGGCCTTGAGGCAGAAGCATGCCTAGCAAGTATAAGGAGCAGTAGGGATGCCAGTGTGTCTGGACCAGAGTGAAGGAGGGGTGAAGTGCAGGACATGAGGTCATCAGGTGAAGTGCAGGACATTAGCTCAACAGAAGTGAGCGGGTCCAGGCTGGGTAGGACCATGTGGCCCATTCTAAGGACTTTGATTCTACTTTGAGTGAGATGGATGGCACTAAAAGGACAAAGGACTGATAGGCTCTGACTATAGGCTTTAACTCATGTTTTAATTTCTCTGGCTCCTCTGTTGAAAATAGAACCAAGGAAGCAAGAATGGAGGTAGCAACATCTGTCAGAAGGCCATTGAAATAAACTAGGCAAGTGATGATGGGGGTTGTGGGAAATAGTCAAGTTCAGAATACATTTGAAGATAGAATTAACACAATTAGGTATGGTGTGATAGGAACAATAGAGACAAGGATTATGCCCAGGTGTTTGGCTTAAGCAACTGGAAGGATGCTGAGATGGGAAAGACTTGATAGAGGGTAGGGGCGTGGGCAGGGACAGACCAGGGGAGAGGATTTGGATCTGATTTTGGATATGCTAATTTTGAGATGTCTATTAGACATGCAAAATGTAGACCAGACTCTCGACTCATTTAAACTACTATTAGTGGCTAGCCTTTTCTCTTACCTTCCAGATTTCTGGGCAACACTCCACTCTTCCTGATGCACACTCTTGCGTTGCAGCCTGGGACTCTACATTTCAAGCAAGATATTCTTACACATAACAAAGCTTGAAAAGCATTGCTTTAAGCTTTCCTTTGTCTCTCCAAGTACCTCCAAATGTGTATTTAATGCTTTTATAATCAGAAAAGTGTTACAAAATCAAATACCCAAAAAAAATTCCCTATTTTCCCAGCATACCATACAACTACTTTCTACAGAGTTTCCAACATTTTGCAGTAAAATCATTGTTCACAATTTTTTTGGGTCACAGTTTTTGGCAAATGAAGCATGGTATAGGATGCCTGGGACTGTGGAGTTTCCCAGGACACAGGACTTTCCACGCAAAACCAGAAAGGTTCCGGACAAACCAAGAAGAGTTCTTCACCCCAGACGTGTGAAACCAGTGGCAAAGTGCCTGCTTTAGGGAAGGCAGCATGGGACAGTGAATCAGAGTGGACACTGAACCTGGGTCCATTTGTGGAAGGTGGTCCTGTTACAGGAAAGAGGTCCCAATCCAGACCCCAAGAGAGGGTTCTTGGATCTCGTGCAAGAAAGAATTCAGGGCAAGTCTGCTGGAGTGCACAGCAAAAGCAAGTTCAGTGGTGAAAGAAGAGCTACCCCATAGACAGAGTAGGGCATTCCAGAAAGTAAGAGGAGGAACGCGTCCACCCTAGGTACAATGCTTATATATATATCTTTATATATATATCATATATATATATGATAAAAGAAGATCATGGGAAGATGTGCTCTGCTACAAGAGTTTGTGATAAAGGATTAATTTCCTTAATTACTATGTTTTGCAAGAATCAATATTATTATCTTTAAAGCAAAATTAGAAGTGCCTTTGTTCTCCAGGTGTCAGGATTATCTGGACATTGCTAAATCTGGGTCAGTTTAGTAAACTTTTTTTTTTTTTTGAGACAGAGTCTCCCTCTGTTGCCCAGGCCAGAGTGCAATGGCACAATCTTGGCTCACTGCAACCTCCGCCTCCTGGGTTCAAGCGATTCTTCTGCCTCCATTTCCCGAGTAGTCGGGACAGGCACATGTCACCACACCCAGCTAATTTTTGTATTTTTAGTAGAGACGGGTTTCACGATATTGGCCAGGCAGGTCTCGAACTCCTGACCTTGTGATCCACCCACCTTGGCCTCCTGAAGTGCTGGGATTACAGGTGTGAGCCACCTTTCCTGGCCTAGTAAATATTATTAATCTATTCCCTTAACCATAAATGTCTAGAGGCTAGGAATACCTATATTTCTGGAAATGCACCCCGCCAAGTTGCAGCCTCATTTTCCTAGCTCTCACTCAAAATGGCGTCGCTCTGGTTGGAATGCCTCTGACAGTCTTTATGAATGATAAAAGAGTGTAGTCAATCATAAAGCTCTGACTCACTCCCAGTTTGCCCTTTCCTTCCTAGAGAATGTCTTTCAGGCTCTTCCTCCCCTCAGAAGCTTTCAACATCCACTCCATTCCCCTAAACTGGGGACCGAGGACATTGCAGCTTCTTTGGTGCTTCTAGGGACCAGAACATAGCTTCTTTTAGTTATGGATTAGGTTTTTATTGCTGCTGTAACAAATTACCACAAACTTAGCTGTTTAAACAACACGAATGTATTCTCTTACACTTCTGCAATGTCGTTGGTGGGCCAGATTCAGATTCTGGGCCACACAAAAGAATTTGAGAGTGAGTCCAAAATAAGACTAGGCAAAGGAGTTTATTGCAAAGTGAAAGTACACTCTGAGAGGCAGAGTGGGCTGCTCAAAGCTAGCTCAAAGCTAGAGGCAGTAGTTAGTGCCTTAAGGGGAATTTCCTTTGTGGAAACTGTACATACATATTAATAAAATACTGGTGAGATCAAGTAAGCAAAGGCAGACCTGTGGTTAGCACATGAGCTACTTGGTCTAACACGCATCCCATGTATCATTAGCGTATAAAATCCCCACGTGGTGGTGTGTTTTTTGCTATTACAATGAGGAAAAGGTCACCATAAGCTAAACCTTGAGCCTAGCTGTGTATGCAAGACCCTGGAGAATTTCCCAGTCACACCTCCACCCACCCCAACCAAGGCAGGAATTTGTAGCTAATAGCTTCTTGGGCTTTTGGTGCTGATTGGCTGGAGATGGGTAGCTACATCATGAACAAAGGGCTTTCGTTCTCTTTCCCAGGCTGTATAGGGTATCAAGAACTTGTAACCACCTGGCAGAATCCTGCAGGACTGCTTGTCTTGCAAAAGACTTCAGTGCTGATGCAGGAGGGTGCAAGTGAAAAGAATTCACTGTAAAAGGAGCCGTGGGGCTTCACACATGGGACAAGTTAGTATGGCCTCCTAACCTTACTTATCTTGCCTCAGTAGGTCAGAGGTCTGAAACAAGTCTCAATGGGCTAAAATCAAGTTGTTAGTGTGGTTGCATCTCTTTTTGAAGGCTTTAGGGGAAAATTTGTTTTCTGTTCATTCTGGTTGCTTGCAGAACTCAATTCCTTGTAGTTGGAGGACTAGGTTCCTGTCTTTTTACTGGCTTTAAACAGAGCTGTTAACAGCTCAAAGGGCTGTAGAATTCCTTGGCTCATAGCCTCTTTTCTCTGTATTCAAATCCAACAACAGTTGGTTATGTCCATCTCATGTCCTATCTCTCTGAGCTACATTCTGCTTCTTCTTCTTTCCACTTTTATTAAAGATTGGTGTGATTAGATTGGACCTCATACGGCCTAATAACCTCCCTTTTTACAAAGTCAACTGATTAGCAACCTTAATTCTCTTTTGCCGTATAACATAATATAGTCAGGTTCTAGGGATTAGGACATGGACATCTTGGGGATAGGGACATTCTTCTGCCTTCTACAAGTTATATGGGATATATTGAACCTCTAATATGTGCCAGGTGCTATCATAGGTTCTGGTGATACAGTAATGAACCAAACAAAGGCCCCAACCTTCATGAGCTTATGTCTCAGTGAAATCCCATATGCAATACTATGAATGTATCTCTTTGTTTATTTTTTAGTACACCTTAAAAATAGCTTTATTGAGTCCAACTGATATTCAATAAACTGCACATATTTATGTTTTTCATGCTCTCTCAAGATGTGGAACAAAAAAATAGCACACATATTTTTGTACCTGCCTGGCAAAAATTCCCAAAGCTTTGCTTAATTCTATTCAGGTTGTTGAACAAAATTTACATTAGCAACAAATACCAGGGAATGAAAATAATGCACTTTTGTTGATAAAGTAACAGATTTTGCCTGGTTGTCTTTGGAGCCGTCATGCTCTGTGTGTGTTTCTGCTTCCAGATTTCTTTTTTTTTCTCTCCAACTTTTATTTTAGGTTCAGGGGTACATATGCAGGTTTGTTACATGAATAAATTGTGTGTCACAGGCGTTTGTTGTACAGATTATTTCATCACCCAGGTAATAAGCGTAGTACCTGATGGGTAGTTTTTTGATCCTCACCCTCCTTCCACCCTCCATCCTCAAATAGACCTCAATGTCTATTGTTCCCTTCTTGGTGTCCTTGTATACTCAATGTTTAGCTCCCACTTATAAGTGAGAACATGTGATGTTTGGTTTTCTGTTCCTACATTAATTTACTTAGGATAATGGCCCTCCAGTTCCATCCATATTGCTGCAAAGGACACGATCTCATTCTTTTTTATGGCTGCATAGTATTCCATGGTGTATATGTACTACATTTTCTTTATTCAGTCTACAGTTGATGGGCAGTTAAGTTGGTTCCACGTCTTCACTATCGTAACTAGTAAACTGCATGTATTTAAAGTATATAATCTGATGAGTTTTGACATAGGAATCCACCTGTGAAATCATCACCACAATTAAAATAATGAATATATCTGTCACCCCCCATAGCTTTTCCCTGCTCCTTTGAATTCAACCCATCCTATAATCCATCCCCAGGCAAATACTGGTCTGCTTTCTGTCACTATAGGTTGGCTTCCTTTTTTAGAATTTTACATAAATGAACTCATAATATGTACTCTATTTTTGTCTAGATTCTTTCATCCAGCATAATTATTTTGTGATTAATCTATGTTGTTGAGTGTATAAATAGTCCATTCCTTTTTATTGCTATATAGTAGTTTATTGTATGGATGTACTACAATGTGTCTATTCATTCAAATGTTGATGGAAATTTAGATTGTTTCCAGTGTTGCCTGCTTCTTGTTGCATTTAGCAAAATATTATAAGAAAGTGCAAACTCAGGCAAGAAATGACCAGATTGCAAGCAGAGATTGAAGGAAATAGAGTCCAGAGATGTGAGTCTTTACAAGATTGAGAAATGCTTTTATATTTCAGATAACAGGAAATATGGCTTTAGTTGCTTGTGTTAGGCCAAATAATGACTGTCCCCCCACCAAAATGTCCACATTCTAGTCCCCAGAATCTGTGAATATGTTACCGTACATGGCAAAAGGGACTTTGCAAATGCAATTAAGGACCTTGAGATGAGGAGATCATCCTGAATTATTCCAGTGGGCCCAATTTAATCACATGAGTCATTAAAAGCAGAAGATCTTTCCCAGCTGCAGTAAGAGAGAGACATGTGATGATGGGACAAAGGGTCAGAGAGATGTGTTATATTGCTGATTTTGAAGGTGGAGAAACAGGGCCATAAGCCAAAGAATGCCAGCAACCTCTAGAAGCTGAAAAAGGCAAGAACACAGATTCTCCCTGTGAGCCTCTAGAAGTAATGTGGTCCTACTGATACCTTGATTTTAGCTTAGCGAAACTAGTGTTGGTTTTCTGACTTACAGAACTGTAAGTTCATAAATTTCTATTATAAATATATAATATATATTATATTATCATAAATTTATATTTATAGATTATACATTTATATTTAAGCAACTAAGTTTGTGGTAATTTGTTAAATCAGTGATAAAAAACTAATACCTTCCTCTAAGCTTTTCCCAAAGGCCTTGTATTAAGGCAAACAGAAGGACAGACGCCTAAGGAAACAATTAGATTAAAGGAGTTTTCTTCCCACTCAAAGTTGTTACCATTAAATTAAGAGTGACATGAGTCATTCAACAGAGCTTAGAACAAAAGATTTCAGAATCAGACCTAGAAAAGAACTTTGGTTGTGGTCATTGATGCATGAAACAAATAAACAAGAAGCCCTTTTAGTTTTTGAAGAAATTATATTCCCAAGGAAGCCATAAAGCCTAACATAAAAAAGCCTGTGGTTAAGCTTAAAATAACTCATAGGCCCTCAAATTGCAACCACAGAAGTCAGGCTGCAAAATCTGTACGGGGCAATCCTAAGAAATGAGTACTCCTCACTTCTTCTTATATTGGCTATGGTAGATAATGGAGAAGAAAGAATCTTCCAGAAAGCAAAGCCAGTGGTCAGGATGACAAACAAAGGAGTTCCTCCCACAGAGAGGACCAGTGATAGTCAGATGGACTAAGCTTGGAACTTACTCCATTGAGAGGGCAAGGATAATTTAGGATTCCTACCCAGTAAGATTTAATCATTGCTGTGGGCCAATGATTGTGTGTTTCTGTTTTTTAAATAAGAGTTTCTTTTGCCATTATCCTGTTCTCACTTCACCATTGTATATTATCTGTGTTTACGTGGTAGAGAGTGATAATTTAGATTTTATTACTTTATGGGTCACTGGGCCATGAGGACTCAAGTGTATATCCAATAGAAAACTGCATGTCACCTAAAGATCCTGGATTTTGAGCTGGATGTCATAACTGGATGAGATATTTCCCTAGGGGGTGAGGTGAGTTTTTTCTAAATGTGAAAAGTAGAGTATATGTGGATTATTGGTGACCATTGCTGGTCTGTGTAATGACTTCTAACTGACCACAAAATCCATTTTCCTTCTCTCAAACAAATAAAGTATAGCTGAGACCTGGCCGGACCACATTTCCTAGCCCTCTTTGCAGTTAGATGTAGCCATGTGACTAGGGTCTTGACAAAGGAATATAAGTTGTGATAAATGAAACAGTCACCTCACAGATTAAAGAGACCTTGAACTTCAGCCCTTCTTGAAACCCTTCATCATTGGTTGAAGCAAATTGATCTTGTAATCACATGTTGAAGATAGAAGAACTTCTAATAGCATGCATCCCTAAGTGACTTCATAGAGTACAACCACTCACCATCTTGATAAACCTACCCAGGACTGTTGAGATGGAAATAAACTATTTTGTTTGAGTCATCTCATTTACAGTTTTCTCCATTATTACAGTTTTGTTTTCTACCCTAACATGCAGAATAAAATAGCTATAGGAAGAAGTAAATAGTTTTCATGTATCCAAATCAACATTTAGGTAGAAGATATAACAGAAGAAAAGATACTATTTATAATATCAACAAAAAGATAAAATACTCTGGAATGAACTTACTTTGAAATGTGTGATACCTATATGTAACAAACACTTAAATACTTTAAAAACCTGAAATATTTCTCGAATACATACATTGATCATCATAAAGTTATCATCCCTCCGGGCTAATCTTAATTTAACTTGTAAAAAATAAAAATACCAGAGGTGTTCTTTTTTTTTTTTGAGACAGAGTTTCACTCTTGTTGCCCAGGCTGGAGAGCAACGGCACAATCTCAGCTCACTGCAACCTCTGTCTCCCGGGCTCAAGCGATTCTCCTGCCTCAGCCTCCTGAGTAGCTGCGATTACAGGCACACACCACCACCCCAGCTATTTTTTGTATTTTAGTAGAGATGGGGTTTCACCATGTTGACCAAGCTGGTCTCGAATTCATGACCTCAGGTGATCCTCCCTCCTCAGCCTCCCAAAGTGTTGGGATTACAGGCGTGAGCCACCGTGCCCAGCCAGGTGTTCTTTTTAACTAGATAAACTGATTCAAAGATTCATATGAAAAATAAAGAAAGAATACCAACTAAACCTCAGACAAGGGGAGCTTGAGAAAAACTGGCTTTGCCAAATATGAAAACATTCTAAAGCCTCAATAACGAAAAGAATGTGATGTTGGTACATAAACAGACAGATCAATGAAAAATAAAAGGAAATCTAGAAATAGACCCAAGCATACAGTAATTTAGTGGATGATAAAAATGGGATCTCAGATCAGTGGAAAAGATAGATGACCATTCAATAAATGCTTTTGAGATAACTGGATAACTACATGGGAAATAATATTTAAAGTTGGGCACAATTCCAACTGTATAGCATGATAAACTCCAAATGGGTCAAAGTTTTCAATGAAAAAAAGGAAATATTCCTTTCTAACTTTGGAGGAGGGCTATCTAACTGTAACTCCAAATCGTAAAAGCCATAGGACAGAAAATTAATAAACTGAACTACATAAAATAAAAAGCAGTTCCGAGTAGCAGAAAATATCATAAAAAATCAAAAGACAAATGAAAAACTTATAGAAATATTTTCATGCATATCACATCCAAAGAAATGACCTCTTTAGCAATTAAAATGCACCTTAAAATTGAGAAGAAAGAGACTAGCAATCTCTGAAAGAAAAAGTAAAAAGAATTTTAACAGACAATTGTTGTTGAAATTCTGTCTGCTGAAATCCTTTTTCCTTTTTTCTGTCTCGGGAACTGTGAAGAAACTCAGAAAAGGAAACAAAAATAGTTATTAAACACATGAAAAAACACTTAACCTTGCTTTTACCAGAGGAAGAAGAAAAACTACAGGAGATATCATGTCTTTCCTGTCAGATTGGCAAAAAGTTAAAAGTTTGGCAACACCCTCTGTTGACAAGGCTATGGAGAAACAAGCACTTTGATTTATTGGTTA
Organism: Homo sapiens; assembly: GCF_000001405.40. Lineage (NCBI taxonomy): Eukaryota > Metazoa > Chordata > Mammalia > Primates > Hominidae > Homo > Homo sapiens. The sequence goes on from NT_167249.2 coordinate 1,532,781, forward strand.
TAGGAGTCCAGTTTGGGACAAACCTTTTGGAGGACAATTAGGCAATCAATACCTTTCAAAATTGTTTGTGAATACAGCCTTAAACCTTTCAATTTCATTTTTTGAAACTCATTCTACAGATATAATTATACACATGCAAAAATATTATGTACAAGTTTATTCAATACTGCTTGCCTTAACAAAAGATTGGAAAAATTCATGCACCTATCAATTTGAGACTAACTAAACACTCACACACACACGAACAATGGAATATTATGCAATGAAAATCTAATCACAACACAGGAGGTCTCTGTGTGCTTTTGGTAAGATCTCCAAGATATATTGTGAAGTGAGAGAATGAGGTGAAGAACGTTGTATAACAGGCTACCTCTGTGTTAAAAAAAGAGGGAATGAAGAGTCATTATTATATTATCATGAAAAAATTGGAAGATACACAGGTAATTAACAAAAGAGATTACCTCTTTGGGGTAAGGTGTAAACTGGACAGATTGTGGACAGGATTCTGAGTGAGATCCTTCACTGTTCAGTCTCCTTTGCATCAGTAAGTGTCTCTTAAAGTAAATGGACAAGTAGAGGAATGGTGTCAGCATAATGTGGAAGCTGCATTGTGTAATATACAATTTCCCCCATATGTTAATGTTCTGCACTGAGTAATAGCAGCTGTACCAAAATAGCAGCCAAGTCCCAAACACGATTTAAGGGAGCAAGCTATGAATACAATGCTGTGCACAATGCCGTTGACTCCTTCTCCATTTTACTCATTTTGGCTACATTCTCTATCCTGAAGTGCTTACTAAGTAGTTCCCCCAATTTTCATGCACTTTTTCTGAACTATTTTGAGAATGGGAATATTAAGATGTTGCCACAGTTCCATAACAACTTGTTGCTGAGATGCCCCTTAAGAGTGGGGAAGAAAAATCCATTAGACTTTAGAATAATTCCACAAGAGCTTTCTTTTTCTACTTTAGGTGTGATTGACATGCATTTGTAGATGTGTTAGTGCAGATTGCACTTCATGGCACAAGGTCCTATTTGGAGTCATAACAGCAGCTTCTTAATGAAAGAAGGAAGGTGGCAATACAGAAAAAAACAAATCAGGTGTTTTTTTTTAAGCAGGTGCAAAACAAACAAGCAGAAAATAACCATCCAGAGCTACCCATCTTTGTCATCTACATTTTGTGCAAAGCTTCAACTGCTTATCCTCTATAGCTTCTCATGGTGATGTCCCTCCACCTTGTCTCCATAAAGCAGCAGCTTCCATCTTTCCTTATCCCCTTGTATCTTTAGTTCCCCCTTTATTTATTTTATTTTATTTTTTCATTCTTTTAATTGTTATTTTTTTTGAGATGGAGGCTCGCTCTGTCGCCCAGGCTGGAGTGCAGTCGTGCAATCTCGGCTCACTCCAACCTCCGCCTCCCGGGTTCAAGCCATCCTCCTGCCTCAGCCTCCTGGGTAGCTGGGACTACAGGCACGTGCCACCATGCCTGGCTAATTTTTTGTATTTTTAGTAGAGACGGGGTTTTACCGTCTTAGGCAGGATGGTCTTGATCTCCTGATATCGTGATCCACCCACCTCGGCCTCCCAAAGTGCTGGGATTACAGGCATGAGACACTGCACCTGGCCTCCTTTTTTTAATTTTTTTGAGATGGAGTCTTGCTCTGTCACCAGGCTGGAGTGCAGTGGTGAGATCTCGGCTCACTGCAACCTCTGCCTCCCAGGTTCAAGCGATTCTCTTGCCTCAGTCTCCCGAGCAGCTGGGACTACCGGCGCGCACCACCATGCCCAGCTAATTTTTGTATTTTTAGTAGAGATGGGGGTTTCACCATCTTGGCCAGGATGGTCTCGATCTCTGGACATAGTGATCTGCCCACCTCGGCCTCCCAAAGTGTTGGGATTACAGGCATGAGCCACCCCTCAGCCTAGTTCCCCCTTTAAAAAGTCTTTCATCTATTTAGAGTTTAACAAGTCTTTTTTTTTTCTTTTTAAAAACTATGCTAGTATTTTTATTCGAATTGTTATTGCTTTGTTAGTGTTATGAGTATGAAGATGAATAGATTTTGAGTTGCCTATCAAAACTCTGTTTTTCCTACAAACACTGTTGTTTTTTTGTGAACATTTCCATATGAATTCAAGGACCTGCTTTTCCATATCTGTTTAAAAGGCTGTTGAAATTTTGATAGAGATTAATTGAGTCTGTAGATCACTTTGGATATTATTGACAACTTAACAATTTTAAGTCTTTCTACCCATCAACACAAGATGTCTTTCCATTTATTTAGATCTTCAATTTCAGCAATTTTTTATAGTTTTCAGTGTACATTCTCACTTGAGTGTACATCCTCACTTCTCCCTCTCCTTCTCGGTCTCTGGTAACCGCTATTCTCCTCTTCCCTTCTATGAGATCAGCTTTTGCAGTTCCACATATGAGTGAAATCATGTGCCATTTGTTCTTCATTGCTTGGCTTACTTAATATAATGTCCTCTTGGTTCATTCATGTTGTTACAAATGACAGAATTTCATTCTTTTTATGGCTGAAAAGTATTCCATTGTGTACATACGCCACATTTTTAAAAATCTATTCATTCTTTGATGGCCACTTTGGTTAATTTCATATCTTGGCTATTGTGAATAGCGCTGCAGTGAACATGGGAGTGCATGTATCTCTTTGACGTACCAATTTCATTTCCTTTGGATATATATCCATTAGTGAGATTGATGGATCATATAGTAGTTCTACTTTTAATTTTTTGAGAAGCCTCCTTACTGTTGTCTGTAATGGCTTGGATAATGGGGTGGCTATTGGTACGTGTTCCTGAGGAATAGGAAGAATGAGAGAGATAGTGGATTTTGATGTGTGAGTTTAAGGTGCAAGATTCAAGTGGTGGTTCAGTAGGCCTTGGTAGCTCCCCAGAGTTTGCATCTGTAGGTAGAGGTCACTGTTAGTGATAAAGTTGTGGTTTGATTTGTTTTTCAAAATGTAGGTGATACCTACTGTCATGAAACCAATTTTGCAGGTTATAACCAGCATTTTTAAAATGGACTGTAATTTAAAAATCAGAATATATTACAAATAATAAAGAAAAATGGTACCCAACAAAATGTGTGTGTGTGTGTGTCTGTGTGTGCATATGCATGTATATTAGACTGGGACATGAGTGACTTTTTTACTGTGATGTTTCAAAACATGTTTGAAAAAATTAGTTTAAACCATGATGAAGAGATTTCTCAGGCAGTGTATGAATAACAGACCTGTGGATGAACCTAGTGCATTCTTTTCTTTTCTCTTCTTTTGTGACGGAGTCTGGCTCTGTCGCCCAGGCTGGAGTGCAGTGGCACAATCTCGGCTCACTGCAAGCTCCGCCCCCCGGGTTCACGCCATTCTCCTGCCTCAGCCTCCCGACTACCTGGGACTACAGGCGCCCGCCATCACGCCCGGCTAATTTTTGTATTTTTAGTAGAGACGGGGTTTCACCGTGTTAGCCAGGATGGTCTCGATCTCCTGACTTTGTGATCCGCCCGCCTTGGCCTCCCAAAGTGCTGGGATTACAGGCGTGAGCCACCGCGCCCGGCCAAAACCTAGTGGTTTCTAATATGTAGCTCTCATGTTTTCAGATGAGTTTTAAGATACAGGCCCAAATTTTGTTAGTTCTTATTCTCTACTTTTGAATTATTTACAGGAAATATATTTTACTGAGCTGATCTACTGAGAGGTGGGCACAAATCCTTTATACTTTATTGAAAAATTAGTTGTCCAAAATCTTCTAGGATACTCCCACTTAATTACATATATGAGGCCGGGCGCGGTGGCTCACACCGGTAATCCCAGCACTTTGGGAGGCCAAGGCGGGCAGATCACGAGATCAGGAGATCGAAACCATCCTGGCTAACACGGTGAAACCCCGTCTCTACTCAAAACACAACAAATTAGCCGGACAAGGTGGCCGGCGCCTGTAGTCCCACCTACTTGGGAGGCTGAGGAAGGAGAATGGCGTGAACCCGGGAGGTGGAGCTTGCAGTGAGCCGAGATAGTGCCACTGCACTCCAGCCTGGGCGACAGAACGAGACTCCGTCTCGGGGAAAAAAAAATTACATATATGAGCACCCTTTGAAATGCTTACAGCAGAGCTAGCTGCCTAAAATTAACATTCATCTAACACTGCAAGCCAGAACGTGTTCTGAGTAGTGCTCTGGAAGGGACTTTGGATTTTGAGAAAAAAGGTTGGGAGCAGTTTGAACATAAAAACTATTTTCTCATGGGTTCCATTTTGATGTTCATTAAACTCACAACTTCTTTGTTTTCTTCATGTCTTCTCAGAAAGTGATTTCTCACTTTGAGAGTGAACTCTTTGCAGGACTTGAGCATAGTGATCACAACTGCTGCCTCCCCTCTGAGAAATCTGGAGGATGAGGTTCTCCATCTGTCTTGACTACTTGAGAGACCCAGTGACCATTGACTGTGGTCATGTCTTTTGCTACCACTGCATCATTCAGGTCTGTGAATCTACTAGGCAACCATTACATTGTTCTCTGTGCAAGCCAGCTTTTAAGAAAAAATATCTGCCATGTGTGGCAGATGGCCAACCTGATGGAGAACATTTGGAGAATGAAGGTAGATGAGGAGAGACAACCCAGAGAGGAAAGACCACCTGAGCAAAAAGCAGAGAAGCTGTGTAGGCGACACCTGGAGAAGCTCCATTAATGCTTCAAAGGATGACCAGCAGATGGTGTATGTGATGCGTTGGAGTCCCGAGAACACAAGCACCATGCTGCTGTTCTCCTAGAAAAGGCTGCACAGCCTCGTCGGGTAAGAATCGTGTTGGACCCCAGCTCTGTTCTTTTAGCCAGAAAGTTCTATGGTACCTTCAGGATAAGGTGCAGGTTTTTTGCATTACTTTATTGAGGTATGATTGACATGTAAAAGCTATACATATTTAATGTATACCAATTAATGAGTTTGTAGATGAGTATACACCTCTGAAACCATCATCACAGCAAAAACACGTCTATCACTTTCCAAACTTTCCACACACCCTCTTTATTGTTATTATTTTGTGTGTGTGATAAGAACACTTAGCCAAAGATCTATTCTTTTAGTAAATTTGAAGTATACAATACAGTGTTTTTAGCTATAGGCATTATGCTATATAGTAGGTCTCTAGAACTTCTTTATCTTGCATAACTGAAACTTTGTAACTTTGACCATCAACCCTCCATTCCCCGTCCCCACCAGTCCCTGGCAACCACCATTCTACTCTGTTTATGTAAGTTTGACTGTTTTAGATTCCACATATAAGTGAGGTCGCACAGTATGTATCTGGCATATTCACTTAGCATAATGTTCTCAAGGTCCATCCATGTTGTTACCAATGGCAGAATTTCCTTCTTTTTAAGGCTGAATAATATTGCATTGTATGTATATACCACATTTTCTTTATTCATCCATCAGTGAACATTTAGGGTTTTTTAAATCTTGGTTATTGTGAATAGTGCTGCAAAGAACATGGGAAGTATATGGGCTATAAATACCCAGAAGTGAAATTGCTGGATCATATGGTAGTTCTGTTTTTAATTATTTGAGGAGCTTCTTACTGTTTTTATAATGGCTGTACCAGTTTGCATTTCCACCAACAGCGTATCAGGGTTCCCCTTTCTCCACATCCTCACCAACGCTTCTTATCTTTTAAAAAATATAATAGCATTTCTAAGAGGTGTAAGACAGTTCAAATTCTTTAGCATGAAAGATTCTTGGTAAAGTACTACCCTTTGCATTTGGATAATAAAGCTGGTTTGGTTTTATATCTTTTATGGAAGTAAGTCTATCACATTGCCTTGATGGTTTCATCTCTGAGGTTCAGATCAAGTCTTATCAGCTATACAGAATACCAGCACTCCTGATAGCTCTCGTAGTATATAGCTTCAAGTGGTATGTACACAGTTGTTATAAAAATATTTTTGAGGTCGGGTGCGGTGGCTCACGCCTGTAATCCCAGCACTTTTGGAGGCCGAGGCGGGCGGATCACAGGGTCAGGAGATCGAGACCATCCTGGTACACACAGTGAAATCCTGTCTCTACTAAAAATACAAAAAATTAGCCGGGCGTGGTGGTGGGCGCCTGTAGTCCCAGCTACTCGGGAGGCTGAGGCAAGAGAATCGCTTGAACCCAGGAAGCGGAGCTTGCAGTGAGCCAAGATTGTGCCATTGCACTCCAGCCTGGGCAGCAGTGTGAGACTTTGTCTCAAAAAAAAAAAAAAAAAAAAGAAAAGAAAAGAAAAAAGAAACATCAGGCAGTTCATTGTTTCCCTTTTCTCTTTGCCTGCCAATTTAGTCATCCTCTTAATAATCTGGAGTTGCTGCCAGGTGTGGTGGCTCATGCCTGTAATCCCAACACTTTGGGAAGCCAAGGCAGGAGGATAGCTTGAGAACAGGAGACCAGCCTGGGCTATAGCAAGACCCCATCTCTACAATAATAATAATAATAGTTATTATTATTATTATTTGGAGTTGGCATATATACTTTCCTTGACTTTTTGTGTTAATTTTTTGTTTCTATTTTTTTTTCTTTTTACAAGACAGGGTCTCACTATGTTGCCAAGGTATGCCCTCAAAGACTTGGGCTCAAGAGATACTTCACCCTTATTTTCCCAAATAGCTGGGACTACAGGCACATACCACTGCACCCACCTTCTATTTTTGTTTTATTAATTAATTTTAATTTTAATTGTCTGTATTTTTGGTAGAAAAGGATAGTGTAAATATAAATTAGAAACTATACCATAAGTCTTGTTAGTTATAATGATAATACGATATTATTTTGTCTTACTTCTAAGAAATTGCTCTAGGCCATTGTATCACTCAATGGATCTTCCTTATTAACTAGAATGGAAATTGTTCCACACAACCATTATTAAACTACACATGGTCAAATGCAGTTGGATTTCACTCTGGAATCACTTTGCATCTCCCTTTTGTCATTTAGGTCATTTTCATCTTGATCTTGAGACTATCCAAGTTTATTTTCTTTTTCTTTTTCTTTTTTTTTCTTTTCTTGAGACAGAGTTTTGCTCTTGTTGCCCAGGCTGGAGTGCAGTGGCGCGATCCCGACTCACTGCAACCTCCGCCTCCAAGGTTCAACTGATTCTCCTGCCTCAGCCTCCCAAGTAGTTGGAATTACAGGTGCTCACCACCATGCCCAGCTAATTTTTGTATTTTTTAGTAGAGACAGGGTTTCACCATGTTGGCCAGGCTGGTCTTTAACTCCTGACCTCAGGTAATCCACCTGCCTCGACCTCCCAAAGTACTGGGATTACAGGCATGAGCCACCACGCCCAGCCCGAGACTATCCTTGTTTATTTTCATAGGGCAAAATTCTAAACCATCGGAAGATTCTGAAGGGATACAGGGATAGCATTCAGAATTCTCAATCTATGGGAGAAGATGAGATTCAGGCCCTGGTGGTAAGAGAGGTCTCTAGTAAATGTTCTGTATGAATGTGTGTATGTGTGTAGGGCAGGGGTGTGTGTGTAGGTAGTAGCGGGGCATAGGTTAAGGAGAGGAAGGGGTATGTGTGTGGGGGAAGTATTGAGGAATGGGGAGGGGGAGAGTGATCAAAGAGATTTCTGTTCTGAACTCATCCTCAGAAGATCTCACACATGTTCTGGTGTTCCCTAGCCTCTCAAAAAGGTCACTTTTCTCTTTCTGCATTTACTGGAGACAACATTTCAGAACCACAGGCAAGACATTGTATCAGTGTTTGAATAGGGCCATCGGTTTTTGAGAGAAAGGGAACAGTACCTGTTGGAGCAGCTGGTAGGGCTAGAGCAAGAACTCACCAAAAGGAGGAACAGCCGTGTCATCAAGGGTTCTGAGGAGGTGGTCCAGCTTGGGACCCTGATCACTGAGTTGGAGAAGTCTCGGCAGCCAGCACTTGAACTTTTGAAGGTAAAGGACCAACCAAACTGTATCTGAGTCCTCTTGCTCTATGACTACGGTGTGGCCTATTTGCAAGAGATTTGGACCAAGAGTCAAGAGAGACAAGGTGTTATTCTCATTTACTGAATTCTTTAATAACTGAATTAGCCAACCAATAGGTTTTAAGCCCCAAAGTGCAGTGGGCAGGGGTCTATAATATGCACAGACCATATAATGGAATATTAAGATCTGTACATTTATAATTACAACAAATAATCTGATGTTAAATCTTCCAGTCAGATTGGATGCCACAAGAATTCTGGAAACAGCTAGTGTTTAGTCAGAGAAGCCTTCAAAGAAGAGGCTTTTGATGTTGGCCTTGAAGGAAACGTAAAGATTTATTTTATTTTATATTTATTTATTTATTTGAGATGGCATCTCCCTCTGTCACCCAGGCTGGAGTGCAGTGGCGCGATCTCAACTCACTGCAACCTTCACCTCCTGGGTTCAAGTGATTCTCCTGCCTCAGCCTCCTGAGTAGCTGGGACTACAGGCACCCATCACCACGCCCAGCTAAGTAAGATTTAGATTGTCAGAAAGGAGCTAAACATTCCACTTGGTAGGGGGTGGGGACACACTAGTTACAATTAGATAAATGAATGTAATAATAAACTTGGTATATGTGTTGGCAGGTGGGCATAGGTGCTGGGGAAGATAGGAGTAGGAAGACTGATAAGAAGGGGACATAGAATGAAGGTAGCTACCTTTCTGGAAGAGTCAGATTAAGTGAGGGAGAAGTGAAAAGTATGATGGGGCCAACTGAGTTGAGGCCTTCCAAAGCAGGCTGAAATTTGAGCCTTAACTGAATAGACAATGGGATTCTTAACAGATTTTTATCTGTCTATAAATCAAGAAAGGTTTCTGAAGAGGATAGTCTAGAACTCGAATGAAAGACATGAAGGGGAAGCATTTGTCCTTATAAATTGAAACTGCAGGCCGGGCACAGTGGTTCACACCTGTAATCCCAGCACTTTGGGAGGCCAAGGCAGGCAGATCATGAGGTCAGGAGATCGAGACCATCCTGGCTAACACAGTGAAACCGCGTCTCTACTAAAAAATACAAAAATGAAGCCGGGTGTGGTGGTGGGTGCCTGTAGTCCCAGCTACTCCGGAGGCTGAGTCAGGAGAATGGCGTGAACCCGGGAGGCGGAGTTTGCAGTGAGCCGAGATTGTGCCACTGCACTCCAGCCT